>NC_000007.14:121294657-121597688 GCF_000001405.40 Homo sapiens
ACCTAAGGGCAGGATTTATCATAAGTGTGCTCTTACACAAGGAACAATAGATAAACTGGAAATCTTACAGACCTTCCTGGGACTGGGGTTAATCAGAAGTCAACATGGCAGATTAGCATCCAAGATGGAGTTACTTTAGCCTTCTAAGCAAAAAAAAAAAAAAAAGTCTAAAACTAAATCTACATATATATCTCCAAATATACGAAGTTATTAGTTTAATAGTGCATAGGCAGCTCCCCAGATTCCATAACTTACTAAGTGCCCAGAGCAACAAAACCACTAAAAGTAACAGTTAGCTTATAAGTCTGCAATGGAAAAAAATTTTTTCTTTTCTCTGAAAATAGTTTTAGTTGCCATTTTATAGAAGAGTGCCATGACATGTTTAGGGTACCATGTTTGAATCAGTGGCCTGGCAAAGGCACACCAGTGCCTTTCCTATTGTAGTACTATGTCAAACTGTATGTCAGTGTGCCTGGCCTGAAAACACACACACACACACACACACACACACACACACAAAGACTAGAAGATAAATCATCTGAGACTGTTCCTTAGTTGCATTGGAGACAGCTGCAATGAGGTAAGAAAAGTGACAAAGTTGAATTTTAACCTTGGTCTTTTTCGAAACATAAGTTATAGCCATTCCTGGTTATGTAAGTCATAGTCATGCCCTTTTAGCAACATCTGTGTGGCAGAGATGCATGTTCAAGTTTGAGAGTTAGTTATGCAGGGATTGGATATTCTTGATTTTGCCTCACAGTTTTCTTGCTCTTCATTTACAGGTAGTGAAATCAAAGTTATCCAAAGAATATAACTTTATTAAAATGAAAAGATCAAGAAATCATATCATGGGAAGATATTTCAGCAATCAAAGCAAACTACAACAAGGCACTGTAACAAATTTTCGATCGCCATATCATGTCAGAGGTCCAATAAATCAGGTTTGTTCTGAAATCCTTCTCAGCAGGATGTGTGCAAATAAAAGGACTATGTAGGCTCCCTGCAGGAGAGCTGAATCTGGAGCTGGAGACGAGCTAGTCACCCGGACAATGGTCTAGGAGCCAAGCGCTGCACATCGCACACATTTGGGATCGACCACACACACTTGTGCACACCAGCACATGCATGCACACCAGTACACACACAGTTAAATAATGATAACACTTCTTACAGCTTTATGAATTCAAGATGTGACCTTGAACACCAGTCCATTTCACAGTGAAAGATATACCTAGAGAAACGTTACTTGAAGCATAATTATTAACCAGAACCACTGTGGGCCAGGTATGGCATTGTGATAATAAAGAGAAATATAGACACTTAAAATTATGTGAAAAAAAGGATAATGCTCTTTCATGTTGTCTTACCATATCTATAGGTACATCAATATTGAAAAGGAGAAAAACCAATGACATTCCACTGGCAAGTAGAAGTTGTCCTTTCATTCTTTACCAGGAGAAAATGTGATGTTTATGATGGCTTAGGCTTTGTGAATCTAATGCTTATGAAAAACATTTCTTCCTATACTTTTTAAATTTTATTACTGAAAGGAAAAGAACAGGAATGTTCCACAAGGGAATTTGAAGAGATTCTGTGAGAGAGATATGAAATATTTTATAGTTAAAACACCAATATATTCAACTTTACACTTCTTGTGTTTTTCATAAACATTCCCTCTTGTCTTATCTGTGTACTTCGATGGGTAACTGCAGTCTGAATTAATGAAATATGTAATTTTAAAGTAAGTAACAAAATGTAGTTCCTCATGTATTACTGTACTATGTTTCATTGATGATATTACTTAAATCTTGTGTTTGCCATTACAGCCCTATGTAACTTAAAATTACAATTATATTTTATGTAAATATTTTGCAAAGGACTATGCATTCTGAAATGCATAGGTGCTTTTTCCCACCAAGCATTTGCATATGTCCACAAATAGTATTATGTTACTAGTATCTATATTTTGATTTTCCTGAGCAACTGTATCAAATCCAAATTTAGATTAGACAAAAAATTATTATTTTAATTAAACTGTGGCATACATATAATACATACCTAATTATAGTAGTGAGAACTATTTCTTTTATCTCTTTAGGTTCAAAATGGTGAATTTCTTTATTATATGAATGCTTTGTTGTGAGATAACATCACACTGTTACAATGGATTTTAGAGGTTTGTCTTTTTTGGGTGGGGTGGGAAGCTGAGAGGGTTAATTCAATACATGGCTGAAATTACCAAATGTATAAATACCTCATTTTCACTACCATACAAGAAAAAAACACCTATTTTGATTGATCAGTTCTTTTGTATGAATATCCACCTCCTTTAAATACTCTATTTTTATATATATTTTTATATGAAGATAAACATGAATTTATATTTAACTGTCTTAAATTATATTTACATAAATGCAAATATCACTTGATATAAACAATACAAATCTGCATCTTACAGATGATAATTTTTTTAGAAGAATGATACAGAATTAACTTTAAAAATAAAACTTTTCTAATATACACTTAAATGCAAACATCATTTTTAAATTTTCAGTGATTTTTTTAATGACATAAAACGTTACCAATGTGTGCAGCCTCTCCATCATGTTTTAACATACTGTATACTCTATAGCAGTATTACAGTCAGTATTTCATATAATTTTCTTTAGACCTAACTGTTACCATCTGACTGAGGTTACTCTGGTATTTATCTCTTCGCTGCTGAAATAATAATGGATTTTAGAAACAATTGTAATAATATCATTAATAAATGTCTTACTAGTAATAGTCTGTGTTTGTAGAGTATCTTTTATTTTCTTTTTTACTGAAGATGTACATCTATGCAAACAGTGACCACTTGGCAGGGATATTATCATGTGGATTCAAGTATTATAGCATGGTTAAACACGATTAACTATATAGTTCCTTCTAAGCCTAATATTCTTTAAGTTTATGATCAGATGAACTTCCCACTGTGCAATGACCAAAATGTATGAAGATAATGTATTGTAGTGACAAGCTTTTTAAAAATAATAATAATAAGACACTTACTTAAATGCTAGGAATCATTTTAATTGCTCCTTAACTGAAACTGCATTTTATTTTACCTAGGTGTATGTGTATGTGTATCCGTGTGCACATGTGTTTGTACATATTTAGCAAGTTCTTAATTTCAATGGGAAAAAATGGGAGTAGGCATTTTAACATATTTTTAGGTGTAAAACTTACAGGAAATGTATTATTTTGGTAAGAATTTATTAGAATCCAATCCAAACTAAACTAAAGAAAACATTTATAACATTAAAAGTCAATAATAACTGCATAAACATTTCCAAGCATCACTGTTGATCTTGTGTGTGGGTGGGCGTGTGCGTGTGTGTTTAAAGGCACAGTGTACTATTTGCCAGCCACCCAACTAGGCAGATAAGATCCTGCACAGACATGAAAAAGAAGGGCTCACATTTGCCTGCTGGTTGGGTTTACATTTGGGTCATTCAATTATCCTTTTGTTATTTGCCCATGTGCCTAGAAGTCTTCTCTACAGAGCAGTGATTCCTACTTAAGAATGTGTTGGAAGAAATTACTGATTTTTGAGATAGAAATATTTCCCATAATGCTTATGGAGAAAAAAAAACTAATACTATTCTCCAGTTGAAATGCCTTTTAGTTTCCTTTCGCTGAACAATTCCAAGAAGAAATATAGAAATGGCTCAAAATTATGTAACCAAATAAGAGTTATTTCAAAGCTATAATGCTTTGGCAGAGCAGGGAGGGGTATCTAATATAGTAGTGAGATTAAGAGCCTAGATAGTTAGTTAATCAGGGTTAGGATCTTATTAAGTATTTTCCTAAGGGCTCCTCCATGTGAGTAAATGCTGAAACAATCATCTTTATCTAAAATTTATCTGAATTTTTATCTTATAAAAATCCCCCAAATTCACCAAGACCAGTGGCTATTAATGTATTTAAAATGAACAAAAATGACTGAGTAAGCTTATATAAACTGATAACTTCAAAAATACATGTTCAAGCAGAAAATGATAGCATAGCAGATTCCACCATTTTGAGTGGATCAAGGAATAATTACTCTCCAAATGCTACTGTAGTTTTTTTTTTAATGTGTACTTGAAGTTGAAATGATTTTTATTGCTCTTGGAAACTAAGGCATTTTAATAGATCACTTCAGCCTAAGGGGATGAACCAGAATTTGTCGGGAACCCCCAAAGACCTACTAAAAACAACAGGATATTGCCAGCACCTACAAACAAGATTTTGTATTTGGCACAACTTCCAAGGTTTCATACTGTCAAAAAGCCTTTTATCATGTTTTTATTGCTGCAGTAACTGCTATTATCAACTTCCATATTTCTTTTATGATTCATTCACTTGATGTAGGGGGATGTAGAACTCATTTTTTTCTAATTCATATAGACCATGCAGTCCTCCTAAAATGGTATTCCATTTGTTTTCTTTATGCTTGCTGAAATGTAAAGAATTTGTTTTATGGCCCTATTAAATGTCAGATCACTATGCTTTAACACACTAGATACATAATCAAATATTACGGTGAAAATTTATTAAGAGTATTTAAATTGTGTAAGTCTATTTGAAAGGCAAATAAAAATAATTACTTAAAACCAACTAATAGTAGGGGCAAAATAAAAACCGTCACTTTTAGAGAAAACACCATAAAAGGATTCCTACAGTGTAATACTATTTAGGTAGCTTAAGTTTTGGATTTGATTTATGTTGCGTGGTATTTTCTCCCAAGTCTGTAGCATTCTCTGCAGAGGACTTTTTAAAATTTTGTTTTTCAAAGACTTTTTTTCTAGCCCTTTTTGTAATATATCTGGGAAAAATATTCCATTGTAGATTAGGTTATGAGTAGACATTTAATATCTCTAACCAAGATGTCTTCTTAAGGTGATTTATGTGTAGCATCACATGATTCATTTTATCATATAAAATAAAAAAATATACTTTGTATAATATGAAAGAGTAATTCCTATGAAATCCATTAAAATGTTTAGATATGTTTTAAAAGCAAAATATTTACAATTGATTATTGGTACATAAGAATTCAGAAGTAACATGGTTTCATAAATACAAAATGTATCCAATTGATTCTCAACTATATAGTGACTTATTTTATGGTTGGCTGGTGAAATGCAGCTATTTGATGTAGCTTTTGGGGCTACGCTACACAGTTTAATGATGGTATGCAATTTATTTATATATTTTGTTCAATTGTATTTCCACTTTCTTTTTTATAATAAAACCTGTTCAAAATATGCAGATTGAAATCTCAGTGTATGCCATCCAGGTAAACATTTTAATTTTCTTTCCAGTCTCAAATTTTTATTTGGTCTATAATTGGTATGCCTTTAAAATTAAATCATAAATTTGAATATTAGAAAAAAATTTAAGGACACTAAAATGAAACAACCATATGTTGTAACTTGTAATATAACCATGTATCCACTAATCTCCACTTAGGTATAAGAGGTTGTTTGGTTTCCAGTAGATCTTTTTTACGTTAATAGCTGGATATCTGGGGTTCAGAATTCTTGTGTCCGTTTTCAATAAATACACAGAAATAAGAGTGCAAAATGCCAACACTGAATGCAGTGCAGCCGAGGATAGTCCATGAGGTACATCATGGTCTGTGCAGGATTGAAAGGAAGCTACAGCATAGGCCTTCACACCAGCGGAAGCTCTTCTCCACTGGGTTTGGGGATGGATACATAAGAGCACCTTCTAGCTACCTTTGACAGCTCTTGGACATCTCTTCAACCTCTTCTTAGTATGAATCACATTGGAGGGTCCAATTTCCAAAGAAAAAGGAAATAATAATTTTAAGTCTTTAGTGGACCAAAAATTATAACCTAGATTAACCAAATAGCAAGTGAATGTGACTCTAATGATATTTTCTGAGTTAAAAATCAGGAAAAATAGAAAATGTGCTCTAATCATCAATATAGTATATCCTCAAGAACTTGAAATAGAAACCCATTTTTTACTAAATTGATTTTTTCACCGAAGGGCTTACTCATCTACTGTGATCATTCCTGCTTGTCCTTACCTTTGCCTTTGAAATGGAACTTATGCAGTATTTTTCTGTGTGCATTTAATATGTAATACAAGATACATTTTAAAGCTTACATTTTTATGTTCTCCTTCTTGCCTTAATTACATGTAACATGAAGCTTATGTTTTAATGGGCACAGGCTCTCCAGTTTTACAGTATCATAAAAAGAGTTTATGAGCCTTTTGTTAAAAATCAGTGCCTATGTCATTGGCAGGGCATGGAATTATTTGCAACTACTTCTTCTACTTATAAGATAAAATTTGGTCTGAATTAAAAATATTATGAGAGAAAACTGAAACAATGCCTTTGCAGCCCAGAATGAGTTTAGTCATCAAATGGCACAAATTTGGGTCCATCAGTTTCCACTACATGTGCATACCCACAGGGGAAAACCTGATCTCTGTTCACACTTGCCTCTATAGAATACCCATTTCAATGTTCATATTAGTTATGCAAAATCACTGGCATGTTTTTAAAAGGGTGTGGATACACCCTTAGCTCAAGTTACTCCTGCCAAGAACAGGAATTATTTCAATAGGATGGAGTTTCCAGAGCCATGCTATTGGTAAACAGCCGGAAGTCTCTCTTGGCCACCTATCCTATAAATAAATTGATACCTTCTGTGAATTATTTATGGATTCTGAGATGAGGCTGATACAGACATTGCATCTCAGATTCTTATTTCCCAGAAGAATGGACAATCACAAAGTGGGTGATTGGCTTACATGGTGTTTTTCTCTTTCCTGGGGTCATCATAAGTCTTTGAAGTACTGAGCTTCTTGAAGTCGATTTCTCTTCCAATGGAAGCATCCCTGGGAGGGATGCTTGTCAAATACAGTGAAAATAAATGCCTTCCCTTCACCACTGATCATGGACTTGTTATGCTGCCTCTGCAGACAAGAAAGTCAAAACTGTTGGGTCAAAGCCAAACCTTCCCTGGTTTGTGTCTGGGCAGAGTGTGTGTCAAATAAAAGACTTGAAAACAGGAATTCTGGATTATTTTCAAATAAAAACTCATCCATACTGTATAAATACGTGTGTGTGTGTGTGTGTGTATGTATAGATAAAATGTATGCACACACACATACACACACAATGAAATAGATAATGGAGCAGTATCAAATAATCTTATATCCATCGAATTAGTTCCTTTAAAACATTCCTTTTATTTTTTATTTATAGCAGTATGTAAAACCTTTAGTATAACAGGTTCTATATCTCTGGATGCCTTTACCAAGTGCTCGTCTGAACATGTGGGGAATGCACTTCGAGGCCTCCGCCAGGCAGTGACAGAGCAGGGAGGGACGTGTTAGGGGAGATGTTTGCTAGATGCTTTTCTTAAGAGGTGACAAGTAACCCAACTGCCAGAAATCACCAAAATAAGAAGATACTAGGAAATGTTGGACTGTGGAGTCACGAGGGCTCCAAAACTAGAGAGAACGATAAACTATAGTTTAAACTTTAAAACTACAGAGAACTCGGGGAAAGAAAGAGAGCAGGGCAACATTGTACCCTGATGAAAGTAAATGGATCAGTAAAGTTCACTTATGGGAATCACTCTCAGTAGGGACTCTGGCCACATGCCGTGCCTCTGCCCTCAGATCTCACAGGGCCTTCTCACTGGCAAATGCTGAGATGGGTGGCTGAGAGGTAAGTCATATCCCTCAGTATGACTCAGTATGACCCTCAGTATGGCTGAGGGGTAAGTCATAACCCTTAGTTATGCGGCAGCATAACTAAGTCCTGTAAACTGTGGCAGAGGTTCCGCTGGGTGGAGGACACCCAGCACGATCACAGTTCTACAGCTCATAACTTTCTTCCTCCAAATCGAATTTCTAGTTGGCCTCCACCCATTTTCGTTTCCCCTTTTTGACTTAGATGGTTTCTGTGTCCACCTCCATTATTGCATTTTCACGGTATAATTACCTACAATCATCTATTTGATTACCTTGAGCCATTCATCTTTCTACTATCCAATCTCTAATGTAGAGTAGGGGCTCAGCAAACATTGCTCTCTCTCATTCTTTTCTCTGTTCACTACTTCTTAGCTCAGATGCCATCTCCTCTAGGAATCTTTCTCTGATTCCTCATACACTGATCAAAGTATTCTTTCTTTGCATTCCTTTAGCGTTCCCTGTTTACCCCAACCCAGCCATTTTCTCTTTGTCTGTTTAAGTTTGTCCTCCCTAGAATGTAAACTCCATGCGGAAGGGACTGAGTTGTTTGTTTGATTGTGGATATGCAAAATTTTTAACTGTTTTATTGAGATAAAATTTACCTACATGAAGTTCACTCATTTAAAGTGTAAAATTAAGTAGTTTTTGGTATATTTACAGTTCTGCAGTCATCAAGATAATCTAACTTTAGAACTTTTTTATCATCCCAAAAAGAAACATAGCAGTCACTCTTCAACTTTCCCCACCTCCACTCCTCAGACTTCAGTGACCACCAATCTGCTTTTTGTTTCTATGGATTTGCCTACCTTGGATGTTTCATATAAATAAGATCACACAATATGTGGTCTTTTTGGCTGCTTTCCTTCACTTAGCATTATTATGTTTTAATCTTTGCACTCTCAGTTTAGAAACAAATTACCTGGCACAGGAAAGACACTCATGAATTTTTATAAAAAAAAAAAAAACACACAAACAAATGCACTAACAAACTCTAGCATTTTCTGGAGTTAAAAATTGTGCTCGAAATAGAAGTTATCTAAAAGGCTTTGACAACGCACTATGTTAGAAATAGTATTAATATCATCATTTCCTGATACCCTGTTTAGCAAGTACCAAATGTTTGTTCCCATTGTTTATATGTATTATTTGTAACTGTTTTATTGAGATACAATTTACCTACCATGAAGTTTACTCATTTAAAGCATAAAATTCAGTGGTTTTTAGTATATTTACAGTTGGGATTGAGGTAGAGTACGAAAGAAGTAGTTGGGGAAGATGTCAGGTACATGTGGAAGTTGTCCTCCTGGACTCAATGGGGAGGCTGCTAGAAGTTCAGGGAGCTGCTGACACCCGGTGCTGGGCCCTGAGGCTTGCAGTTTGCACAGGGCTATGGTGCTTCAGGCCTGCTCTTTGCTGTACCCCTATACCTCGCTCATCTCAGAAGAAGCAGATGTTCTTTCCACCCTGCCCCTAGCAAAACTGGAAAGGATTTGATGAAGTTATGCCCATGTCTAAATGAACCATATCTCAAGCCCTCATAACTGAAGTTTTAAGAGAGGACAAAGTAAGACATTTCTAGTTGTGGAATTTCAGGTATCGGCTAGCCAGAAATGAGACTATTAAAAGAAGCAGGGAGTATCACATAACTTATCTGGAAGAGTCTGCTATTTTGACACCAAAAATTGAGGAGCCAGGAAAAAAGCTATACTGATTGCCCCATTTAGAGATGTGAGTTATTGGAGCCTAAAGTATATGGGAAGATATTCATGCAGGCCCTGCCCTTCCAGCATATAGACCAATGGGCATGGCTTCTGATCCATACAAATATTTCTACTTGCTTTCTTTTTCTACCATACTATCACCAAATGCAATATTAATGCAACATCAAAATTCATTTTTACATTATAAATCTTCCCTTAATTTTGTATATGATAAGCGCTTACAGATGCAAATCATGTTTAAATAGAAGACATAATGGTTAAAAGAAGTATGCCATATTGTAATAATTTTGCAAACAGCTGTTTCAAGTTAGCATGTGTGTATTCCCAGTCTTGTGTATATGAGATACAAGTTAATGTCAACAGTACATTAACAATGCAACTGAATTTAATTATGGAACTGGAAGTGCTATGGGTAGAGAGATCACATTTTCACTGAAAAGTAGAGGTAGGGTGATATCTGTTTCTAGTGAGTTTCAGATAGGTACTTTTTTCTTTTACACTCACCAATTCTATATTTTTTTTGCAACAGTGCAGTAGCTAAAAGATTTCTCTGCATGTTTTTTCCTAAGTCAAGACAGTAGATATATTCTTCAGCAATTTAATTTTGCAAGTAGCATTATATGTGATTTTGAAATATGAATCTGGGAAGTAAAAAGAGGACTGCAAGGCATAAGATTGATACTCATACTTTTGTACAAAGCTGTGTCTGGTATTCAGAACAAATGAAAAGCTTTCTTGCTTTGTTACCAGATGACTCCCTACTGTGTCCAAAATTCTTTATTTTACTGCATTCTACTGTTTGAAATCCTTTCAATTAGTGAAATCACTTAAATTAACCTCCAGGCTCTCTTAAGATGCTAATATCTTTGGGAGGGTTGGGGCTATTAGACATTTACGATATGAGTGAATTTAATCACATTGTTTTTCTACCAATAGCTGGCTAAATTCCATGCACTGAGTAAATAAGGGGAATGGGGTGTAATTTTGAAGGGAACCCTTTTAGGAAAAAGATTCCTGTGGAGGAAAGGGGAGCCTGAGAAGCAGAGGGACATTGACTGCCTAAGGGTCACTGTGACCGAGCGCTATCCTGTGCCAACTTCACCTCTAAAGACTGAACTTTAAAATCACTTATAGTTGAGCAATGGATTTGGCATATAGCTTCTCTGAGGAATTGCTAGAGGAATTTGAACTATTTACTTGGGAAAGCAGAAACTTCAGAGATGACCTGATTGGGCTACTCCCATCACCCACTGTTTTGCATTTTATCAATACAGCATAGTCAGAAGACCTAATAAACACATTTCTTGAGCCTCCATCTGGCCATTTCCTGGTTTCCACCACGGCACAAAGCAGCACAAGATTTTCCTTTATAGCACTGCACTTTCAAGCAGAAGTCCACTGCATCTAAATGCAGACCACCTAGATGGTTGCCAAGGAAGAGAAGCAATTGTTAAAATGGAGACAGTTACCTGCTTAAAAGTTGATAGAAATTAAAAGTTTATATTCATCCTTTATTGCTCAGAGAATCTGAATACTCTTTCAGTGCCATCTGGCTGAGATGCCAACTATCTCATGCTATAGAAGAATATTTTTCTCTTCCTTTTTCTTTTTTATTTATTTTTAGTTTAATTTTTTGAGACGGGGTCTCAAAAGACTCATGAGACCCCGGACTGGAGTGCGGTGGTACAATCACGGCTCACTGCAGCCTTGACCTCCTGGACTCAAGCGATCCTCCCACCCCAACGTCCTGAGGAGCTGGGCTACAGGTGTGTGCCACCAAGCCCAGCTAGTTTTTGTATTTTTTGTAAAGATGGGGCTTCATCTTTTTGCCCAGGCAGGTCTCACACCCCTGAACTCATGTGATCCTCCCACATCGGCCTCCCAAAGTGCTGAGATTACAGGTGTGTGGGAAGAATATTTTTCTGAAAAACACACTGAAAAACCAGGAAGATTAAAGAATGCAGTGGTGGCATTCTATCTTCTAAAGGATTTTCTAAATTTGACTAGATATGCTCATTGTCTTTGGCCTCCATAGACAGAAGGCAGTTTAGTGACTTGAGGATAAACTACAAAAATTCTATCCTTTGTCTCTAGCATGCAAATAAAAAGCAAAAGCATAACTGTTACCTAAAGAGAATCTGCTCCACTTTGCCATGTTTATTTCTATATTGTCATAAAATGCCTGCTGGCTAAACTCTTGTGGGGAACAGGATTCAAAAGCTTAAAGCATCATTCTTATGGTTCCAAAATAAAAGACAAAGGAGATAGTAAAAGAACATGAGAAGAATAAGGAAAGGGAAGAAATGACAGCAATAAAAATTAAAAGGAGAAAGAAAGAGGAGGTTCAGAAACCCTAAAGAAATGGTGGCAGATGTCATTTGGTGTCATGATTATCAGTCAGCAAGACTGGTCTAGAATTTAACCACAGTTCAGCAAGTAGATTTTGGAGGTTGCCACAAATGGGCAGCGAAGGGTCACTAAAATGTTTAATTATCCAGATGTGTGTCTGGCTTTACAGCCATGAAGTGACTGCATTGTCAACAGGATACAAAGATGCCGTTAATCAGGGACAGGATAATGGTAGTCACAAAAGGAAAATAAATGTCATATTTCATACAAACTAATCTGATTAGTCGTACTTTTGAAACTGCCTTTTGAAAAGAACTAATGCTTTTCTCAGTTTAGTCATCAGAATCATGAGTTTTTTTGCTTCAGAAATAAACCTAACCACTGTAACTCATTTGCTTACTGTATTTCTCACATTTCTTAGTAATAAAAGTTGTCCTAAATTCTGATTCAAATCTTCCCAGTTTAAGTTATCAAACTATTTCAGTGAGTACTATATTTTCATTACTTGGTCACGATTCAACTTTCTCTCAAAGATACTTTCCTAATTGCTTTACACTAAAGACGATTAGTCTGGAAAGCTAAATTAACATCTGAAAATTCATTTCTGTTTTTATCAATTGCCAGTACACATTTAAAACAGAAGCTATTTTCAATCATCATGATTTGAAACATGGAACTACCAGATCAAATATGATTGGCCTCATAATGTACCAGACAGTGCATGCAACTACTAGAATTACTGTGACTGAACATCAATACCAAAGAGCAACTGCTGTAGGCCGGGCAAATATTTCAATAGCTGACATCAAGTCTTAACTGGCCATGGCCCTTAGGCAGTGATCCTGACAAGATCAGCTGTTTCCCAGCACTACAAACTTACTATGCGTGGATTTCTTGTCCATTGTTCTTGTCTTCCTGTATTCCTGGTTTCAAGCTAGTAGACTATCTGGAGTGAAGATAGCTGACGTTGCTGTATAGTCAACCTGCTTAGATAGTGTCAGAGCAAATTACTGCAAAGTAATTGTAGGAAAGTATAAAATTGCACACTGTGGGTAAACACTCCCTGGCCAGACTAGGTGGCATTCTAAGGACATTCAACAAGGGAAACAGTATGCTTGCAAGACTTTAAAAAAAACTGCCACAGAAATGAGTATGATCAAACAAAAAAATAATAATTGTATGTGGTGGATTCTTGCTGAGGCCTCTAAAACCTCTAATAGATGCACTGAGAGATGACAGGAGACTTACAAGCGTGGCTCAGTTCAAAGAGTTAGGATCAAGGATTTCCAAAGTATTGTGCCCATCTACTCATGAATCCACAAAACTGAATAAAATCCTCACAATCAAAAACAATATGTTGTTTTGAAATATTAAATGAAAAAACAGATTACTAAAGCAATATGTACATTATGATACTTTTGTATAAAATATACAAAATTGAGGACGAAAATCAAAGGAACACATGAAAGTGTCAACAGAAACTATCTCCGGTCTTGGGATTACAAATGATTTTTCTTTTTGTTTATTAGAATATTCTAATCTTTCTACAATGAATATATATTAAGATGGTTAAAAGTTTTGAAAGAATAATCAAGATATTTTAAAAATCAGATTCTGTAGGAAAATAAAAGTGGAAACATTTAATAAATAATAAAAACACAACCCCAAAAGTCCTGACATTGAATGGACCTAATCAGTAACAATGACAAGTCTAAGAAATATGTCTTTTTTATGGAATTTCTGGTTAAAGGTGGTGGTATAAACATGAATATTTACTTTTGCTCTTTTCCAAAACTCCACAATAACAATAGTAAATTAATGTTTAAAGAACATATGTCTAAAAGACAAAGAACAATACAGGAAACACAGCAATACAGCTTTGAAAACTGTAAAGCAGATAACTGAGTAATAACTGAATTATCAGACTCAAGTAAGTAGAATCCTAAGCCATTTGTGGAAGGTCAAGAAGCCACCTGTTCAACACCATAATATTTCTGAAAGTCTTAGAAATTGGGACCACTACAAGCCCTGTAAGTTGAAATGAAAGTAAGGCTAAAAGTAAAAGGACTGGCTGAACGTTTAGGAAGCAGTTAGACCCTCAAATTTCTTCCCTCACTAAAGGGAGCTTAACAAGTGTCCACGAGACCCCAGCAGAAGATGGTGGCTCCACTCTTTGAAGAATGTAAGATACAAGATATTTGGACTGAAGGACACCAAGACAAGTGAGAATTCAGATATCAATCTTTAAAAAAAATTTAGACAGTGAATGCTAAGACTTCTTAAGCTCTCTTCTACTAGACCGAAGAACATTAGCCAACATCATCAAAACAGAAGACTAAAATATTCTTCTCTGGAGAAACCAACCAACTAAAAGACAAGACATAAATATACTGACATTGAAGATTTGCCAATAATGTCACCCATCAAAATCATCCTAAATTAAAACCCGAAGTCAATAAGTCCCACCCACATGGTCTGAGCATCTAATTGGCTTTTAAGTACTCTTTCATAATCATGAGCAACAACCAAGGATTACTGGACATCTGACGCAAGTTCCTAAAATGACAGAGACAAAGAAAAACAATGAAATAACTTGGAAGAAGCAGGAGGAGAAAAATTTCAGAAAATGTCATTGATACATTGAATTAGAATAATGTCCCCTCCTCTAATATGTCCACATCTGTATTGGTTTCCTCAAGCTGCCATAGCAAAGCATCACAAGTAGGGTGGCTCAAAACAACAGAAATTTATTGTCTTACTGTTCTGGAGGCCAGAAGTCCAAAATCAAGATATTGGGAGGGCTACGCTCCCTCTGGACGCTCTAGAGGCAAATCGTTTCTCACCTCCTCCGGCTTCTGCTGGTTCCAAGCATTCCTTGTGGCATCACCTCCAGTGTCTACCTTGGTCTTCACATGGTCTTCTCCTCCTTCTCTGTGTCTGTGTCTCTTCTTCTTTCTCTCATAAGGACCCTTGTTACAGGATTTAGGGCCCACCCAGATAATCCAGGATAATCTCTTGTTAACATACTTAATTACATCTGAAAATATTCTTTTTCCAAACAAGATCACATTCACAGGTTTTGGGTATTAAGACATAGATATCCTGACCTCAGGTGATGTGCCCACCTTGCATGGTGAAACCCCATCTCTACTAGAAAAAAAACAAAAAACAAAAATTAGCCAGGTATGGTGGTGTGCACTTGTAATTCTAGCTACTCAGGAGGCTGAGGTGGAAGAACTGCTTGAACCCAGGAGGCAGAGGTTGCAGTGAGTCGAGATTGTGCCATTGCACTGCAGCCTGGGAGACAAGAGTGAGTACTCCATCTCAAAAAAAAAAAAAAAAAAAAAAAAAAAGGAGCATAGATATATGTCTATTTGGGGGGCACCACTCAACCCACTATAATGTCCTAGTCCCTGGAACCTATGAATATGTTACATGGCAAAAGGAACTTTGCAGCTGTGATTAAGTTAAGGCTCTTGAGAAGATTTTCCTGGATTATTCATGGGGTTCCAATGTAATCACAAGGTCCTTACAAGAGGGAGGCACAAGGGTCACAGTCAGAGAAGAAGATATAACAATAGAAGCAGAGGAACAGGAGATGTCACAACAGAAGCAAAGGTCAGATTGATATATGGAAGGAACCACAAGCCAGGGAAAAGAGGTAGCCTCTAGAAGCTAGAAAAGGCAGGGAAACCAATTCTCCTCTAGAGTCTCTAGAAGGGACCCAGCATTGCTGATCTGTTGTAGATTTCTGATCTCCCAAACTGTAAGATGGTACATGTGTGCTGTTTAAACCACTCAAAATGTGAGAATTTTTTAAAGGAGCAATAGGAAACCAATACATAATATAAAATGATAAGATAACATAGCACACTCAAAATTAAAACAAGTTATGTCATTTTTAAAAGCATGCAAAGAAACATACAAAGAGCTCTTAGAAGTCATACACATACATAAGCACCTGCACACATATATACAGGTCCACACATACACATGTATACTAGCAAAATGAAAAAATAGAAATCTATAAAGATGTAATTGAGAAAATCACATATAAATGAGAGAAAAACATACAAAAGAAAATACAACAGAACAGTTACAAAACTTAAAGAATCAGAAAGTTGATCCAATGTTCATAAAATAGAAAATTCAGGAGAAAAAAGTGGGAGAAGGGAAATCAATAAAAATAATTTGAAAATGTTTTTCTACAAGCAAAAACATAGGTTCCTATATTGAGATAGGCTACTGAGTGTCTAGACCAATTGATGAAAATATACCCACATGTAGTCACATTACCATGAAGTTTCCAAACATTACAGAGAAAGAAAAGATCCTAAAAGATAACCAGAGGAAAAAAGGGTCTGGAATGTTTCAGTAGTAACCATGGAAGTTAGGAAACAATGGGGAAATGTCTTTAACTGTCTGAATGAAAATTATTTCTAACCTACAATTTGATACCTAACCAAACTATCAGGGTAGGATTACGCTATTGTAAAACAGGTAAATTCTAATAAAAATTTACTGTACATATGCTTTTTATCAAGAAGCTACAGTAGTATGTGCTCCACTGGAACAGGACAGTAAACCAGAAATGAGAACTACACAAGATTCAGAAAAATGAGGTCTCTATTTAGAAACAAGGAAAATATAATCCCCAGGATGAAGGAGAAGAGGATCCCTGGACAGTGGGGCACCAGGTATAAAAGCAACCATTCCAGATTGGAACAGGTCAGGGGATGTTTCAAGACACTGTGCCAAAAACATGGAATTGATAGCACTTCTCATTCATCAGAGGAGATTTAGAAAACTGGTGAGGTTCGGAGCTTGATTCATGACAAGCATACAGAAAGCTAAGCAAATGGGAACTCACAGAGTGGTGAGTTACCAGAGGCTGAGGATGGAGGAGGAACAGGAAGATGTTGATCAAAGAGTAGAAAGTTTTAGTTTGACAGGAAGAATAATTTTTTAAATTGCACATTATGGTGACTATAGTTAATAATAATACATTTTTCAAAATTGCTAAGAGAGTAAATTTTAAATGTTCTTACCACAAAAAGGTAAATATTTGATGTGATGGAATGTTAATTAGCTTGATTTAATCATTCCATATTGTATACATCACATTGCTTTGTACCCCAAATTTATATAATTATAATTTGTCAATTTATAATAAAATTTAAGAAAAGAAAACTAAGTGGGGGAAAAAGGCAAGTGAGGAAAAGGGAAATAATCACTGTTTACCATATAGCTTAGCAAAAATAACATTACATGTCGTGATAATATAAAAGCTCACTAGTGATCTAACCACAATTTCAAGATATCTATATTCAAAATGGAAAGGATAAGAAAGTACACATGTGCAGGGATGGGGGTGAAGATCACAGATAATGCCTAAAATTTAAAAAATTAAGAAGCAATTGCTTCAGTATTAATATTTAACAAATTGAAGAAAAATATCAAAAGAATCAGGTCAAAGAGCTGCAAGTTGTTATTCCTGGGGAGGGGAAAATGGTAGGGAAGTAAGAAACTTGTTTTTCTTTGCAAGACCTACAGAATTGTTTATTTCATGAATGTGATTTTTAAAAATCTATGGTACTGTTACGAATGTAGTGAGAGGATATTTTATTTAAGCTGTTTTGCAAAGTTTGATTAGCCTACTGAATAGTACAGTTTAAATATTAATATAAGGAAAGGAGCCTCAAAAAAATTTCAAGATTCACTGCAGGATACTGCATAAAACTAAGGGAAATAATCCTGGTTGAGCTTAATCTTTCTAGGTGGTTCTTCTGTTTTCTCCAGCTGTTAAACATATTTATGACTTTCGACTCCTTTCTTTTGTTCATTTTTGAATTCCAAGCAAGACACACCTTACAGCAAGCAATTACCAAAAATAACCCTCCATGGTAAATGTTATCAAATCACTTAAATTATTTTGAAAAAAATGTAGCATATTTCCTCTACGCCATCACAAGCAGTCATAACCTGTTTTGTCAAGCGTGAAAATCTATGCAAATCTATCCACAAATAATTGTGAATCTTATATGAATCAAAATATTTCTTCAGTATTTTTATGAGCATCTACATACAGCAGTATTATAGTTCTCAAATACAACCTATTGATTTTAGGCCACCTGCTGTTTATCTATTTTGTGATTTAAATCCCATCCAATTTTCCAACCTCATGTTGATTAGGCCACCTGATATGCTTCTGGGCCACTTGCCTGAGATGACAATGTGTGAGGAATCATGAATTAATTTTAGTGTTGCCAAAGGAAACCACAAACAGAAAAACAACCCAAATAATGTGTTCTAAGGTTAAAAAGGTAGAGGCGGACATTATTTAGAAACACTATAATTTTTGGTGAAATCATCCTCTCTGATCCATTGGGTTAACCCATACAGCTGAGGGTGAATGACAATAAGAATCCTGCTCTGTCTCAATATGGCTTCTAAGTACAGACACGGATAGGGCTTCCATGGGCATTAATAAGTCCTATGCTAACCACTCCTCTTACACTGCCGCTAATTATCACTGCATAGCTTGTCTTTTCTCAGAATACAATCCAGAGGATTTGCAATATAGTTATCTTGCCTACAGCTTCTGTGATGGTTCTTAATCTGCCTGTCTATTTTGAGGGCTTGCAATACTACATTTTATAGTAGGTAGCAGAACTGAGTAACTTGCCCTCTGCCCAAGAAAGTGAAGATTTCCTGTGACATTTCTGTACTCTCATTTCTTCCTTCTATGGTGAAGAATATGCTCCTCTATTTCCCACCTCACTGGTTGCTCCTTCCCTGTGGAAAAAGAGTGGCCAGTCAGTTGGTCCTCATCACGAGTGGGTGACTCAAAAGATGGTTCCACTTTTCCTCTTCATAGATCTCAGTATCCTCAATTATAGTGAGCTCTCCTCTCCACTGCCTGTTGCCTCTTCCTAGTTTCTTCTCTCTGGCCCAGCTTTTGAGCCTAATACTGGGTAGATATATCAGATCAACCTTGCTTTGTCAGCCTGCAGTCTTCATTTCAAGGGGAAGAAATAGGAAATTTCACTTTGCATAGTAAAACAATACTAGGAAGCTTTATACTTAATAAACCTGATACTTTGTCCCAACTGGTTCAGTTCTCTCTGTACATGCGTTAGTCATCAGAACCCCTGGGGCAAGGAGGGGAGTGGAAAATGAAGGGTAAGATTCCAGCACTGAACCCCACCCCGGACTGCCAACAATTACCATAAGATTAAGATATGCTGAGGGCCAAATCAGTTCCTGAAGGAAAACTCCTTTCAGCCAAAGCCTGCCATAACTCCGTTAACCTATAAGGCAAATATTAGTTCTCTCCCCAAAACAGCATTAAAAAGTGGCTCCACTGTGTTTGTCTGGTGCTGGTTTCACAAGTGTGCCCTGGGGATTTCAGACAATAGACTGGTGCTAAAGTAGCAACTGGAATCCTTTACCCAGCCGGCTAGACTCCGACTCCGTTCTGGCATCTAGCCCAGTATATCAAAATTGTGGTTTTCAGTCCATTTTGGAAGCTGCTTCACTAAGCCATGTGACAACCCCAAAAGTTGGTCTGGCACCAAAAGATTCATCAGATTGCAAACTTGAGAGCCCTCAAGTCGGCTGTTTTTGTATTGATGCCTCCCTTCCCATAATCATTAACAGAAGGTGAGAGGGCTGCAGTTGGAACACACCTCACACCTATTATGCAGTTTGTGTTTATGTCTCTGAATCCTCGTAAATCTCCCAGGCTCTGAGCACTTGCCTACTCAAATAAAAAGCATTCTCTGGGGAAAACTCCAGTAAGAGTTTGAGTTATTAGACTAGCTCAACAAACTTACCTGGAAGAAGCACATGGCATGGCTACAGGTTAGTCAGAAAGATTTAAGAGTCTCAGTTTATTTACTGATTTTAACACTAGCAGAAACCGAAACTGTGAATACTCTCGACATAGCCATCTGGTGGTCCCCTTGGAACTTGTGTAAATCACATGTCACATACTAATGTAACGTAGTAGGTAGAGGTCATGACAAATTGCCAGTTGAGAAGTGGTAAATTAGTAGATTATGTCAATGCTGACAGCTCTCAACTTAATGCTTCATTGATTCCACTATTCTTGTAAGAGATTCCTTGTCTGTTAAAACAACCACCACTTAACCATTATTGAATGCCTACTATGCATTCAGCCCTGTGGTAGGCAATAGGAGTTGCAAAAGAATTATTCATACTCCTTGATTTCAAGACGTTTTATCAGTAATATAGACCAATGCAACAGAACAGAGACCTCAGAAATAACACCACACAACTACAACCATCTGATCTTTGACAAACCTGACAAAAACAAGCCATGGGGAAAGGATTCCCTATTGCGTAAATGGTGCTGGGAAAACTGGCTAGCCATATGCAGAAAACTGAAACTGCACTCCTTCCTTACACCTTATACAAAAACTAACTCAAGATGGATTAAAGACTTAAATGAAAGACCTAAAACCATAAAAACCCTAGAAGAAAACCTAGGCAATACCATTCAGGACATAGACATGGGCAAAGACTTCATGAATAAAACACCAAAAGCCAAAATAGACAAATGGGATCTAACTAAACTAACGAGCTTCTGCACAGCCAAAGAAACTACCATCAGAGTGAACAGGCAACCTACAGAATGGGAGTAAATTTTTGCAATCTATCCATCTGACAAAGGGCTAATATTCAGAATCTACAAAGAACTTAAACAAATTTACAAGAAAAAAACAACCAATCCCATCAAAAAGTCAGCAACGGATAAGAACAGACACTTTTCAGAAGAAGACAGTTATGTAGCCAACAAACATATGAAAAAAAGCTCATCATCACTGGTCACTAGAGAAATGCAAATTAAAACCACAATGAGATACTGTCAGGCCTCTGAGCCCAGGCCAGGCCATCGCATCCCCTGTGACTTGCATGTATACATCCAGATGGCCTAAAGTAACTGAAGATCCACAAAAGAAGTAAAAACAGCCTTAACTGATGACATTCCGCCATTGTGATTTGTTCCTGCCCCACCCTAACTGATCAATGTACTTTGTAATCTCCCCCACCCTTAAGAAGGTTCTTTGTAATTCTCCCCACCCTTGAGAATGTACTTTGTGAGATCCACCCCTGCCCACCAGAGAACAACCCCCTTTGACTGTAATTTTCCATTACCTTCCCAAATCCTATAAAAGGGCCCCACCCCTATCTCCCTTCCTGACTCTCTTTTCGGACTCAGCCCGCCTGCACCCAGGTGAAATAAACAGCCATATTGCTCACACAAAGGCTGTTTGGTGGTCTCTTCACATGGACGCGCATGAAATTTGGTGCCGTGACTCGGATTGGGGGACCTCCCTTGGGAGATCAATCCCCCGTCCTTCTGCTCTTTGCTCCGTGAGAAAGATCCACCTATGACCTCAGGTCCTCAGACCGACCAGCCCAAGAAACATCTCACCAATTTCAAATCCGGTAAGTGGCCTCTTTTTACTCTCTTCTCCAACTTCCCTCACTATCCCTCAACCTCTTTCTCCTTTCAATCTTGGCGCTACACTTCAATCTCTCCCTTCTCTTAATTTCAATTCCTTCCATTTTCTGGTAGAGACAAAAGAGACACGTTTTATCTGTGGACCCAAAACTCCGGCACCGGTCACGGACTGGGAAGGCAGCCTTCTCTTGGTGTTTAATCATTGCAGGGACACCTCTCTGATTATACACCCACGTTTCAAGGGTGTCAGACCACGCAGGGACGCCTGCCTCAGTCCTTCACCCTTAGCGGCAAGTCCCGCTTTTCTGGGGAAGGGGCAAGTACCCCAACCCCTTCTCTCCTTGTCTCTACCCCTTCCCTGCTTTTCCGGGGACAGGGTAAGTACCCCAACCCCTTCTCTCCTCATCTCTACCCCTTCTCTGCTTTTCCGGGGACAGGGCAAGTACCCCAACCCCTTCTCTCCTTGTCTCTACCCCTTCTCTGCTTGTCTCTACCCCTTCCCTGCTTTTCCGGGGACAGGGCAAGTACCCCAACCCCTTCTCTCCTTGTCTCTACCCCTTCTCTGCTTGTCTCTACCCCTTCTCTGCTTTTCCGGGGACAGGGCAAGTACCCCAACCCCTTCTCTCCTTGTCTCTACCCCTTCTCTGCTTTTCCGGGGACAGGGTAAGTAGCCCAAGCCCTTCTCTCCTTGTCTCTACCCCCTTCTCTGCCTTTCCTGGGGCAGGGGCAAGTACCCCTCAACCCCTTCTCCTTCACCCTTAGCAGCAAGTCCCGCTTTTCTAGGGGACAAGAACCCCCAAACCCCTTCCCTCCGTGTCTCTACGCTCTCTTTTCTCTGGGTTTGCTTCCTTCAGTATGGGCAACCTTCCACCCTCCATTCCTCCTTCTTCTCCCTTAGCCTGTGTGCTCAAGAACTTAAAACCTCTTCAGCTTACACCTGACCTAAAACCTAAATGCCTTATTTTCTTCTGCAATGCCGCTTGACCCCAATACAAACTCGACAGTAGTTCCAAATAGCTGGAAAACGGCACTTTCAATTTTTCCATCCTACAAGATCTAAATAATTCTTGTCATAAAATGGGCAAATGGTCTGAGGTGCCTGACGTCCAGGCATTCTTTTACACATCAGTCCCTTCCTAGTCTCTGTGCCCAGTGCAACTCGTCCCAAATCTTCCTTCTTTCCCTCCCGCCTGTCCCCTCAGTCCCAACCCCAAGCATCGCTGAGTCTTTCTAATCTTCCTTTTCTACAGACCCATCTGACCTCTCCCCTCCTCTCCAGCCCAAGCTAGGTCCCAATTCTTCCTCAGCCTCCGCTCCTCCACCCTGTAATCTTTTGATCGCTTCCCCTCCTCACACCTGGTCTGGCTTACAGTTTCGTTCTGTGACTAGCCCTAGTCCACCTTCCCAGCAATTTATTCTTAAAAAGGTGGCTGGAGCCAAAGGTATAGTCAACATTAATGCTCCTTTTTCTTTATCCCAAATGAGATAGTGTTTAGGCTGTTTTTCATCAAATATAAAAACCCAGCCCAGTTCATTGCTCGTTTGGCAGCAACCCTGAGACTCTTTACAGCCCTAGACCCTAAAAGGTCAAAAGGCCGTCTTATTCTCAAAATACATTTTATTACCCAATCTGCTCCCGACATTAAATAAAACTCCAAAAATTAAATTCCGGCCCTCAAACCCCACAACAGGATTTAATTAACCTCGCCTTCAAGGTGTACAATAATAGAAAAAAGTTGCAATTCCTTGCCTCCACTGTGAGACAAACCCCAGCCACATCTCCAGCACACAAGAACTTCCAAACGCCTGAACCGCAGCAGCCAGGCGTTCCTCCAGAACCTCCTCCCCCAGGAGCTTGCTACAAGTGCCAGAAATCTATCTGACCACCAGGCCAAGGAATGCCTGCAGCCCAGGATTCCTCCTAAGCCGTGTCCCATCTTTGCGGGACCCCACTGGAAATCGGACTGTTCAACTCACCTGGCAGACACTCCCAGAGCCCCTGGAACTCTGGCCCAAGGCTTTCTGACCGACTCCTTCTCGGCTTAGTGGCTGAAGACTGATGCTGCCCGATTGCCTCGGAAGCCCCGTAGACCATCACGGACACCGAGCTTTGGGTAACTCTCACAGTGGAAGGTAAGTCCGTCCCCTTCTTAATCAATACGGAGGCTACCCACTCCACATTACCTTCTTTTCAAGGGCCTGTTTCCCTTGCCTCCATAACTGTTGTGGGTATTGATGGCCAGGCTTCTAAACCTCTTAAAACTCCCCAACTCTGGTGCCAACTTAGACAGTACTCTTTTAAGCACTCCTTTTTAGTTATCCCCACCTGCCCAGTTCCCTTATTAGGCTGAGACACTTTAACTAAATTATCTGCTTCCCTGACTATTCCTGGACTACAGCTATATCTCATTGCCGCCCTTCTTTCCAATCCAAAGCCTCCTTTGCGTCCTCCTCTTGTATCCCCCCACCTTAACCCACAAGTATAAGATACCTCTACTCCCTCCTTGGCGACCGATCATGTACCCCTTACCATCTCATTAAAACCTAATCACCCTTACCCCACTCAACGCCAATATCCCATCCCGCAGCACGCTTTAAAAAGATTAAAGCCTGCTACAGCATGGCCTTTTAAAGCCTATAAACTCTCCTTACAATTCCCCCATTTTACCTGTCCTAAAACCAGACAAGCCTTACAAGTTAGTTCAGGATCTGTGCCTTATCAACCAAATTGTTTTGCCTAGCCACTCCATGGTGCCAAACCTATATACTCTCCTATCCTCAATACCTGCCTCTACAACCCATTATTCTGTTCTAGATCTCAAACATGCTTTCTTTACTATTCCTTTGCACCCTTAATCCCAGCCTCTCTTCGCTTTCACTTGGACTGACCCTGACACCCATCAAGCTCAGCAAATTACCTAGGCTGTACTGCCACAAAGCTTCACAGACAGCCCCCATTACTTCAATCAAGCCCAAATTTCTTCCTCATCTGTTACCTATCTCGACATAATTCTCATAAAAACACATGTGCTCTCCCTGCCAATTGGGTCCGACTGATCTCTCAAACTCAAGCACCTTCTACAAAACAACAACTCCTTTCCTTCCTAGGCATGGTTAGCATGGTCAGAATTCTTACACAAGAGCCAGGACCACACCCTGTAGCCTTTCTGTCCAAACAACTTGACCTTACTGTTTTAGCCTAGCCCTCATGTCTGCATGCAGTGGCTGCCACTGCTTTAATACTTTTAGAGGCCCTCAAAATCACAAACTATGCTCAACTCACTCTCTACAGTTCTCATAACTTCCAAAATCTATTTTCTTCCTCATACCTGACGCATATGCTTTCTGCTTCCCGGCTCCTTCAGGTATACTCACTCTTTGTTGAGTCTCCCACAATTACCGTTGTTCCTGGCCCAGACTTCAATCCGGCCTCTCACATTATTCCTGATACCACACCTGACCCCCATTACTGTATCTCTCTGATCCACCTGACATTCACCCCATTTCCCCAAATTTCCTTCTTTCCTGTTCCTCACCCTGATCACGCTTGATTTATTGATGGCGGTTCCACCAGGCCTAATCACCACACACCAGCAAAGGCAGGTTATGCTATAGTACAAGCCACTAACTCGCCTCTTAGAACCTCTCATTTCCTTTCCATTGTGGAAATCTATCCTCAAGGAAATAACTTCTCAGTGTTCCATCTGCTATTCTACTACTCCTCAGGGATTATTCAGGCCCCCCTCCCTTCCCTACACATCAAGCTCGAGGATTTGCCCCGCCCAGGACTGGCAAATTAGCTTTACTCAACATGCCCTGAGTCAGATAACTAAAATACCTCTTAGTCTAGGTAGACACTTTCACTGGATAGGTAGAGGCCTTTCCTATAGGGTCTGAGAAGGCCACCGCAGTCATTTCTTCCCTTCTGTCAGACATAATTCCTCAGTTTAGCCTTCCCACCTCAATACAGTCTGATAACAGGTGAGCCTTTATTAGTAAAATCAGCCAAGCAGTTTTTCAGGCTCTTAGTATTCAGTGAAACCTTTATATCCCTTATGGTCCTCCGTCTTCAAGAAAAGTAGAATGGACTAAAGGTCTTTTAAAAACACACCTCACCAAGCTCAGCCACCAACTTAAAAAGGACTGGACAATACTTTTACCACTTTCCCTTCTCAGAATTCAGGCCTGTCTTTGGAATGCTACAGGGTACAGCCCATTTAAGCTCCTGTATAGACGCTCCTTTTTATTAGGCCCCAGTCTCATTCCAGACACCAGACCAACTTAGACTGTGCCCAAAAAAACTTGTCATCCCTACTATCTTCAGTCTAGTCATACTCCTATTCACCGTTCTCAACTACTCATACATGCCCTGCTCTTGTTTACACTGCCGGTTTACACTGTTTTTCCAAGCCATCACAGCTGATATCTCCTGGCGCTATCCCCAAACTGCCACTCTTAACTCTTGAAGTAAATAAATAATCTTTGCTGGCAGGACTATGCTGAATCTCCTTAGGCACTCTCTAATCAGATATCCTGAGTCGTCCCAATTCTTAGACCTTTTATACCTGTTTTTCTCCTTCTGTTATTCCATTTAGTTTCTCAATTCATCCAAAACCGTATCCAGGCCATCACCAATCATTCTATATGATAAATGTTTCTTCTAACAATCCCACAATATCACCCCTTGCCACAAGACCTCCCTTCAGCTTAATCTCTCCCACTCTAGGTTCCCATGCCGCCCCTAATCCTGCTTGAAGCAGCCCTTGGAAATATCACCCATTCTCTCTCCATACCACCCCCCAAAAATTTTCGCCGCCCCAACACTTCAACACTATTTTGTTTTACTTGTCTTATTAATATAAGAAGGCAGGAATGTCAGGCCTCTGAGCCCAGGCCAGGCCATCGCATCCCCTGTGACTTGCATGTATACATCCAGATGGCCTAAAGTAACTGAAGATCCACAAAGAAGTAAAAACAGCCTTAACTGATGACATTCCACCATTGTGATTTGTTCCTGCCCCACCCTAACTGATCAATGTACTTTGTAATCTCCCCCACCCTTAAGAAGGTTCTTTGTAATTCTCCCCACCCTTGAGAATGTACTTTGTGAGATCCACCCCTGCCCACCAGAGAACAACCGCCTTTGACTGTAATTTTCCATTACCTTCCCAAATCCTATAAAAGGGCCCCATCCCTATCTCCCTTCCTGACTCTCTTTTTGGACTCAGCCCGCCTGCACCCAGGTGAAATAAACAGCCATATTGCTCACACAAAGCCTGTTTGGTGGTCTCTTCACACGGACGCGCATGAAAGATACCATCTCACACCAGTTAGAATAGAGATCATTAAAGAGTCAGGAAACAACAGATGCTGGAGAGGATGTGGAGAAATAGGAATGCTTTTACAGTGTTGGTGGGAATGTAAATTAGTTCAACCATTGCGGAAGACAGTGTGGCAATTCCTTCAAGGATCTAGAACCAGAAATACCATTTGACCCAGCAATCCCATTACTGGGTATATACCTAAAGGATTATAAATCATTCTACTGTTAAGACACATGCATGCACACGTATGTTTTTTGCTGCACTGTTCACAATAGCAAAGACTTGGAACCAACCCAAATGCCCATCAATGATAGACTGGATAAAGAAAATGTGGCACATATACACTATGAAGTACTATGCAGCCATAAGAAAAGGATGAGTTCATGTCCTTTGCAGGGACATGGATGAAGCTGGAAACCATCATTCTCAGCAAACTAACACAAGAACAGAAAATCAAACACTGCATGTTCTCATTCATAAGTGGGAATTGAACAATGAGACACATGGACACAGGGAGGGGAACATCATACACCAGGGGGTATGTCATGGGGGTTTGGGGGTTAGGGGAGGGATAGCATTAGGAGAAATACCCAATGTAGATGATGGGTTGATGGGTGCAGCAAACTACCCTGGCACGTGTATACCTATGTAACAAACCTGCCCATTCTGCACACGTATCCCAGAACTTAAAGTATAATTTTAAAAAAGATGTTTTATAATCTAATTGGTGACTGACAACTAAGGTACGTTAGACCATTAGCAAAAGTAAATTAAGTGATAAGTATTATGGTAGGGACCTCAGGTAATATAGGAATTGGGCAGAGAGAGACGTTAACATGGTTAACTCCAAAAGTGGTATGACCTAGAAAATGGGTAGATAGGTTTGAGTAAGTGGAAGGAGAGAAAAGAAATTTCTAGGCATAGACGCAGTGTTTCTCAAGAAACTGAAAGACAAATATGCAGGTCCTGCTTATGGAAAAGGGAAGACAGAAGGTGTCTTGCTTAGGAAGAATGAGTACAAGGATATAGAGTGAATTTAATCAGAAATGACAGTTATGGACAAATCCTGAATAAAGGATTTTAGAAGTCAAACCAAAGGGTTTAAAACTGATATAGGAGTAAATAAATTATTAAAGATTTTAGGGAGGAAAGTGAAAATATTAAGGTCAAGTTTAAATGTGAACAATGAGATATAAGTAAACACCAAATGGCATTTGTTGCTTGGCCAGACTTAAAAGCCTCCATTTCAACTTGCTCCCACTAATAATGAGGACAGTAACCAAAGGTTAGACATTCGAAAAATGACCTTGGATACAAAAGCAGTGTCAGCAATTGTTTACTTTTGACAGGCATTTGTTGACTGAAAGACATTTATGAC
The DNA here is from genome assembly GCF_000001405.40 of Homo sapiens. Taxonomy (NCBI): domain Eukaryota; kingdom Metazoa; phylum Chordata; class Mammalia; order Primates; family Hominidae; genus Homo; species Homo sapiens. The sequence continues at coordinate 121,322,684 of NC_000007.14, forward strand.
ATGACGTTAACTATAATTATGCAGACCAACGGATAGAATAGGATAGATGCAGTCAATTTTAAATGGCTTTTCTCTTGAAGTTGTTTGTTTTTGAGATTGGGTCTCACTCTATCACCCAGGCTGGAATGCAATGGTGCTAACATGACTCTCTGCTGCCTCAACATCCAGGGCTCAGGCAATCTTCCTGCCTCATCCTTCTAAGTAGCTGAGACCAGAGGTGCACACCAACACACCCAGCTAATTTTTAAATTATTTGTTGAGATGGGGTCTCCCTATGTTGCACAGGCTGGTCTCAAACTCCTGGGCTCAAGTGATCCTCCTGCCTCAGCCTCCCAAAGTAAGGGATTACAGGTGTGAGCCACCACGCCTGGCCCCCTTGAAGTTTTAATTATTCTATCTTAGGAAAATCCCTCAAGAAGGGCAAATTTGTTTTTTCCATTATAGGCAGCCTAGTGATTACTCCATAAATATTACTTTAAACAATGTAAATGCCAGATTCTTAATTTTCCTGACAACATTAAAACATTAAAATCATTCATTAATGAAGTTGCTTTATTTGGAAAAAATTACTGGGAAAAAGTATTTAAAGAATCAAAACTATCAATATATTCCAGTTTTGTGCATTTTATTTACTTTTACCCTCTGAATGAAGTGACCACTCTTATTTGTCAAGGAATGTTTTTACTTTTATTCCCTTATTCCAAAAAAATTGCATAATTCCTACAAAATACCACTTAAAAAAATCTTGAGGTACCCTGTTTTTTATTTTAAGTTTTTTAAGGATTGCTGGGGAAATGCTGGTAAGAGATAAGTCACTTTCTACTGACACTTTACAAGCCTTCTTCAACCTTAATTGCTAGGATGAGTAAACAAAAAACTTTTAACTTCTGTGGTTGTGGAAATTTAAAAAGCAAAGCATCATCCCTTTCCAACTCCTGCTCTTTCTCCTGGGACTATCGCTGGTGTCTCCTCTGTTCCTCCAAGTCTGTCATTCCTGCGGGTTTTTCTGGCCACTAAAGGACAGCAGGCTATCCAGAATGCCATTCTCCACCCCCTCCTAAGAGCCAGTGGTCACAAGCCTGTGCTCTGTTCCACACTTGTAGCATCCAGGTGGAATTTAAAATAGAATGGATGGGGACCCAGTTATGTAAAAAGTCACCTCTGGTCTTCTGTTCTATCATGGGAGTTAAGACCAGCTGGGGTGCTTCTGGTATCAGTTTCCAGCACATAAGTCTCTGTGATCTGCAGCAGAAATTCTTACAACAGGGCCCTTAGAAGTCTCGTCCTCTGATGGGCTGCCAGAGGCAGAGTCCAAGGCATATCTCTGCAGGCAGACTTTTTTTGCTGAGTTTCCCAGGGACTGAGAGAAAACTATCAGAAGGAAGAGGCTCCCCTGTATTCTACAACTAGAAATCTACAACTGTCTTGGGCGGAAGATGGGATTTATTGCTGTCTAGCTACTTATCTGGTTCAGTTGGCTCAGCGGATTGGAGATGATAACAGTCACAGATTCAGCATCTTGAGAGAGCTCTTTTGAGTGAAATGAGTATGCTTGAAATCTGGCTCTCCCCTCCCTAATTCCTTTTCCCAGAATACAGCTCAGAGCACCTTACCTCCAGCTAGGAAAAAGAGTTTAAGTGTATGCCCTCTATGTGGACTCCAGAGACTACAGGTGCTTGAGTAACCAATGCAAACTTGCAGTCATATGGTGATTTTCTTAACATCACTAGTCAAAATCTAGGCAGCTGGGCTCAGATCATGAAATGACATAATATTAGCTCTCATTTATGTGTTTATTAAATGATTAATGATATGATCTTTACAACATTTTATGCATATGGACACTAGAAGCTTAAAAAGTTTATACAGTACAGTAAACTTTAGGTCTCACATTCTACTGGTCAGTGAATATTTTGTCGTCTCTTCAATCAAAATATAATAAATAGGAAATTAAGCTCCTGCTTGCTGAGAAAGAAATCAATAATTTAAAATGTGCAGTTGTATACATGTTTGGAATTGATCTTTTACTTCATTCATCAAGTCTAAATAGCATAATCCCCTCCGATGAGAGTAGAGTTGAATGCTTTATATTAATAGACATAAATTCGATTATGAAAGAGCTCCTCAACTTCATATGTCAGGATAAAATATCTGTAACTTCTTATATTCTCCAAATAAAATTTCATGTGATCTGACAAGATTATATTTTAAAATTCAACCATTTTAAATGACTTCTGCAATTAAAATAGATTCATTTTCCTTGAAATCCAGAAGCAAAAGTGAAGCTGGAGATATTAAGACAAGATGGGCGCCAAAAAACCCTGGCTTATGCCACCTTGGGGACTGAACCATCTTTCAGGTAGACAAGTTCCTGTCAATGGCTAAGGTTTCCTCCTCCTGCAGTCCCCCAGCAAATGCAGTTTCCCCCTCCCCACCATGTGCGCGCGCGCACACACACACACACACACACACACACACACACACACACACACACGTACCACTCTCCTCCCTCCAGCCCTATGGTAGCTCCAGTAAGAGATTCAGATCTGAAAAAGAAATTTTGATAATTTTGCAAATGAAAAAACTGAGACTCAAAGTTGAAATGAGTAGTCCACGATCATCACCTGCTGACAGGAGCCCCGGTTACCCAACCCAACCCAGTGCTCTTTCCACTGCCCCTCTCAGCCTGCAAAAACCACAGAGGGCAAAGCCAGAAAGATGGAAAGGCACCCATGCAGCTCACCACTTGCCTCAGGGAGACCCTCTTCACAGGGGCTTCTCAAAAGACCTCCCTATGGTGGGTTTTGTTTATTTTTGGAGAACAAAACAACTTTTTCAATGTTTCAATGGAGAGATCTGTGAATTGTGACGTAAGGAACCATAGACACCAGTAAAAAATTTTGACCCAAAGACACGGTAATCTGAGTTTTAAGATTTGGGGATTTGATCAGGGAAAAAAAATTTTACATATATATATATATAACACCTAACATATCTCTCTCTATACACACACACTATATATATGTTTTGAATTAGGCATGCAGAAGTATGTTGTAGTGAAAAAAACAGGGTCTTGGCCAGGTGCCATGGATCATGCCTATAATCCCAGCAGTTTGGGAGGCTGAGGCAGGAGGATTGTTTGAGCCAGGAATTTGAGACCAGTCTGGGCAACATAGTGAGACCCCTGTCTCTACACAAAATAAAAAATACAGCTGAATATAACGGTGCACACTTGTAGTCCCAGCTACTCAGGAGGCTGAGGGTGAGGATCGCTTGTGCCTGGGAGTTGAGGCTGCAGTGAGTCATGATAGAGCCACTACACTCCAACCTGGGCAATAGAATGATACCTCATCTCAAAAAAAAAAAAAAAAAAAAAAAAAAAGGAGGGGCCTCTAAAGGTTGATTGTTTTTGAGTAACCTCGAGCAAGTTTCTTAATCTCCCCAAATTAATTTCCTCATCTGTAAAGTGAGTATCAATTTTGTATAGAGAAAGATGGAGAATGAGACAGAGACAGAGAGACAAATAAAGACAGTAAGAGGGATTTGGGAGTGTATGGCAGCTCTCAGAACATGAAAGTTCACAATGCCTGGAACAAAATTATCATTCAAATATCTGTTCACTGAATGAAAAATCTGCTTCCTCAGCTGGGTCAGCTCCTAGAAATATGTCTCCTTTGTTTTGGAGATATGGACAGAATGACCCCTAAGGCTCTAGCCCATACAAAAGAGATGCAAGACCACTCACGCCCTAAAATTGTGTCTTGTGTTTGAAAATGTTTGACACAGTGGTCTCTGACTCTCAGGACAGAATACCCTCTGAGTGCACCCCAAAGGCTTTATCTGGATGCGTAGATGGTGCTAGATTCCCAGAATAATAATGAAGGTAACATTCAAGTGTCTCCTCCCCACTCTGATCCCCAAGACTGAAATAAGTAATCTTCCTTTGTGTGTTCACAGCACACTCTACTTTGTACATTTATTGCACGTATTATAGCTGCATGCTCCCTTGTCTGTCTTGCCAAGTAGACTGTGAATTCCATGATCATTTGAGTAAGTGCTATCCCCACTTTCTAACCCATAACAGAGACTCAATATATGTTTTTGATTTTTTAAAAAATCAAACACCTCTTTAAAACATCTACCACCGTTGGCCCTAAAATCAGCCTAAGGTATGGATATTGTCCAGCACCCCCAACCCGGAGATTGCCTCCCCACTTCCAATTCCCCTTGAAATGAAGTAAAAACTGTAGTTCCAGCATTTAGGCCTCTTACATATCCACTCAGGATGTTCCTCATTGTTAATTCACTCAATAAATTTTGTTCAAAAACAGGATCTTATGTACTAGGCCCAATGGCAGGGGTACAGCAATGAATCCGCCATTGTCCCTCTTGGAGAAGCTCACAGAATAAAGTGAGCTTGGATGAAGGCTCTGACTTTCAGAGAGGCCACTAGCCGTTAGCCAAAATATTTCTGGATCAGTATCTACATCCTATCATCAACTTGACTCCTCGACTCTTTAAAATGTGGCTTTAGAACCTGGTACATAGTGTACACTCAATAAACATTTGTTGGATAAGGGAGTGAATGGGATAGGATGAAAATTTCAGTGAGCTTTTATTGCTCACTGATTGATATAGGAGATAAGCAGCTAATGCTATCTAATCCTTTTTTTTTTTTTTTTTTTGAGTCGGAGTCTCACTGTGTGCCATAGGCTGGAGTGCAGTGGCGCTATCTCAACTCACTGCAACCTCCACCTCCTAGGTTCAAGCAATTCTCCTGTCTTAGCCTCCCGAGTAGCTGGGATTACAGGCATGCACCACCACACCCAAATAATTTTGTATTTTTAGCAGGGACAGGGTTTCACCATGTTGGCCATGCTGGTCTTGAACTCCTGACCTCTGGTGATCCGCCCATCTTGGCCTCCAAAAGTGCTGGGATTACAGGTGTGAGCCACTGCACCTGGCCCCAAATCCTTTATTTAAGTAATTTTGGCTTTGGGTACCCACTGAGCTGATACGTCCACCATGGGAATGTATTAACACTTCAAAAGATCTCTAAGGACAGATAATGCTTCTTAGAAACATTTCTTGTGTCTAATTAGGTGAGGCAGGCTTTCCCAATACCACAGCTAAACACGTTGCACTTGCCTTCAGATAACTCTCGGAGACCTTCCATCCTACAAAACACTGATTAACTAACCTTCCAAATCTGCCAGTAACTGGAACACTTCCTGCTTCTGAACTATCTTCGGCTCCAGGGAGTACCCTGCTAGATTCTTTAATCTCTCTTACTGATCATCTAAACGTATTTTCTTTTACACTTGTGTATGGTTTATTTGTACAGTTGTGGGAAGAGAGCTTGTCTTTATAAATTCCCACAGGACTAGGCACACAGCAGGTATTTAATAAGTACGTTTTTAAAAATGTGTCTTCCATGTGTAGCCCTGTCCTGCAGGGACGCATCGGGTAGGTGGCAAAGGGGTGCCCAATCCTAGCGAACTTTCAACTGAGGTTGGGGGAGAAGGGCAGGGACCCTCCCACCATGAGAATCGTAAGGTAGGACTGGAGAAAAAGATCAGAGCACATCTCTCATGTACTCTAGAACTCTCCAGAAACCTCTCACTTTCTTTGTCCCCATCTTCTGCAGGGGACTTACAGCGTTCTCAGGGACTGCAGGAAATAAGACAAATAGGGAAAAGGAAATCACAGAGCACGATTGAAATATGGCAGATGAGATGCTAGACTGGAATCTTCTCTTTCGCTCAAAATAAATGCATACATAAATGACAGTGATTGTAAGCCTGACAGCACTTCACCCACTCTCTAAAGTCTCCTGACAGTGGGACCTCAAGCAGGGGACTGGAAGGTTAATTTGTTCGGTACCAACTCTGACTCAAAAAGATTATTCTCCTGTGAGGTGAAGGAGAAGAAAAAAAGGTCAGTGACATTTTCCAGCCACTACACCCAGAGGGTAACCCAGATGTTGGTGGGATGGGTGGGACTCATCAAACCCACGCTTTCCCCCAAGGTTGCTAAGACAGAGCGTCCTGTTAGTCTTCGGGTTGAATCAACCCCACAACGACCCGTTCTAAGGAGACTGTGACAGCAGGAAAGGTCATGACACACCCAGGTCTGGACACGCTGTCCCTGAGGCCAGTGCCCGGAGCGCCCCCCGCGGAGCCGCTCTCCACCAATAAGAGCCTGAGGTCCCGAGATGATGAGATGCGGGGCCGCTGCTCAGCCAATCAGGCTCCAGGCGCGGCCAGGGGGAGGAGATGGGAGGAGAGGCCGGGGGCGATGGAGACGCGGATACATCAACAGAAGTTTCTCACCTAGGAATGCGAGGGGCGCTCCCGCATCTCCTGCACATCTCCACCCCTGCGCAGGAGGAGATCCCCAGGCTGCTCTCTCCATCTCTCCTACAGCTCCCTGCAAACGAGGGGGAAGCTGCTGAGAGTCCCTATCACTGCTGGCCTTTTAATGTTGTATGCAAGGAGGAAGAGGGCGAGGGATAACTTGGTGCTGGACAACTGACCTGCGGCCCGAAGGGCCTCTGGGGAGGGGGTGCAAAAGAGGAGCGGCTGGGCTGGGGGACTCCATGCGGGGGCGATGGACAGGGCGGCGCTCCTGGGACTGGCCCGCTTGTGCGCGCTGTGGGCAGCCCTGCTCGTGCTGTTCCCCTACGGAGCCCAAGGAAACTGGATGTGAGTATGGAGGTGGCAGGGAAGCATCGGGTAGGTGGCAAAAGGGGTGCCCAATCCTAGGGAACTTTCAACTGAGGCTGGGGGAGAAGGGCGGGGACCCTTAGACGAGTGACCTAATTTTTCGGAAAACATCTGGAATTGGGGAGCGGCTTAACGCTACGGGCGGCCGTGTCTTACAGGTGGTTGGGCATTGCCTCCTTCGGGGTTCCAGAGAAGCTGGGCTGCGCCAATTTGCCGCTGAACAGCCGCCAGAAGGAGCTGTGCAAGAGGAAACCGTACCTGCTGCCGAGCATCCGAGAGGGCGCCCGGCTGGGCATTCAGGAGTGCGGGAGCCAGTTCAGACACGAGAGATGGAACTGCATGATCACCGCCGCCGCCACTACCGCCCCGATGGGCGCCAGCCCCCTCTTTGGCTACGAGCTGAGCAGCGGTGAGTCCTGGGTCCTTAGGGGTTGGTGGGGGACGGAAGGCGACAACTCCTCCACCGGTTCCTGCAAATAAAGTAAATAGTGCTACGTGGTCCTGTAGCTCTCTAAGTTCCAGAAGAAGCCCTTTAGTGCACGGGGATTGAGAGCTACAAAGGCCAGACCTGGGGAGCAGGTGCGAGCCTGGAGGGAGGTGACTCCCCAGTTCCAGAGCGGAGCTCTAGGGGCTGGAGCTCTTCCTCTTTCCTGCGGTGCCCCGCCAGAGTTGGAAAAAAAACTCTAATTCTCCTACCCCGCCGACCCCCTCGGACCCCGTAGCGCCCCCCTACGTGGGTGACCAGCTGGAGAAACATGATGTCGGCAGCGGGGAATGCGGCTGCCGCATCTGCTTTGATTTAACCAACTCCGCTGCGCACCAAACCCCGGACAAGTGGCTAATTGCAGCGAAGCCCCACCTTTATTGGCTCCTAGGAGCACCGAGTTGACAGAATAATGGTGACTTTTAAAGCGACTGTCCGCGACCACCCAACGTGCGGCTAACCTGAGCAGGACCACTTGTGCGCTTCTCGTTTCTTTGGCTTTTCTATCTTTCCCTCCTCGGCGCACTCCCGCGGCGCGGGAAGCTGCAGGAAAACAAAGTTCCACTTCCACGTGCGTAGTGACTTGGTAAGGATAAAGGTACAGGGAGCCAGGATTGTTCCTGGAATATCAACAGATCCAAAGAATGTTAGGACTGGGGCGCTGAAGGATGCGCTGTCGTTTTTCATGTTCATTTCCGTTCCCCCTCCGCCTTTGACCCTTGTCCACGCAGTCCCTGCGCGCACCCCCGCCGAGCCGCGCACCTCCCCCGCGGCGTTCTGGCCGGCACGCCCTTCCGAAGGAGCCCTGGTCCCCGTAGAGAGAAAAAAAAAAAAAAAAAAAAAAGAGACAGAAAGAAAAAAAATAGATGTGTTTTTCACAGTTGCTGAAATGCATCAGCTGTTGAAAAGGTTTATTGGACAGCGGGCATGAAACTGTTTCTACTCCAAACTAAACATCTGGAAAGAAAAAAAAAAAGTCGCCTGCTGATTCCCTTCTAGTCCATGTTATTAATGTTTTAATGGACTTTAATTTTCAAAGATTTTAGCTCAAACTCTACTGCAGGTGTGCTAAATGCATAATTTTCAATATTCAATATTTTTAATAGAATTATGTTTTTGCTAGTGACATTTTAATTATCTTACCTTTCATTGCCTTTAAGACTGTAAGAGGAGTAGCTAATACTATATAAAATGTTTAACTGTTTCATGTTAATGTGAGACTAATCTTTAATGTGAAAATATACGGTACCGTTTACTAATTGCTTTGGTCTTTCCTTAATTTTAATTTTCATTCTGACACGTATTATTTATGCAAACAAAAATCACACCAAAATGTTCAGCTTGTGTTCTGTGAGAGCACATTTTAAATTTCAAAAGAAAAGCAATCTAGTGTTCTTTGGGTGTTGTATTACCGTTTACAGTATCTATGCAAAGAATTTTTAATTCAGCATGTATTACTGAGCTATGACTGTCAACTGTGCACTGAACTGGGTGCAAACATACATTTCAAATTTAAAAAATAAAGAGATGATTTTAAGGTAAAGGGACAATGTATGACCATACAGTATATGACAATCTCTTCAAGTGGAATACTGAAAATTAATGTTGCTTTTTAAGAGACTAGAACAAGAGCAAATCTTCCTTTCTAAATATGTACTCGTTAACGCATCCATTGTAAGCAACTGAAAAATTACTTGTCCAGTAAGATCATGAGTAGGAGGCTTTCTTCTGAACATAAACAGAAGTTGCCTGGTTCTCTAATTTAGCAATTTATATTTTTTCTAGGCACCAAAGAGACAGCATTTATTTATGCTGTGATGGCTGCAGGCCTGGTGCATTCTGTGACCAGGTCATGCAGTGCAGGCAACATGACAGAGTGTTCCTGTGACACCACCTTGCAGAACGGCGGCTCAGCAAGTGAAGGCTGGCACTGGGGGGGCTGCTCCGATGATGTCCAGTATGGCATGTGGTTCAGCAGAAAGTTCCTAGATTTCCCCATCGGAAACACCACGGGCAAAGAAAACAAAGTACTATTAGCAATGAACCTACATAACAATGAAGCTGGAAGGCAGGTATGTATTAGAAAATGGAATAATCAAAACCCAGTGCTGTTAGGTAAATAACTAGGATTACACATCTGCATGAAACTGTCCAAATGACTTAAAAACCAAACACTGGCAGCCCTCAAGTGGGATCCTGAAAATTAATATTGTTTTTAAAAGACTACAGCAATAGAAAATTATCCTTTCTAAATATGTATGCGTTAAAGCATCCATGGTAAGCAATTGAAAAATTCCTTCTCTGGTAAGAGGATGAATAGGAGGCTTTGATTAGAATAAATATACGTGTGTGTGTGTGTGTATACACATTTGCACATATATTACAAATGTGTATTATACAAATATGTATATACCCTTTCATGAATATATACTAACCACAATTTTGGTTCTCTAACTGATATGAGTTAAACCGTGTTATAGCATGTGTTTGTGGTTGTATACTGTGTATATCTAAAACTTTGATATAATATAATAGATGCACAATGCCTGTAGGGTTCATTGGTTCTACCCGCTTAGTCGTGGAGTCAGAATAGGGTCTACAGTATCTGCCTTTCTAATAGAACTGAGTCAAATTTCATTTCCCCCAATTTGAATTTTTATGATATTTTTTTAAATCGACTTTTTAGTGGGCAATGGCTCCTAAACATGTTGTCAGTTTTGTACTTACCTTTTTCTAGCAAACCTTCTTTGGTAATATGTGCCCTTAACTAATATTTTTTGTAAAGGAAAGTTTTTTTAGGGAAATAGTTATTTTATTATAAAGCAATGTAGGTTAATTTTTAAAATTCATAAATACTCCTAAGCATAAAGAAGCTATAGGTATATTAAATCTATAGATATTTTAAAATATCAGTATCTTAAAGATACAGAGGTGGTACATTTGAAGAATTGCTATGTAATTACCATCCTTTATGAATTCTACATTTTTATACTGTTTTCTTAAAATGCATCATTCTTGTAGCTAAATTTGACTTATACATATTCACATTAGTGAATATTGACACAACAAAGTTTGAATTCTACAACATAGTTGACTTAGTTGGCAATTCATAGTGACTTTTCTAAAAAAGTCTAAATCTTTTATATGAATATATATTTTCTATGTTGTAATAAACTTTTTCAGGACAGAAATATTAGCACATATCATATATTCTTGTAAATATTCAATAACTTATAAAGGTCCCAAAGTAATCATTGCAATCTGTCACATTCTTTTGAAATAAATAAAACAAATTGCAATATCTCTTAGTAATCTTAAAAGTATATGTTGCGTTTGTTTTCCATTTTTGGAAAATGAATAAATGGAACGCATTTAGAATAGTTACAAGTTACTCCCAGTTTTCTTTACTTTGTCCATTTAAAATACAAAAACAGAAAAGTCGGTAAATATATCACTGTAACACTTCAAATTCAAATTTTAATTTTAATTCAATTTAAATATTTAATTCAAAATAGCAAAATAGAAAGTAGGAATGTCAGTAAATAGCTATGTAAGCTTTTTGTATTTTTGTTTATAAAATTGTAAAAGTTATTTTATTTCACTAGAATAACTCTTGCCCAACACCATAGTCATGCACATGCCTCTTAAGGTTTTACATTTAAAAAAATAAATGACTGAGATGTTGCTTCAATTTAAATATTATCCAATAAGGGAATTTTTATTATTTCTAGCATATTAATTTTGAAAAGGTTAAATGTAATTAGGATATGTTCTTAAAACTCTAGAGTTAAACCTAGAGATAAGATTATTCAAATTAATATATTTTTAAAACAAGAAAACAAATAAACGAGTGTTTGTTATCAACAGACCTTAAATCTTCTTTGGCCATTCTTTAAGTAAATTTGGTAGAGATTTTTAATAAACTAGAAATTCAGAACACAAAAACTCACGTTATGATTGATTCTCTTAAATAAAATCATCTTGGGACTTACAAAAAACCCTAAAGCATTCTAAAATATATTTTTATTAGTAACATTCGGCAGCTATTTGGTTTTATTTTATATTGTGTGTTTTTCAAATTAGGTAGTAATGTTCCTCTCTGTAACTGTTAATGCTAATCTTAAACTATTATTTATATCCTGATTTTATTAAAAACATACTTCCTATTCACCATTAATTTAAATCCATTTTTATTGGCAAAAAATAATTTTCTAACATTACCTAGGTTCTTGCTATTATTCTAACTAGCTTGAAAACAATTCAATTTATGCATATATGTACATTTTGTGTAAATCTCTGAGTTTTCTCTCCTGAATCATTTTTTTCACATTGTTCATTTTTGGTTCACATTGTTTCACATTTAGATGAAATCTTAAAATATTAGAAAACATTTTCCTGGTTATTTGGTAGGTACTATGCTGGTGTTTTTGTTGTTGTTTTTATTTTCTCTTGAGGTATTATAATTCAACAGAGTTTTGTATTTTTCTTTCTGTTGCTGGCAAAAAAACAAAAACAAAAACAAAACCAACAACACCATAAAAGAGGTTTCCTGGTTATTATCTAACATGGATGAGCAATCAACTCAATTTTTTCAACATTGGCAATTAGGATTTTAATCTAATAGGCATATTCTTCTGAATAAAATCCAGGTCTGTATTCAATTGAGTTGATTTTCTTAGCCTCAAAATCACAAACTCAAAATGTAGGAAAGTGTTCAGAGAAATGTGGGTACTGGCGCTTAGTAGTACTGTGAGCAGGATAGATGATTTTCTAACCGCTAACCTTAAATACTCTGATTCCCACTTGGTTTCTGACACCATTCCTAAACTTATGACTCCAAGAATAATGTTGCCGAATGATGATTGGCTAACGGAATGATGTGATGTCTTCCAGGGGCAGAACTTCTGGGAATAATGTGACTTGGAATATTTATGGGTATTTCTTTTGGTGTGCTTAAAATATTTCCATTCTTCCCATGTCCACCTCACAAACTTTTAAGTTTCCCTACCCCATAATTTGTTTTATGATGAGTAACTCAACAAAGTGGGAAGGGCTCAATCCCAAATTTTCATTGACCTATTCCAAGAATATTTATAAGTAGTTGAACAACACATAGTGTTTTGCTTTTCAGTAGGTTCGAATATATTTTTGGACAGAAAGGGACAAAACGGGTCAGAGGAACAGGAATCCTACATACACCCATCCAACCTCGTGTCGCAGTTTTTATAAAAACTTAGATCATCTGATAGTTGAGAAAATGAAATGTTAGTCACAAAACGTTCCACAACAATTTTCTGGCCATTTTTGTAAAATTCGGACAACGTAATTTACTGAAAAACAATCGCCAACTGCCACATTACCTCTGAGTCAAAATTGTGGAACCAATCAGTTCTTAAACCACTTCTCAAGCGGTTTCTATGTTTACATTAAGTATTAATGATGCATCTTTCCTATTTCACTTCATTAGAAATTTATCAAACCAAAATTTACACAAGGAATCCAGTAGATTAAATGCTACCCTCCTGATTGCTCTGACATAGTTTAAAAATATTCCACCAAAATGTGCACATCTGTTTGCAATAGTTAACAAAACATTCCTCTGTTAATATCGTTATAAACCTTAACAACTCAACTAGAGTAGAGAAAGGAATTTTCTCATAACCACACAGCACTCATTCCTTTGCTATTCTCTTATGTTCCTGTTAACAGAAAATTATGGTGATATTGCTGTAATTCACAATGGCTATTTAACATTAATTAAGAATCCTGGAGGAAAATCTCCAGAATACACTTTCTGGGGGAGTGTTCATGCAATTTCCTTAAATATACTTGCATTTTCCACTTTTATTTTTCCCTATTCTACTAAAATTATCCTGCTGCATATAAATACCTTATATTATTTATCACCAGCTTTCCTTATGTAAGATAAACGTCTTAATCAGACTTTATTTTTCTGTAAAATTGAAATCATAAGTACCTGCTTATTAACTAGCTATTATGTGCAACAAATATCTTCCTCTAAAACTAAATCAGGTAAAATATTTATTAAAATATGCTCTGAGAAGCAGAATTCTAATTCTGTAGAATTAAACTTTGTGTGTGTGTGTGTGTGTGTGTGTGTGTGTGTGTGTGTGTGTGTATCTGTCCTTGAATTTTGCATTTCATCAGTCCTGAGTGGTGATTACACTGCTTTATTCTAATTCCAGATTGTCCAAGTTCTTTCCTTGGAATATTATGGGGGTATAATCTTTGAAATTCCAGGTCAGGTTATTGATATTTTTTTCCTTGAAGTTCATTTATCTTTCTGTCCTAGAATACAGTATATATATGCATATATATGTGTGTATATATGCCCATAGATATTCTAAGAATATGTATATACCTCTATAGATGTTCGAGGATACAAAAATAATATGTATCATATATAATAAAGATATTATTTCTTTTATTATGTTTATTGTTAGGGACACTTACAATTCAAAGTTTAAATTGTCATCACTGAAAAATTATAAATTCCATGTATGTATTCAAAAGGGCTAATTTTCTAGGAGGGAAATCTTTCTATAATTTCAATACAAATTCAGCAGGTGATGTAATTGAATTTGAAAATCAGTCTCTCTTTTTATCCTTCATCGTGTTGTAGTGCATAACTTTCATAGAGTAACACTATTGTGGACGGGGCTAAAACTGAGGAGTTGAAAGAGAGAGCCCAGCCGGCTCAAAACAATACCATTAACCTCTTAGCAGTGACATGTGTTTAAGAAGGTGGTTTTTATTACTCCCTCTTGATTCAGTTTACCAACAGAGGATGAGATAAAAGTGTTCAAGTGAGCTGGACCAATTACTCAATAAGTATTTGATGAGCGTCTACTTTGTCCCTCATGCTGTGCAAATTGGCAACATCTTACATGATGTCTGAAGTGACTAATAAAAGAAAAAATCGGCTCCTCAGTCATGATCCAGGGGAGAAACAGCTTTAAGTCACTAAGTGATGACTGTAAAGAAGGCTGATCAGCTTAAACATGGAAACATACATTGTTATGTTTTTAGTGTTCTTTGGACAGTTATGTTTTGTTATTACCCAGCACTGATTGAGCTTTTTCTCGTAAACTTTGGGAGCTTAAAATTTGAACAAAGTAGGCAGATCACATTTATTTGCCTGGAAATGTTTTAAAGAATTGAGGGTTTTGTGAATATGAAATGCCATAAATTTAAAGAAATAAGCTTCTGTGACATACTTTATAAATTGCTGTCATATAATCGCAGGACACCTTTTGCCCTGGGTTAAGAAGAAATAGATACATCTATTAGTTTCTTAGTTTTGTGAATTCAAAAAAAGCAAATGTGCCATATGCACTACTAAGAAATATCAAGCATTGCATAAATCAATACCATATGCTCTTATTTAAGGTTGCAAATGTTATTATTTGTGTGCAATATTGTCTCATTAGATAGTTCAGACATTTTTAAAATTTGTTTGAAAACATAACATTCTGCAAACGTGTCAATGTCAGGTTTGGTACAAAACAGCAAAGTGTAGACCCCTGTCATTTTATTGTTTTCATAAGAATTGTAAGTGGAATTTAAACTGTGAGGTTTTTCCTTTCTTTGGTGAGATTACACACATAATTTCCAAGTTATTGAATGGATGGATCCATCTTTCATTTTACCCAGCATGTTGACAGAACGTCAACTCCACAGCTAGCCCTGACGATTTATTAATCTGTTCTGCCATCGTCTGGGGATTGAAGGAAGCTATGCTGGCTAGCCTGGTATGTAAGAGATTAGAGCCCTAAACTTTTGAAATCTCTATATTGTTTTTGCACCCCTAGCCTTACTGGAAATGTTTATCTCAACTCTAACTGTACCTTCTTTTTCAGAGAAAGGGGCTTTTATTTAGACCTTAGTGTGTGTCAGGCAGTGGACTATTACAAATATATGTAGTTTCATTTAACTTCTTAGTCTGTTTAAACTGAACTTAGCACTTAGAATTGAAAAAATTACATAAACATTATCCCCTTTGTATTTTCCATGCTAGGATAATGCTACTGATTCATCAAGGATAGGGCATGTGTTTTGAATTAATTTTCCAGAAAAGGAGAATTTGCTGGGGGGAGCCACCATACTGTAGCCCCTTCTCCTTTTGACCAACTAAACCAGATTTGTCATAGTTTCTCATGTGGCCTGGAACCAGGGGATAGCATAGTTCACCACCTCCACCCCTCCCTTTGTATGTGACTGACTTTTATAGTGATCAAACTTGAGAACTCTCAATTGAATCAATACGTCTCATCCCTGGATGCTCATTAAAATAATCTCAGCGGCTTTGTGAAAGTACCATGGCCTGGACACCCCACCCCCTGCCCGACCAGTGAAATCAGAATCTGAGAGGTTTGAGCATTGGTTATTTGTAAAGTTCCATGATGTTTCTATGCACCATGAGAGCTAAGGGTAACTTCTCTCTCAGTGCTTCTCAAATTTTAATGACAATCTTGTTAAAAATGCAGCTTTTGGTTCTGTAGGTCTGGAGTGGGGCCTGAGAGTCTGCATATCTCACAAGTGATGCTGGTGTTGCTGGTCCCTGAGCTGTATTCTGAGTAACGAGGTGTTGAATGGTATCAGGAACATACAGGCATGCATAAGCATCCTACCACATTCAAAATTAGACCGGGGATTAGAAATAGAAGTAATTTCCTTTTGTTATCGCAGATAATCTCCAATAATATTAGTCTGGTCCACTACTTTAAGTACAGCTTGGAAAGCTTTGCTCTGAAGGGTCAAGAAATTTGGACAAAACATTTGGGACAAAAACCAAAGGACGAAACATTTGAAGCCTACGCAATTTTAAAGATTATTTACGTTCAAAACCATCATTTTTATTCAAGAGGAAATAGACCCAGAAAGTTAATTGATTAGATTAACTGTGCTTCTGTTGTTGAGTAAAACACTTTATGATTGATAGTTGAACACAATTACTGTTGGTTTCAGGCTGTCGCCAAGTTGATGTCAGTAGACTGCCGCTGCCACGGAGTTTCCGGCTCCTGTGCTGTGAAAACATGCTGGAAAACCATGTCTTCTTTTGAAAAGATTGGCCATTTGTTGAAGGATAAATATGAAAACAGTATCCAGATATCAGACAAAACAAAGAGGAAAATGCGCAGGAGAGAAAAAGATCAGAGGAAAATACCAATCCATAAGGATGATCTGCTCTATGTTAATAAGTCTCCCAACTACTGTGTAGAAGATAAGAAACTGGGAATCCCAGGGACACAAGGCAGAGAATGCAACCGTACATCAGAGGGTGCAGATGGCTGCAACCTCCTCTGCTGTGGCCGAGGTTACAACACCCATGTGGTCAGGCACGTGGAGAGGTGTGAGTGTAAGTTCATCTGGTGCTGCTATGTCCGTTGCAGGAGGTGTGAAAGCATGACTGATGTCCACACTTGCAAGTAACCACTCCATCCAGCCTTGGGCAAGATGCCTCAGCAATATACAATGGCATTGCAACCAGAGAGGTGCCCATCCCTGTGCAGCGCTAGTAAAGTTGACTCTTGCAGTGGAATCCCTAGAACCTTGGACCTGAGAGTTTCCCTTACCTGATCGACATATTTTCCTTTATCTGATCAACCCATCAATCATGTGGATTTCTTGGGATTCTAATGTTGAAAAGGTTTATATTCACCTTTTGATGATTTGGGGAATATATATTGACATACAAGGAAGATAATCTGTTTCCTAAGCAAGAAATAACAGGAAAGATCCCTTATGCCAGGAGGCCTGCCATACTCAGGATAAGATCCTTGAATATGGAACTTAGTTACAGGACTCAATAATGGTGGGTGAACATTAGTCATTTTTAAAAGACACCTCTTATAGCAATAAGGAGACATTAACATGAATCTCATTTATTCTCTCAGTATTTTAACTGAAGAAATTATACTGTTTGTGTGTGGATAGAAGATGTTGAAAAGTTAACATAAGCATTGGGTGCTGACTTACCCTTTCATGTACTTCCAAAGAAAGGTAATCAAAAAGAATCTTCTTAAGTGATATAATATCCCTAAAAAAATGATCATTACAGATGTTTAGTGACAAAGAATCAATATGTAAAAAGTATAATGAATGATTTAGATTTTAAGTGCCTTTTCACTGGGAGAATCTGGAAAAACCTCCATAAGGTATATAGCAATCTTTGATCTTTAGATTCATACTTTTATCACAGATCAGTTTCAACTGTTAAAAACCCACCTCTGAGATACTGGGGGGAGGATCCTGAAACATGCGGGAAAAGGAGAGGTAAACAGTGGAGGTAAAAATATAATTTCATACATTGTAAAGAAAAGCACCCTTTAAATGTGTAAAGACAGTGTTTTGTAAAGAATTTTGTTTAAAAAGTTTCTATTTTGTAAATACAGTACTTAAGTTATATGATTTATATTAAAACATTTATTGACAAAGCCTAAGAGCTAAGGCAGTAAAATTATCTCATAAATAATATTAGCTTATTTTTTTTCATACTATTAATGCTATTTTTTTGGACATCGAAGAGAATTTAACTTAGCAGTTAGTTATATGGATGTGTATTTCTTGCTAAAATGACAGTTTTATATGTTATAGATTAAAATATGTTGCAAAATATCAAAAATTTGTGTTATTTCAGCAGTAAGATTAATTGAATTCTCTTTTCACATTAGTTATGCTTAACTCATAAGGTTATTATAATAAATTATATTAGTAAAAGTCTTAACTGGAAAAAAGAATCTAAATCAGAATAGTGATCAATTTGTGGATTTGATATCCTGGATATTTATTATATTTTATGTAATGCTGCATTTCTATTTGAATGTTAAGTGGTCTTTCTTGTTTTTAATATTCATGCATGTATATTCATCATATTTTACAAGGTTCCTGGTAAAAATTACAGGGCTCTATTTAAGGATGTATTTTAATGTAAATGCTTATGTTTTTTATGAATTGTTAAATATTTCAGTATTATATAGAAAAAAATAGATTTTTAAAATTCAGAATGGACAAAGAGAATATTCATTTTCTTATTAATAAGATAAAGAAATGTTTCCCTGCCCCACAGTCTTCATTCTATTTCTCTTTAATTTTATTCACTGAGGCAGAGAAACAATTTTTGAAAAAGAGCAAACCCATGGAAAATGTCTCAGATCTAATATTAAAATCAAGACTAAGCATTTAACTGTGATTGTAAAGTTTGACAAAGTTATTATTTACTAAATGAGAGACACAGAAATGGCAAATATATGAATATAGTGCATATTTAAAAGTGGTTTTCCAGTCTTTAGCATCCCTTGAACAGAATAATCTGAAAATATACACTCTCTCCTGCCTATTTTTTTCAAAGTAAATCTATTTTGTCTTCTTTGAACATAATCACCCATTTTTAAAAAACAGAAAGACTGTAGTGTCTATTAACAACCAATTTCTTCTATTAATTAGAAAACCTTTCATAATTACCTTATCAACTGACTGTGAGAATCAGGCAGCCTCTAATTTACAAAGACTTGATTACTGTTCAGCCATTCCTTTAAAACAGTGATGCTAACTCAGGCACCTCTCTCTGGGATGCCTAAGCAAAAACTCCTCCTAACTCCAAACCTGTGTCTTTGGGTTCTTCTTTTCTTCTCACCTTTGGTATCACCATGGAAGCCATCCTTAAGTTTCTCACTTTTTTTTTTTTTTTTTAAGACAGTCTCACTCTGTTGCCCAGGCTGGAGTGCAGTGACCCGATCTCGGCTCACTGCAACATCTGCCTTCTGGGTTCAAATGATTCTCCCGCTTCAGCCTCCCAAGTAGCTGGGATTACAGGCATGTGCCACCATGACTAGCTAATTTTTGTATTTTTGGTAGAGACGGAGTTTCACCATGTTGGCCAGGCTGGTCTCAAACTCTTGACCTCAAGTGATCCACCCACCTCGGCCTCCCAAAGTGTTGGGATTACAGGTGTGAGCTACCGCGCCTGGCCATCACCTATCTATCTCTCTTATTGGCTGACAGCCTGCCCTTAGCCCATTTCCATCCCACTCCCAGTCATGGTAGAGGAAGCACCATGGTGCTCCTGGGAACACAATTCTGGGACCCAAAGGCTCCTATCTAGTCTAAACCACATTGCCTGCATTCATTAGGGCCCCTTATGTTGCAAGTAATGGAAAACTCAACCCAGACTGATTTAAACATTAAATATGTTGACTCAGTAACTAAAAACTTCAAACTTGTGACTGGTTCAGGGGAAGCTTGATCCACAAGCTCACACCATGTTCCCTGGGCTCAGGTCTCTCTATTACTTTAGGCTGGCTACTGGCCAAGTCTTCTACTTCAGGGTTCATGCAGTGCTGTGTCCTAACCTCTTTCAAAGTCTCCCACCCCTAGCATCTCTGGGATCTCTACTTTTCTTAGCAACATGGCTGCCATGCTTCCAGACCTCACATTCTCCTACCTGCCACTCATTCTAAGGAAAGAGGGGTCCCATCCTCAAGAAAGAGAGGTTCTCTCCTGGTTTGCTCACACAGATGGAAAGAAAACCTTTTCTTTCTCAGAGGATTCAGCAAAGGTCTTCTGAGTCTCAGTGGTTCTAATTGATTAAATGTGCCTCTCTCTGAAAAAATCACCATGACCATTGGGAGTTTTGGGTGAGCCATAGGTACATTGAACCATCTTAAGGCCATCATGACCCTGGAAGTGGAAGTGGGATTCCCTGGAACTAAAATTACACAGCGTGAGAACAGAGACGGGGGTGGTTTCCCTAAAGGAAAACCAGGGTGTTATGTTACTGGTAAGGAGTACCTGGACGCTGGGCAGCAAAGACATTATATGCCTTAGTTCTAGTGAGCTGTTTAGGAAACAGCTTTTGATATTACATGGAGCTCACAACAGACAAAGCAAGCCCTAAGCACTGTGGATTATGAATGTGGGTTCAAAGTGCTTTGATTTGTTTAAATACCTTGCATAATGTTAAAGGGCGAAGGGAGGTGCTCCAGTGGATTATTTTTCAATTTAGGAGTTCAAATTCTTTGTAAATTTGGAACTGCCTAATAAAGGCAATGGTAAGAGGCAATGATTCATCCTGAAACAAAGTCAAGAAAAACATATTAAATGATATTATCTGTAACATCTGGATTAGGAAGTTGAATAATTAAGGCATTTTCCTGATAATGGTACTTTACACAACATTAACAACATGTTAATTCTTTTTAGTATAAACAACTGCATTATTTCTTTATTCACAATTCGGATGATAGTCATTTTGTTTTCTATTTTAAGAGACTATGATAATTATATTAAAAATAACAACAAAATTTTAATTTTACACATTAGATGCTGTGACCTTATGTTTTGGCAGCTTTAAAACTATGTGATATGCACAGTAAGTATTTTAAAACACATTTTAATTTTCTCCAGGACTGTTAGTACTAATATGATATTTGTACTTAGTTTAAATATTTGTACTAAGTTTATTTGTACTAAGTTTAAATACGTAGTAGAAACAGAAAAGCGTCTCATCAAAATACTTATTTCTAGGCAATTTAGTGAGTTGCTCATCCTTTTTGCATCACCTCCCAAAGGTCATCAAAGATTGAGAAATTCGACTCACTATTTAGAGGCAGGAAGTGATCTGGAACACTGATTACCTTAGGTGATTTGAGGGAAGAAAAATTTGAATCCTATCTTCAGAAACCTCAAATACTCCTCAAGACAAGCCTTTCTTAAAGAAAGTTGGCTAAGATGTCTCCTTTTTGAAATTAATTTAAATTTTACTATAGACCAGATGTGATAAATCATGACATTTCTTGGGGGCAAGATGATGACACGTGGCACAGCATGACAAGGGACACAGTGATACACAAGGAAAGGACTAATTTACTTTGAAAGAATAAATAATATTAGCAAATACCTCCATAGCACTTAGTATATACCCGTATTAGTCTAAGTAAAAAATATATAGAGAGATACATATAAAAATTCAATCTTCACAACAACCTCGTAAAGTAGGTACATTATTGTAGTTTTCGTTTTACAGCTGAGGAAACTGAGACACACAGTAAGTTCCCAGCCCAAGGTCACACAGAAGGAACTGGCTTCAATGTCTGTGCCCTTAACTACCACATTGTTATTGTGCTTCTCACAGTATCAGAATTGTCAGACTGTGTTTACAAACATATGCCATTTAAAGAATTTAGGGGATTTGTGAATGTAATGAAAGTTACAGGATGTTCTTCATGGTTTGGTTATATAAACTTGGTTGAAAAGTAGGGAGCGAAGTGATGGGAGAGCTGAGATCTTAGAATTTACTATGAAATAAAATTAAAATACACTGCCTCTTGATTACTAAGCCCAAAGTGACTTACGCTGACTTCTATTTTAGATTGCAATGTGGCTTACAGTTGGATTGTGCAAGAATCTAATAACCATTCCAAAAGAAAATAACTAGGGGTAAAGATCAAACTAATTTAGTGTGACATAAAATAAATACTTACATCCTTTTTATTGTTGTGCTTACAGCCAAATGTTACATAAGGTGTTATTTTTAACAGATGGATTAAAATTTACTATTTGTAATGGTTTACACTCATATCCAAAGGAAAACCACTAGAGGTGGTTTGCACCAGATTAAAACTTTTTGAAACAAAATCATACTAGCAAAAGCAGCCTCTCCCATGTGGTTGTAAAGTAATAAAGGAGAATCAAGTCAACACAAACTAAAGTTTCATGTGTGACTTTATAATTTGCAGAGTAAGTAAAAGCATCTGATTCATGTGAATTGGAAAGGCAGAAAGGGCGGTGGCTGAGGGCTGCCTTTGTCCCTATCAGATGGCCATTCAGAACCATCAGGGTAGCTCTACTGCAGAGGCCAAGCCTTTCCTTCCACATTTTAGTAACCACCTGACACCCATGATCATGGCCCACACATTTACTTGGCCCTGTTTAGCCAAGAAGAAAGGGCAGATCCTTGGTGCCCCTACTCACTCTTTGGTGAGAGAAATATCACCAAATATACCAGTACATTTAAATACACCTCGAATTCTCTGGAAACCAACGAAAGGTGTAGATACACAAAATGGAAATCAATAACTACCTATGTATTGCCAGTACATAATCCTTACTTTCTCTTAGTCCTATCCACTGTCATTGTTTTATCTCAAATTCCCTGGCAAACAAGGCTCTATGCAAGGCAAGAAATAACACAGGACACAATAGCAAAATGGGAAAGCTGAAGAAGTGAATGGGATAAATCCTCTCTAACATGTCCCCTACTTAATGGGTACAGGAACTTTGCAAACTGAAAGATAAATTTCAATTCTCAGTGTGAGAAATTATTTCCTTCACCGGCTTAAAGTTGTTTTGCTTTCCCCAAATGCCCAATTCATCATTTTTTGAGAAACTATACTTTAAAATACAAGAATGATTTCAAAATTTCACTTGCCACAATTCCTGTAACTGTGCCCATATCCAACACATCCAGTGCTTTAAAACCACAGGGAACCTAATCCAGACTATTTCCATAATATAATTTTAACACCCTTTTGTAAGGTCTTAACAGTTCCACAAGAATTAGCTGTCAATATCATTTTTGGTCAAACGTTTCAGATTTCCATAGAGGTCTAGGAATGAGCTCACTTACCTTAAACCTTAAGTCCTTTCCCTAAGGGAGAACAGGAAGCCATTTGGGGCAGGCTGCACTCCCCAGGTAAGAAGGAGGCAGGACATAAGGCCCAGTTCTTGCTCATTCCTTACACCTAAGGAAATCTTCACCAATTGACTCTCCCACTTCTACCCACTGAAAACCACAACTCTCAGGGAATACTGCCTTCTCCACTAACCCAACATATTTCTAACCATAGCCCAACCATCATTTGCTTTTAAATCTCTCCTCTTCTCAGAGGTTGGACTCACAATGCATACTCCTTGGGATTCCTTTCTGTTCTTGCCAAATAGAGCACATAATACTTCTGTAACCAGCCTTCCAAAAAACAGAGCATACACAAGCTAAGTAGCTTTTGGAGTTGAAATTTAAAATAATTTAAGAGATTTCCATGTTAATACCAACATCTGTAAATAATAAAAAAATGCAAAATTCATGTGAAGTTTTACAATCAGAGAACTTCACAGGCTCACACTGGACTTTTCGCTAAAAGACAAGATTCCCAAGGGTGACCATTAGTCTCCTCTGCTTTGAGGGATATACTTATGGAAAACAGAGCAATTCTTTTCAACAGGTAGATGTCCAAATCGGCCATCTTATTCCACTGGTGATACAGGAGGCTACAATTTGGTGGGGAAGTCACTGGCCTCACTGTTGAGTTTGTTCTGTGTCAGAGAGGGCCAGCTGAGCCCCAGCATCTTCCCCACCATGATCAGTATGCCACCCTGCCCCGCAGCAGGAATTGGAGTGGTGAGGTTATTAGGAGCAGGGATCAAGGCCTGCACTCTCCAGTGAGGCTCATCAACCACCTCCTGCCACAGGAAGAGGTCAGCAAGGGCTCCCAGCCTCTTTGGCTTAAGTCACATACTTTCCCCTAAAGGCCAGACCAGCAATCAAGTAGAACCACTTAAAATGCTAGCTACCTGAAGATACACCAAAATACATAAATTAACCACTTAAAATGGTAGCTACTTGGAGATACATAAAAGCCTGAATTCTACCTATGAAGGGGAGTTGGTGTCAATGTGTAATAAGTGAAAAGGTAGGCAGAATATGAAAGAGGTTTGGAGGTCAAGGAGAACCTCAGGTGAAGAAATGAATGAAACCTCTCCCATGATCTTACTGCTCAAGTCATCTAATGGCTCCCTTCTGGCTGGGTATGATGGGATTGGAAAGCTAGAGAGGCTGACTTGTTGCAGCTTCTCTTGGGCTAAAATGCCTGTAAGACACACGGTTGATAACAGCAATACTAGCAGTTGCACTGAATGAGTACTTTGTGCCAGGCACTTTGATAGGCACCACAAACATGCTGGTATTATCCCTGTTTTACAGGTGGACATTGACTTCCTCAAAGTCCTCAAGTAGTTCACAGTGGAACAGAGATGAATTTTCAGGCAAGTCTGCACTCTTAACCACTATGCCACACTGTCTCCCCACTACAGAATTCTCTCCTCTTTAAAGGTTTTTCAGACCCTTTTCTCTTTGGCTATCAAGTGAAGGAAATATGGGCTGACTATACGGAACATTACGAGCTTGCAGGTTATAAGTCAATTTTCCCTGACCAAAGGGAGTATCTTTTATCAATTTAGCCTCAGCTTGTTCTTTCAATATTAAATGCACCCCAGTGGTTGTCATAACTGATGCAGAGCTGAACAGTGAAGTTAGTGATGGCAACAAGTTGTACCTGTGAACTAGTTGTACTGAGAAGATTGTCTTCCCCATGCTAACTTTGCTTACAAATTGCCATGGGACAAGCCCAAGAGAAACATCTCTTCTGTCTTTAACCTGAGAACTTCCCAGTCCCTTTTCCTTTCTGACCGCTCATAGAAGAGACATCTAACTATTTGAAGTGTTTCCCCAGTATAGCTTCCCTCAAGGTGTTTGCCCCCTCACTGGCCTGGAGGAAGGTTCTGATGGCAGAAGAGTCTCTTAGATTCCCTGGAGGGCTTTTCCCATGCTGCCTGAAACATCCTTTGATGCTCTCTTCATGCTGTCTAGCAACAAATGAATGACATTCCCTCGCGAAGCCTGCTTACTTTTCACTCCATCTAGCCTTTGATTTGCCTGGAAACTCAAAAAAAAAAAAAAAAAATCACAATAAGGAGCAAGCAGAGAAAAAAGGCTTAAATTGAGCGAGTTTGGATGGAAATAGAAATTAACTAGTTACAGCATGTGATAATCAAAAATCAAGTATGTGGTAGAAAAATCATTCTGAAAAGAGACAGAAAATCCTTTTGAGGAATGCAAAGGTGCAATCTGTTATTTTATTCTATAGCTCTAAATTTACATGGATTTATTGCTGTACAAGAGGTTGAAATAATTGAAGAGGTTTAAGTGACAAATCTCCCTAATCAACACAAGTAATTTATCTCTCTCATATTCCTTTGAAACAAAGTATTCTAAATGAATTTCCACTTTTAATTGCTCTACTAACTGAACATGGCACATTTTGCATTCAATTAAGGGAGAGTTTGTTGACCAAACTGAATGAAATTATAACTTTTTTGGTCAAGTTATTTAAAATTTATGTAAATTTTTAAAGTATAAAGTGCAACAGGCTAAATGAACTCAGCTTTGATCTGTCATAAAATTATAACATAGCTGATTCACTTAAAAACAAGTCCAATATAGAAAGAACAATGATAAATTTCCCATTAATCCAATTAAATTCAGGAATATAAAGACTCTGGTTCAATCTTCCTTTAATTTCCCAAATACCACTTATTTTCCTGCTTTCTCTTGTTCAATTTTAACATTCACATTACAATACACTTATTCTGGGACAGCATCGGATTACAAATAAAAAATATGCATCGATAAGCCCATAAGCACCATTTCAAATACTATGTCAATGTTAATTTGATTTTAATAAAGAACATTCTTAATATTAAATGAGCACTGTTTCATGTCTAAAACCGATTTTAAAGAGGTATCTGAAAATGTAGTATAAAGTTATTGCTTTCAAAGTTAAGTTGGCACAATCTATACAAGATTGAACTGAGACAAAAGGAAACCACACCAGTTAACATAACCAATCTTTGTCTTCTTTTAACATTTTATATATCTGGAAAAGCTATCCTTTTACAGTCTTAATAAAAGGGCTTTTTCCGCCATCTAGATACTTAGCTTCTTACATGTTAAGACACATCTAGGATATTACTATTTTTAACCACAGCAACAATTTTTTTTCCAAGTTAGGCAGTATAATAAATGCTTGAAAAACCTTGTGTGAGTTTTTGTGAAGTTCTGTAGGTATATTACTTTGCCAGATAATACAAAAAAAAAAAAAAATTCACAAAGCAAAACCAAGAGTATTTATTTTCATTATTTTAAAAAACTGCAACATTTATTTCACAATCCCTGGAACTGTAAAATAACTATTCTTTTAATTTACAGAATTGAGGGAAGTATTTTAAATGTCAAAATACACATGCTGAATGTGATTTAGCATATAAGCACCAAAAATCCCAAAAGTATACAAAGATTGTTTAAACATATAAGGTGCATTTATTCATGAATTAATTACATTCAGTTTGAAGGAAGAAACAGTACTCCAAAGTTCATCAATATTTAAGAAATTATCCGAATAGCTTCCAACTTGGTTTACAGCTAAATAACAGATACTGCTTTTAGGTTTTTTTATACAATGCATCTAAACTTTAGGTTCGAAATTTAAGTGCTGCCTTACACTGTGAATGGCAGTTTGATCACTAAATTTATGTTCCAGTTTGAGATACTTCATACACAACATATATTTAATGCCCTGAAAACTTCTGCTTAAAAACTGAGTTATTTAGTGAACATCTGAAGGTAACAAAAAAAGATAGATCTTCTATATTTTTATGTAGAATTGGGTATAAAGTCATTTGGGGTCAAACACAATTATTTTTTAAATGTTATCAGTCCGCCCAGTAATAAGAACTTTTGTAAATATGCCACTATAGCTTCGGGCAATAATTGCTATTATGAAGTTAGATAAACACAGGATTAATTTCTTGGTTTACAAATCAAAATTATTGTGATATTAAAGCATGCCTCCTTCCAAACCACTTGGTCAATGCTGATAACAATTAAGAAAAACGTATGCTAGTATTGCTCTAAATATACTGACTTAGCTGTCCTGAATGACCTAATTAGGTTGGGGAGGGGACTTGGCCTGGTTCTCCAGTTCTGTGAAGCTGCCACCTCCAGCCTCACTCTAAATAGCTTATACAAAATCAAGTTATTCCCATAGCTAACACAAATCCAGCAAGCTGTGGTCCTAAATGCCATCTACATTTATATATTTACTTTTTTACTGTGTACATTAAGAATTTTGTTGTGCTTTTCACATATCCGATGTATGTTTTCATATTAAACATTCCTCAGTTTCTTGGGAAGGAAAGAAAAAGATCATGAAAAGAGGTACATCAGGAGAGTCGGACTGTAAAGTAACATTACACACACAACTAGCCAAATCTCTTTTTAATTTAAAAGATAATGTCATCACAACGCAACATATAGAAACATAAAAGAAAATAAAGTATCCACCCTAAAATCCCTATTATTCCATGATATTTTCATAGCAACTAGTATATATATCAATATATTTTTCACAAACCATTCAGTTACACATTGTGTATGCTTTTAGAATTTAAAATATGTATTACCATAGCAGTCTAAACATTGTACTTTTAGGGAAATGTGCGGAGACATGGTTCAGTGATTTGATCATTGTGATGATTATTTACAATGCTATCTATTTACGTTAGCAATAAATAATCCTGATATCAAAAGAGACAATACTCATGCACACACCAAGATGGCTGCATGCTCTTAAAATATTTACACATAGCTCTGCCATTTATAGCTCTCCCATTAAGAGTGAAAGTGCGCTTTCTTCAATTCTCTCCACATTTCCATTAGTCTTGCTTCTGGGGGATGCATCCTTCCATTTCTACAACTTCAGGCCATCCTTCATATTTGTTTGTATCCTTATTGTTCTTTATGTGCTATTGGAACACAGTAATAATATACAGTTTAAAAAACCGTTGTAAACTGCTGATTTGCCGTAACATTTTACACACTTCTCATTTCAGTAATACTCATGTCAACAATAAGTTCATTTAAATTACTGGTCAAGATATTAAATGAGTGACCCTCAGGCTGTATCACATACATGGCAGACCTTCAAATAACAGCTGAAAGAATACATTGCACGTGCTTTTAAAGGATTATTTGCTACTCAAAAACTAACATTTACATTCTACTAAGTTCTAAAATATTTCCAAACTTCACTGATTCTAAAATCCAAAGCTCAATTAAAATCCTTAATAACTAAAGCTTCCGAAAAGGCTTAAGATAGGTAATCCTATTCCAATGCATTGTCCTGTAGGAAAAAATATTCCCATGCAGAATTTTCAAGTTTTGAAATTTAAAAGTACGATAGTTATTTCAAATAACTGATTACCAAGAATTTATGACAAATATATGATCATATTTACTATCCGCTTTATCTAATTTTCAAATAGCTGGGATGGGAAAATGTACCGTAAGGTTTCACAGAATTTGTTTTTGTTAATTCTGAGAGTCTATGACACTAACCTGTTCAAAAGGGCTTTTTGTCTTAATGCCCTTCCCACCACAGAAGACCCAGTTGTCTCTAAAACCAAGATTAGTAATAGATGTGCTCCCCAAATCAGCAATGAGCCGCCGTGCCTCATCATTGAGTCTTGAAGAGGGAGAGAAAGAATACAACAATAAACAGAGGGAACTGTATGCTAATACTGGTTCACTGGGATATTAACACAAAACATGAGACAAAATGAGACTTTAAATAACAGAACATTTTGGAAAATAATTTTTTTTCAGAGTTACATTTCTACTGGTTGAATTCTTTAGTGACAAAAGACATGAACTCCAACAATTAATTTTAAGTTTATTCTATTAAAAGGACCTGTTAGGTTTTTATTTCACAACAATTCACCTTCATTTAACTTTTTAAATTACACTCATCAAATAAATAAGGGATACCACAGTTAGTAGATGCCTATCCAGGCTATCCAAGGTCTTAAGCAATCAATATTTTTATAAAATTAATCTTTTTGAATCTCCACTAAACCCTCTGTAAATTACATTTGACCAGAATAAAGGTAAATGCTGACAAAAATCTGTATGTTTCTAACACTATGTTTTATTTAAAAGAAAATGAATTTTGAGAACAGATATATAAATTGTACTTCAGTGATAACTGCCAAGTGGTTACTTAATAAAAATGAAAATATTAACCACACAGCAGCTAAATGCCTACTAGCAGGAGGTGGAGCAGTGACAGAAGTCAACCACCAGGGAAACTACTAATTGAAAGATGTCCCTAAAAAATTTTGTGTAAGTGATCATCCTAATGGTCAATGATTTTCTCTCCTTTATCTCTAAGGAGAAAAGAAACTCAGAACATAAATGGTAGCTATAGAGCTTAAAAAAAGAAGAAGAAGAAAAAATTAAGGGCTACTTGTACACATATTTGGCATTGAGTCCTATATACTGCGCAAAAGACAGCTCTAACAGGTCACTTAGAGAGGTTTGTTCTGCTAAAACCTGAGGCAAGGCAAGTTTATATTTCCAAACAGCAGGAAAGTCAGTGAGGAAGGTACTTATTCATTCTACAGTGTTCTTTCAAACCTCTCATGCTAGTATCAAGTAGCTCCTTTAATATCTTAGTGAAAGAAACACTACATAGAACAGTTCTCATTTAACTAAAGAAAAAGGGATACTCTTATGGTTTTTTTAAAAAAGCTTCATAAAACAGGAAAGAACTACATATATCATTAAACTTTCATGATTGATGCCCACCACATCCGTGGGGGCTGTGGAGCTGTTTTGGCCACAGCCTGGGCACTGCTGTCCACCTGGAGGAAGTTCACTAGAATCAGCAAGAAAATAAGCCATAGCCTGTGGAGCATTTAGCCTTTCAGATTCGCCTCCTATATTAAGTGGTACATTTATAGCCAAGTGAACTAAAAAGAAGTGAAATGACTGTGCAGAAGAACCAATCTCAGCCTCTGTGAAGATTGTGAGGCCTTCACATGAAATCTGTGCATATGCACTGGCTTTCCCTCCACAGTTCCTCTGCAGCTTCGTTTCCTGTGCCCATCCTTACATGAATTATCCATCACTTTCCACTTGTTTGCTCACTTGATAACCAACTTTGGTGCTAGAGGGAAATGCCCCAAAATTATCACCTGAACCTTGTTTTCTTGTTTCCAAATGTTATTGGGATGCCATGGATCTAAAAGGCTGTCAAATTCCACTTGCGTAGTTTATCCAAATGTTCTATTTTCTAACTACCTTATGGAAGTCTACACTTGCATCATCAGCACTAGCGATGAGTTTTGCTGCTGTAACAAGAATAAATAGTATTGAAATGTCTAGAGCACAGGCAGTAGGCTCAGTGGTCAGCTAAATGGACTGCCTCCTGCAGAGAGGCTTTGGGGTTCCATTCACATTTACATCTCAAAAAAATTATGAATTGATACCTCACAGGCCTTTAGGGTGGCTCATAAACAGCTGAAATGATGAATGTGAAGTTCACAAATGTTAAGAGATTGCTTTACACAGGAAAAATTCCCTGCAAAATAGAAGGTTATCCAAACGCAGGTCCAGCTCCCTGCCAAAAGTAAAATCTTATCCAAGAATTTTGCACCAACTAAGAAATATGTTGAAGGGCAGTCAGGCATTCTTATTTTTGTACTCCTGAATTTCAGAAGTGACCATTATGATCTGTATGAATAAACCAAGCTGATTTACAATCAAGCCAGAGATCAAGGAGAAACTTAAAGATTGAGCTTTATGTTTTAACTCCATTAATCTTATTCCTTGCTTTTCCATTAGAAGATACTGAGATCCTGTGCAGATATGCATTAACATAGCAGGCCTGAGCTTAGAAAGGCCTACTAGCAAGACTGACCCTTGGCTATCTGGCCACTTGGATTTGCGGAGGGCTCCTATCATTTTCAAAACTGATAAGAATGGTTCATTGTGTCTAAACTGTGGGCAAAAACAATGCAATTTATGCTGAACACTTGTTTTCTCTCTGGGAGTCTGGTATTTTGCAACAGGTTAGGCAGAGGGTGCCTACATGACCAGCCCCTAATAAAATCTCTGGGCATTGAGTCCCTAATAAGCTTCCTTGCAGACAACATTTCCCATGTGTTGTCCTAACTGGTTGCTGGAAGAATTAAGCATGTCCTGTTTGACTCCACTTGGGAGAAGACTCCTTTGTCCCTCCAGACTTTGTCCCATGAACCTTTTCCCTTTGCTCATTTTGCTTTGTGTATTTTTGCTTTAACAAATCACAACCATGAGACCTACTGGAGAACTGTCAAAACTGGGAGTGGTTTGGGGGACGTCTAACACATAGCCCTGTGTATATCTAACTACAGTTTTATAACAAGATGACTTTGTCAATGACTTCTAACACTTTCTGATCTGCCTATGTAGAATTTGGTTGATTATTTTATTATTATTTTTAGATATCTTCTGTGTAACTAAGTAAAAAAAATCTTTATATTTCAAAAGTTTAAAATCATGTAACATAGCCAGTATTTAATTGAATATACAGGAAATGTCAAAATGCCCCTTTTTTAAAAAAGCCAGGGCAGCAAATATATTTTTATATAGCATAAAGGTTGGAGATACAAGCTTTTTATTCCACATAGGGCACTCTGAGTTTGTTACATATATTTTAATCCTTACTAATGGTCTTAACTAGCTGAGTTAAAAATTTATGTCAAATATATTATTTTAGTGAATAATTTTCTTCAAAATGAACAGAAAATTATCCTGTGATAAACCAGGATAGACAGAGAACGGTATCAGGTTTTGCTAGAAGACAATCTAATGCTGCCCAGAGGCAATCTAAACTAGAAAGGGAGGAAGTGGGAACTGGACACAGGAATCTGTGGGTTCTGCCTCAATCCTTGCTGGGAAAGGAGGCACATCGGATAGTCCTACAGTTGCACCATCAAACCAAGCCAATGCTGCCTTTCTGGAAGCACAGAAAGCAAGACGGACAATATTAATGGCTCAATTCTGATTAATAGGGAAGAACAAGCTGGGAAGGAGAAAGTCTGGAAGAAAATCGCCATATTACCTCAGGGCGTTGAAGAGTAAGAAATGCTAACTATATAAGGCATAAATGACGACCCAGCCTAGACTTTAAAGAGAACATATTATACAAAGTTCGGATTAGAAATTTTTATGAGGGAATACGACTCTTTACAAACAAACAGAAAAACTCTATAATTTTCACTATATAATTGCTAACACTTCCAGAAAAAAATGGAGCATAGTTTCTAAATTAGTGCTATCATAGGGATGTTTTATGATGGACTCAAACTTAAGAAAGGAAGTGTGCAAAAATACAAAGCAAACCACATTACTAATGACAAAATTTTTAATACTACTAACCAGGAAGACCTGTAGTGCTCAGAATGAGATGAAACTCATAAAATTATTAAAAGCCACAGAAACAGCTTTTGCTACTAAGTGTGAATAACAAAGGGACTCACTGTTTCATGAGAATGATATATCATCCAACCAAAGCATGACTATCTTTTACAGGGAGGCAAACATTCTTTGATCAACATAAAAAGGGAATAGTAGCTCAAGAAGTCCATGTAAGTGCTCTAAAGTAAATTTAAGCCTCCAGTCCTGTAAACCCCCTCCCCCACTTCACACTTTTAGATTGTAAAGGAACTTGTTGAAATAATCATCAAGGTAGTGTCAGTTATTTTAGAAGCCTCATGGAAAATGGGAGATGCTAAGACATTATCCCTGTTTTCAAAAAAGGCAACAAAATTTTAGAAATAATGGTCCAATAAAACTAATGTGAATTCCTACCAAAATCCTTGAAGGGATGACAAGAAGATCCTGTGAGCATTAAAAAGCAATAAGGAAAGAAAGGGAAATAAAGGGGAACTAGTGGGAAGGAGAGGGAAATAAGTAAAGCCAAGTTAACGTCATCACAACTATTTCAGCTTTTGAAGAGGTTTTCAGGCAGTAGATCAGGGTACTGCAATTAGCACAGTCCATGAATTTCAAGTGAGCATATGATAGTCTCAGAAAATAACCTCTATGAATAAAATAATGAAATAGCAGCTGGATGGTATTCCTGGTAGGGTACACTGGCAACTGTTTGAAAAGTAGTTTCTGCAGCTGATTAACAGATGCATCCCTTGGAGGAAGCCTCTAGCAGGGTGGCACACCGCCCTTGGTAAACATTTTTATCAATGACTTATATTTAGACATAAGCATGACTTTGAAGAGAGTACAAAGCCTGGATCATGGAAACTTCATAGGACGAATGTCAGAATCAAGACCAAGTGGGCCTACATCAGCAAAATTAAATTTAACAAGGATAAATGAAAATAAAGGCCTTCATTTAGGTTAAACAAAATCAAGTTCTGAATGAAGAGAAAGACCTGATTTGACAGTGGTTTAGAAAAAAAAAAAAAGGCCTGAGATCAAATAAAAAGATCTGAGAATTTAACTTGACCAAAAACTCACGAGCCAAAAATGTAATGTGACTGTTTAAAGAAAACTAATACAATTCTAGTCTGCATGAATATTCAAAGAAATGTAATCTCTGAAACATGGTAGCTAGCATCTGCATTGTACCTTGTACTGGCCAGACCACATCTGGAACCCTGTGTTTGATTTGATGCATTCATTTTAAGAGAGACAATAATCAACTAGAGAATGCCTAAGAAATATAGCCAGGAAGATGAAACAAATTAGAAGCTATACATGACAAAAAGTTAAAAGAGCCTGTGTATTAAGCCGGAAAAAGAGAAAACTAAAAGAAAAATACCAATTAGCTTCAAATACCTGAAGTATCAAATGATTTGGGGAATACACTTACTGTTTTGTTGTTCCATCTATCCAAATTAAAGAACATCAGGCAGAATTTAGAGGGAGACCACTCTGAGAATGTAACACTGTACTGTGAATATTTTGTTTCAATCTATTTCAAATGGAGAAATGAAAGGGTACTGGCACATTAAGTAGGTAGGGTGTTAAGTAGAGGTATTCATAGAGAACAAGAGAATCTTGCCCAGGCTCCAATGCTGCTTTAGGTGACCTTTAAGATCCCTTCTTACTCCAAGACATTCATATTGAAGCCCTTCACGTAGGCATAACATGTCATAGAGTATTCTCTCCAAAAGGAAGAATACAATTGGCAAGTTTAGCTTGCTCATTCAAACCATTATCTCCTTTATAACCAAAGAACAACTTATTTTAGTGAGGGTCGGGGTGGAAAGTAGGTATCATTAGATAACTGTACTCCCTGAAGTGTTAAGTTTTCTTAGATGTAAGTTTTTCTCTATCTTGTTTTTTAAATGGGCTTCACAGAATCAAGAAACACCATGATTAACAAAGGAAAAGATGTTTCTTTAGGGCAGAACTTCAGAGCCTTTCATTGTGAATCCCGAAAAGGGGCAAAATATAAGGTACCATCCTCAAACTTCTTTGACCATTATATGTACTTGTAAAGGACAGGGGTTCTACCAAACACACTCTGGGAAATAATGTGATGGAGATCAGTCCTAGTCAATCTGCTGAAGTTCATAGCACTGCAAAGCAGGCTCATCATGATTAAGAGAAACTAGGATCAGAGACGACGAGAGAGAGAGAGTGAGTGAGTCAGCTGGGTCCTGCTTTCTCTGGTTAACATGCCACCCAACTTTCTCTCTTGGAAAGAGCAGGGACATTCAGTGTACGCACTTAACTTTCTTGAGTATAAGTGGAAGAAAACGAGGTAAAATTCAATGGCCTTAAATAAGGAAAAGCCATAATACATCAGCAGCAGTAAGCAGAATTTCTATTCATATATAAGAGAGGGTATATAACACAACTGGTAAATCACTGCAAATGTGCCACAATTAGACACCTGCCAAGATAAAAGGGTTATATATATATTAGATGTAGATTGCCTTTCTTAAGGATGTTGTCCATTTCAGTATAAAAGATATGATGCTTACAATTTCTTTTACTGGTATTTAGGAAAAGGAAATATTTGAAATATAAATTCGTGTGCCCCAAACTAATACAACTCAATTCATTTAAATTCACAGATGAATCATATATTGACCAAGTGACCAAACGTAAAGAAATTAAAGTTTAGATTTTTCCTTTTGCCCTAGAGGTTGAACTCTCTTCCAAAGCTGCTTTTGGTGCATTTAATGGGCACCAAAAAATAGCAGTTGAAGAGTAAACATCATTCCTCCCCTAGTTCTTAGTTGTGGCTATAATTTATTATTAGCATATTAGCAGGTTAAGGGGAGCAATTTTGATTCCCATCAGGTATAACAAAATAATCTGGTGAAAAACGGAGGTCATGTTTGTCAAGTCAGAAAAGTGGGGCCTTTTCTTTTTAATGTTAAAACTTCAAATTTTACACGTAATAGCCTATTCTCTCAGCAAAAGCAAATAGCAAGTTACCTGTTTTTTGATGAGAGCCTAATTACATCCTGTTTCATTCTATTTAGGTAGATGAAAATGCTTGAATAGGCGAGTTTTATGTTAACCTTCAATTTATGGATTTAATATATTCTTAGTTGAACCAGATAAAACGCACAATGTCAATGAAATTACTTCAGCTTACAACCATTTATAAAGTATCACTGTTTTCATGTAAATCTGTGATAATGTAGCTATAAAATAATACATTTATAAAAATCAATACATAAAAATACAAATTTCTGTATAAATCTTGTAGTATTAAGGCTCTGTCAATTAAAATCTATAAAATCTATAAATCTTGTAGTATTAAAGCTCTGTCAATTAAAATCTATAAAGGATGTTTTTTATCCTTGATAAGTCATCTGAAGAAAAGTCAGAGAAAAAATTATTTTTTTCTAGAAAGAAGAACATTAAAGGGGATTTAATCTCAACCAGAGAGGCATGAAGTACAATTACTTTTATAAAACAATTTTAAAATAATTGAAATAGTGTCTTTTTGGAACAGAGATAAACAGGTCAAGTGAATGGAACAGAACAGAAATTCCAGAGATAAAGCCAAATCTACATAAGAACATAGGCATTGTGTGTCATGGGGAAATTACAAATGGGTTTTTAAAAATACATGACAACAGTGAAATCACTGGAAGAGAAAATCTACTAAATATCTAACCTGGAGGTGGAAAAATACTTCTCAAGTATACAAGGAGAGTGATAGAAAAATACATAGACTATATAGGCATTAGTCTAAAATTCTAAAATTCAAAAAGCACCCTACACTAACAAAATTAAAAGCAAATAATGTACAATAAATACATTTCTTTTTACATTAGAAATGGTTAATATCCTTAAAACGTGAAGGGGTCTTACAAGTCAAGATAGGCCAACTCGAATGGTCAAAAGACAATTTACATAAAAAGGCAAAAGAAAAAAAAACCACTTGTGAAAAAAATCCAATCTCAATAATAAAGGCATATTAAAATAAGATACCTTTTCAAACTCTTAAAATTGAAACTTAAAAAAATTAACAATTGGTGCCATGGAACTTCTGAGAAAAATATAAAATTGGTAAAAAAATTTTTAAAATCCATTTTTAAAAACATGCACATCCTTTAATTAATCATTTCCACTTTAAAAAAAAGAAGTCTATCTTAAAGACATAGACATGGACTGTTCAAACATTTCTAAGATAGTCTATTGTGCTAAGTATGCAAATTGGAACTAGTCTGGGTCCAGCAATAGGCAACCCATTAAACAGGTTATAAATCATGACATTTTAAAAACCAGACTAGGCAGGCATAAACAATTTTTTATAAAGAATATTTAATAATAAGGGGAAATATTCACCACGTAAGTGAAGAGATATGCTATAAATACTAGCATTCTAAATATTTAATGCCAAAAAATGTGTCTTAAGTCATCTGGAATAGAAACTAAAATATCATCAATGTTTACACTGGGTAGTGAGATGGACTGGAACTTGGTCTCTTTGCGCTTTTCTATAATTTTCCAAATTTTTACAACATATACTATTTTAAGAAAAAGTTATAAAACTACTATATATTAAAATTATTTAAAATATAGCACACCTGTATCTTTGACAATTAACTCCATTTCTTGAAATTTACCCTAATGACATAATAATAGGGAAACTTTAAAGGTGAGCCCATAACTGCTGATGAACCATAAAAATGCTATTGAAGAATATTAATGCTAGGAAAAACAATTTCAGAATGTTAAAAAACAAAACATAAAAGTATAAAAAATGTTACATATGATGTGATTCTAATTTCATGACAATATATGTGTGATAAACATTTACATATAAAACCAGGAAGGAGGCAAAGTAAAAACAAAAATTGTTAGTTGTGTTTACCTGGTAGTTTGATTACTTTGCTCTATGTTACAGATTTTTTTTTAATGAAAATGTATTGCTTTTATAATTACAAATTATAGTTCCAAAAAGTTCTGTAAAGTTTACATACTTGGTTGCTCCATCATCGTATGTTCCCATTAAAACTATTGTTCCATCTTGTATGGCCTTCAGAAACTCAATAAATGGTGCCACATCTGAAGAAAAAGAAAGGGTTTAGGGTTTTAAAAAATGACTGAATAAGCATCACGATAATCTCTGAAAGTAGTATTATAAAACATGAAGTATCTGTAAAGCAATAATTTCCAATGTAAAGTAATCCAAAAGACAGACAAATCTCATAAAGAGTTTAAAAACTGTTAAATTTGTCCCTTAACATAATCCCACTATCAACTTACAATTTCCCATTCCTGATTTATCCTGTGTCTTTCGTATTGATATTCCTGGGGCTAAGTGAAAAAAATCATAGCAAAGTAAAGCATGACTTACGAAGTAAGAAATTCAGAGATCTCTCAGATTTGAATAATTGGGATCCTGAAAACCTTATTCTGGGGTCCATGCATAAGCTTAAGGAGGCATGGGAGGTGTGTGGACTCCTTAAGTGTATGTAAAATTGTATGGGCTGAGCACAGTGACTCACATCTGTAATCCCAGCACCTTGGGAGGTCAGGGCTGGGGGATGGCTTGAGCCCAGGAGCTTGAAACCAGCCTGGGCAATATAGTGAGACCTCATCTCAACAAAAAAATTTAAAAATTAGCCGAGCTTGGTGGCACATGCCTGTAGTCCTAGCTACTCAGGAAGTTGAGGCAGGAGAACTGCTTTGAGGCCAGGAGGTGGAGGTTGCGGTGAGCTGAGATCACACCACTGCACTCTAGCCTGGTTGACACAGCAAGACCCTGTCTCAAAAACAAAACAAAAAAACAAAAACGAAACGAAAAAAAGCATAACAATGTTTGTATGGGTACTTTACTAGAAAGAGGATACACAGCTTTTCTCCGATTCTCAAAGATATCTGTAATTTTTAGAAAATCTAAAAATACATATACACACAGATTTAAAGGCTATTTTAGGTATATCATTTGCTATAAACTGGGAGAAGGAATATGTTAGGTGATCACTAAAAGCCAAACTAATTGTAGCAAATATTACAGTCATTACTCATTTGATCTACCAAATCAAAATCCACAAGGACTTCAAAATAAACCACTTCAATGACTATAAACTGTTGATGCCAGATACATAGGTCAGATTCTAAAAACCACTTGACATCTTGAACTCTTTACAATGTCTGGGTTCCTTATAGCTCTGAAGTCTAATTCTACTCCAAAACTGGGTTACTTCAAATGTACTCAGTTTCTTTCCACAGCAAAGATGCCAAAGATTTTCGATAACTGATTATATTTCATAATAATAGCATTTTCAATTCAAAAAGATATAACAAGGCAGCTAACAAACTACTTCCATTTAAATGCAAAAGTGGCAATAAACTGCAACAATTTCCTAACTAGAAGAATGCTGCTAGCGGTAATTAATCTACCTGTGACAAGAGAAGTAAGGAATACCAGAGCTCCTGGTCACATGACTGATTTCAACAACAGCTTTGTAAGACTCTTTCTATCAATAAATTTTGGCAGGACCAATTTATGCCTTTAGAATCTAAAATTGATGGTCCCATTTTAAGTTTATACAGCTTTGACAGCTATGCAATGTTGTCCTAACATTATTTAATAACAAAATAATACACGGCATCTTTTGTTTTTTTGAGACGGAGTCTGGCTCTGTCGCCCAGGCTGGAGTGCAGTGGCAAGATCTCGGCTCACCGCAACTTCTGCCTCCCCGGTTCAAGGGATTCTCCTGCTTCGGCCTCCCAAGGAGTAGCTGGAACTAAAGGTGCATGCCACCATGCCCGGCTAATTTTTGTATTTTTAGTAGAGACGGGGTTTCGCTGTGTTAGCCAGGATGGTCTCCATCTCCTGACGTCGTGATCTGCCTGCCTCGGCCTCCCGAAGTGCTGGGATTACAGGCGTGAGCCACCACGTCCGGCTACATACCATCTTATTACAAGCTGAAGATATGTTGGAAAAGCTAAATTATCTGAGAACTCTTAACATGAATTTCAGGAAGCCTAATAGCTGTTGGCTTCTAGGGAATATATAAATGGAATGGGGAGGTGCAGGGGAGATCCTCATACTGATCAATCTCCCAAATTAAAGAATCAAAAGATAAACCAGTGTTGGCCTCCCTTCAAACTGGAGGAAAAAAACCCATTCTTCCGGGCAGCGTTCTTCTTTGGGGTGCCAGTCCCTTGCCTCTGCGTGCTGGTAACTTCTTCCCACTCCTTGTGGGACTTCCAAATATGGAAGGGGAAAATATCTGTGGATTGCTTTACAAGAAAGAAAATTCTATTTCTTCCCTCAAATATTCATCTACCTAAAAAATTAGCTGCAAGTCAGAGGGTAGAACTGTGATGAATAATAGGACTGCTGTTCTAAAACTGATAGTTTATCTTGTCTTTCTAATGCTCCTAATGCTCCTAATGATTTATTTTTGAGACTAAAAAATCACATTTAAAAAAAAATCAATTCCTATCACTTAGGAATGCTTACATTGGTTATTCTGGTCTTCAAATTACTTTTTTTTTTTAAATTTTAGACACACTTAAAGGAGCCCAAAACTTTTGAATTGGTTGTCCTGTAGAAAACAAGATGACTTTTTTTAAAAAAATCTCAATTTTGATATTACTATCTTCAATTATACACCACAAAAATTTTTTTCTAAGAAGAAGAAAGTATATAAAACATGAATGATAACTTAAATACAGCTGGACATTTAGTGAACAGAAAGTAAGGGAAACAAAATGAACTAACGCAAATAGCATCATCATTCTCTCATTAATGGGCTACATTGTATTGAGGTGATTAAGTCAGTGCCAGCAAAAGAACACAGTCATGTTATTTATGCTTACCTCCTCCCCACATGTCAAAATATTTAGTGTCTAATACTTCTCCTGTTTTTCCTAAAAGAGATTAAATTCATATCAAATTATGCATCTGAAATATATCATACACTGTAAGACCAATAATCTCATCCAATGATTGATGTGAATTCATTAGCAGAGAAGATGTGAATTCATTAGCATTAGAGAGATGTGAATTCATCTCAAAGAATTACTTTGAGAACTTAAAATCTGAATCATATGCACCTGAAATATATTTTTAAAGGGTAATTTCTTAATAGAACTTTCTCATTAATCTTTTAAGCCGAAGGATAAATAGAAGTTCATTACTGACTGTAGACCATTCCAATTCGGTTAGATATATTTCATCGTTGTTTCCATATTCTCTTATTTTAAAATTACTCAAAAGTAAACCTTTTACAAAAAAGAAGTATCTCCTTGAATCAGATGCCATTTTCTACATTAAATCAGTTTTTACAATAAAACTTACATTAACTTGCCCTATAAAATGTATTTTTTGCTATTAATGAAATAGACAGATGTTGAACCTTTTACCTAAGGAAATGAAGAAAGCAGAAGAACAAAAATTTACCTCTTGCTGTGAAAGTAGTAAAATATATTTTTCTACACTATGAAACTACAGTGGTTTCTAACCATCCTATATATCTTATAACCATCCTACATAGCTTTATGGAATACTTATTGTACCAGAACAGAGAGGATCAATATGCAGTTAGGCCTCACTTTATGGTTTTATGTTTTCAGATTTGATTTTGAAGGAAAATTTGAGATGTTCAGGATTCAATCAACTTATTCATACTAATTAAGCTATCAGAAGAATGTGGCTGATAATGAAAAATTACAATACATTCTTATTCTTTGTTCCTCCCCCTACACCATCCTTTGTCATTTCATACGCCTTTAATCCTGTCAACCTATCTTCCTATTATGTTAGGATTCCAAAATTTGAAGCAAGATTTTATCAATGTGATGTTAGACTGCTTGGTTTCTGACAATCTCATGGAAGCTCTTGCATAGCAAGTTAGGATACTTTCAAGAAACACGCTATAAATTCTTAGACACCAAGTCTCCACCCATAGATTTTTTGCAGGGCAGGGATGGGACAGAGGGCTTTATCATCAAGAGCAGTACTTTCTAACCTGATCCTCTGATAGTGCATTTTACTTTGGGACAGAAAAATACCCAATGATTACATCCATAAGCTAAAATAATTGTTCTTACCATTTGCCAAGGCAACATTGATCCCTCTTCCAACATTATTCTTAACACCACTCATTAAACTGAAGGGGGAGAAATTGAAATAAATTTAGAATTAAATATTGTACAATAACATATCAGAAAAATAAAGTCTTGCAAAAAAAGTTAGGAATATTATACATATTTTCAATTGTTCAGTGCTGCGGAGGAAATTAAAAAGATCTCTACTAAGTCAGAGAAGACAGTCTAATACTGAATAATTTTAAAGCAATGTCCTTAAATAATATTTCACAAATAGAAATACATATTAAAAAATATTAGGCCTGAAATAATAGACCATTTTTGTGCTACACTGCTTCAGATTATTCTTAAAACATGGACATTAAGCATATGTTCTGCATCATTCTTAAGGTATCAAACAAAAGATAATCTCTTTTCTGCTCTCTTCAATACCAGCGTGACATGAAACAGAAGCGAGATACTACCCCCATCATTTAAATCTAAAAGCAAACAGAGTGGGGGAGCACTCTTTCATGAATGTTTTACCTAATTGTGAACATTCTCCTAGTGATTATCACTGTAAAGTTCGTCTACACTAAGAAATATTGCACTCATGAAATCACTGCATTGAATGACAGTCACTTACGTGGTGACTACCTGAAATAATCGACTTCCATGGGCAGCTCACAGACCACTATATAAAGACAATGACACTGTAAAATGGAAGGTACCAGTGACAAATTTGCTGGTTATCAGTTCAGTTTGTTCAATTGCTCAAATTAGAATTATTAAACTAAAATTGTGAGTTCTTTTAACTCAAAACTTCAAGGTAATAGTAATACTCCCAGTGGTGTGCTGTTAACTATTTAACAACTGCTCTGTGTTTAGGAGAGAGAGGCAATATGCACATATGTGACTACACGTGCACACACTTGTCCTTATATAGACAGAATTATATATACACATAGGTACACAATTTATTATAAACTACTAAAAGATGTATAGCACACAATTTCATAAATAAAATCTACGATGTACTTTATTATAAATCTCAGTCGATTCTCACAGAGTATTTTAGTTGATTTTTCAAACAATTCACATCTGCAGCTGAACTATGGTTGCAATTGATGAATGAGCTCAGTTCTAACAAACGTTGGATCTATGTTAATAAGATAAAATAAAGAAAAACAAATAATGGAGATTCATGTTCAAATTCCACTTGCCTGTCAATGATGACTGAATCAGATAATAAGTTTTAAATATTGGAAGACTACTTCCTACATTTTTGGTGCTATCCACCATATAATAGATATAGATAGGACATATTTTTCAATTTAATCTGTGTAATATTTTCTCCCTCACCTCAAGTCTAGAACTTGAGTCTGCAAACTTTTTGTGTAAAGAGAGAAAGCACTAAAGAAGCTATAGGGAGATACATTCAAAAACACTATAAATAAATCAAAAGAAACACTTTTTTAAAATGTTTATGTAACTCATAGGAAGGCAGGAAAATGAGAAAATGAAAACAAATAATAAAATAGACTTAAACCCTCATATATTAATAATTATAATAAATGAAAATAGTTTCAACATACCAAATAAAGACAGAAATTGGCAAAGTGAATTAAAACAGGAACCAACTACACACTGTCTACAAGAAACTCACTTTAAATATAATTATATAGGCAGTGGAAAGTAAAAGGGTAGAAAGAGACATATCATGCAAACATTAATCAAAAGAGAAATTACAATTCAATTATAAAGAAACAACCCAATTTATCAATGGGCAAAGGGTTTCAACAGACATTTCTCCACAGAAGATATACAAATGGCCAATAAGCACACAAAAACATGCTAGACACCACTAATCATCAGGGAAATGCAAATGAGATTTCACTTCACATCTACTAGGCTGGCTATAATCAGTAAGTCAGATAATAACAAGTGTTGGCAAGGATGTGGAGAAATTGGAACCTTCATACACTGCTGGCGGAAATGCAAACAGATGCAGCCACTTTGGAAAACTATCTGGCAGTTCCTCAAATAATTAAACAGAGTTACCACCTAAAACAAAATCCACTCCCTGGGAGTATAAAGAAATCAAAACATATGTCCACATAAAATGTGTACATAAATGTTTCTGTAAATGTTACTCATTATAGTTAAAAAGTGGAAACAACTCAAATGTCTACCAACTAATGAATGAGTAAACAAAATGTGGTATATCCATACAATGGAATATCGTTCAGACATAAAAGGAATGAAGTTCTGATACATGATATAACATGGAGGAAGCCTGAAAACATTATGGTAAGAAGCCAATCACAAAAGACCAAATATTATATACCACTTATATGAACTGTCCAAAATAGGCAAATCTATAAAGACAGAAAGGAAACTAATGGTTAACTTAGGGTTTGGGGGTGGGGAAGTGGGGCAGGACAAGAAAGGCATAGAAGGATATTAGCTAAGGGGTACAGGGT
Organism: Homo sapiens; assembly: GCF_000001405.40. Taxonomy (NCBI): domain Eukaryota; kingdom Metazoa; phylum Chordata; class Mammalia; order Primates; family Hominidae; genus Homo; species Homo sapiens. The sequence goes on from NC_000007.14 coordinate 121,366,589, forward strand.
TTCTTTTTGAGGTATAAAAATTTTCTAAAATTGACTGTGGCAGAGATTGCATATATCTGTGAATATAATAAACCACTGACTGTATAATATAAATGAGCAAAATGGACGGCATGTGAATTATATCTCAAAGCTGTTTAAAAGTACTAGCTTGGAGCATATACATTTAAAAGGTTCTATGCTTTACTACTTAACCATTGGCTCAGCTGCATCAAAGAGAAGGAAGTTTCAAAATGTACTGTTCTGTTTCTTTCAGAAATACATTCAATAAGTAAACTCCATCATTAAGAAGTAACTGCTGTGATTAACGGGTTAAGTGCCAGAGTGACTTTTCCAAGTAAAGATCATCAAGGAGTATGATGTGGCATTTTACAGACTGAAATCTATCATAAAGCAAAGAAATAAAGGTAACAAAGAAGCACAATGACATAGGCTTCCCACAAGAGGGCAGCAGCTTATCAATTTTTAAAAACTGAAATTCAAACAGAAAATCTCTAACAAATAAAAAATCCACTGAGATTTAAAATGTATAAAGGTTAGTAACCCTTACTAACACAAGTTGAAATATTTTCTTTTATCCTTCATGAATATAAGGTACCCCTTCCCACATCTCTAGGCAAAATTCTAAAGGAAATGATTATATCATCTGTAGAAATACTCAATATATCCAAATATAGATTTGTTTCAAATAGCTACTTCATGTCCTAGTTATTAGTTATTATCTCTTAAGATGGTTAGTTTAAAGCAGGGCTTGGCAAACTATAGCTCACGAGCCAAATCCTGCCAACTGGTTTTTTGATTTGTTTTACTACTCATGAGCTTAGAATAGTTTTTACATTTTTAAATGGTTACATTTTAAATGATTATGTAAGTACATACATAATAACCTTGATTTTACCTCTTTGCCCTCATAGCCAAAAACATTGATCCCTTGTTAAAAAAAAATCCCTCAAAATAATCTCATATTCTTGCAGCAAACATTACCATTAAAATCAAAAGTAATGAATTATTCCTAATATCAAATTCATACAAATTGAAATCAAATGAATATATGCCTTAGATGAAAATTATAATTGGAACATAAGTTAGTTCTATGGGTGCTCTAACGAGAAAGAAAAAACCTGTAATCCCAGCACTTTGGGAGGCTGAGGTGGGAAGACTGCTTGAACCCAAGACTTCAAGACCACCTTGGGCAACACAATGGGACCCCATTTCCACAAAAATAGAAAAATTAGCTGCATGTGGTGGTATGCGCCTGTAGTCCCAGCTACTCAGGAGGTGGAGGTGGGAAGATCGCTTGAGTCCAGGCATTCAAAGTTGCAGTGACCTAAAATTGCGTCACTGTACTCCAGCCTGGGCAACAGAATGAGACCCTGTCTCTAGGTAAAAAAGAAAAGAAAAAAGAAAAAGTAAAGGAAAAAAAAAAGCTGCAATTACTGTTTTTCCTGAGACCTGAGGTTCATACCTGCGATTTTCTAACTAATGAGACATTTAAAACACATCTTTATCAGCATAATGTATTTTGACTTCAACTACTTATGACCACCATCCTAATTGTAATTATCACCTGTCTGTATCAGAGTTTCTCAAACCCAGCCTCTCATTTTAAGAGCCTGATAATTCTTGTGGATGAGCTGACCTATGCACTGAAAGATGTTTAACAGCATCTCTGGCCTCTACAAGGAGTACCTCCAAAGCTATGACAACCCAAAATTACAATGTTCCCTGGAAAGCAAAACTGCCCCCATTGAGACACACTGATCCAAGATTAGTAGTCTCCAAAGTGAGTTACATGTACTCAGAGCAGGTGCTGTGAAAAGACTAAATTCTCTGCTTGTGTTATTTTTATTATCTACTTATAGATTTTAGTGAATGTATAAGCAATAAAGTCTGTTACCAACAGGGAGGCAGTATGAAAGTGCTGTGGCAGTAACTGGCAATGGCCTTCCAATTGTCCTCTCTATTCCACTTCCTTAATTATTTTACACAGCAACCAGATAACTTTTTTCAATATAAATAAAATCACGACATGCCAGAATTTGAAATCCTTCCACAAGTTCTCAATACACTCAGAAAAAAGTCTCAACCCTTTACCTGCGTGGCCTACAAGTTCCTATGCAGCCTGGCCCTAATTCACTTCTCTCCAGAGCTATCCAATCTTAGGGCCTTCGAGCAGGCTTCTTCCTCCTGCTCGAAGACCAAGGATGGTCTTCCTTTCTATCCCTCAGATCTCAGAATACACATCACTGTCTTAGAAACTGTTCCATAACCCTCAATCTAAAAGTTAGACACCTCTTTCCATCCACTCTCGCCAGTACTCATCACACCCTGCTGCCCTGCAGGGCTGGTATCACAATTTGTTTGTTCATTTTTTGTTGTTGTTGTTGTTTTTTTTTTTTTTTTTTTTTGAGACAAAGTCTCGCTCTGCCGCCCACCCAGGCTGCAGTGCAGTGGTGCGATCTTGGCCCACTGCAACCTCCATCTCCTGGGTTCAAGAGATTCTCGTGCCTCAGCCTCCCAAGTAGCTAGGATTACAGGCCCATGTGCCACCACGCCCGGCTAACTTTTGTATTTTAGTAAAGACGGGGTTTCACCATGTTGGCCAGGCTGGTCTCAGACTCCTGACCTCAGGTGATCCACCCGCTTCGACCTCCCAAAGTGCTGGGATTACAGGCATGAGCCACCACGCCCAGCCTGGTGTCACAATTTATAAGTACGTATTTTTTTTAAGCATCTGTCACCCCTACTAAACTGTAAGTTCCATGACAGGAGGGATTATGCTCAAAAATACTTGCTGAACAGGTGAATAAATGACTCTCAGAAAACTTAAGACTCTTTCTTTGGACTTTAACCTGAGGCTTGGGTATAAAATCCCACCAAGTATTTAATCTCTCATGGTAATGGCAGAATGGTTCCTGAAATAAGGATGGATAGGTGGCCTGCCTCATTTAATGGTTAAAGAAACTGAAACACAAATGCTACATGACACGCCCACCATGCTAGAAGCAAATTCTCTGGCTCTAAGCCCAGTATGTATTTTACCAAGCTCCACTGTCTATGCACTGTTCGCTTTCTGACCTTAGATCTTTAGCTGTTCAACATTAGGCTGAGGGATAGAGAACAGCTTCTAAGACAGTGATGTGTACTCTGAGAACCAAAGGTCAAGAAGGAAGACAGCCAAGTGAAGAGTGAGGAAAGACCATCCTAGACAGAAGAGTATACTCTAAGGCCCCAAGATCAGGAAGATCTGGAGAGAAGTGAATAAGGGTCAGGATGTGGGTAAACAGTTGAGCTTTTTTTCTGAGTGTGTTTTGTTGTTTACGGTTTTAATCTGTGAATAAAAAACCTGCTAGTAAACAGTCTGATCTCTTCTTCTCTGAACTAAAATTCACATGCATCAAGGGGGCAGAATAGATGTCCAAAATCATCCATGGGTTAGGTATTCTAAAAGAACTTTGTTCCTGTGATTTAGAATCAAATTTGGGGTCTATTTAACCAAACAAGATAAAGAGTGGAAATGAGAATGTTTTCAAAAACCTACAAACTTCTAAAATGCAAGTGCCTTATTATGCATCAGTAAAACAGGACTATTCTAATGAGAAATCAGAAGACAAATGGATTAACAATAAATCATCATTAGAATACGGGAAAATAAAGGAAATCAGTACAGACCTTAATGATCATCTAGCTCAAGCCCTTAATTTTACAAGAAAAGTGTTGTCCCATGAAGCTCAATAAACTTCTTACAGCTAACTGCCTGCAAAAGAGGCTAGGATAAAAATTTAAGAGCTTCAATATTAAAAAGAAGAGGCACATAAACAGCTAGGAAAAGCTGCCTAGGTCTCCTCTTTGCTATAAAATTATCTCTTTATTCTATATAATTCGTGACAAATTTATTATTTTATATTAAATTTAAATAAGCCCCCATGTCTAGTTTTCTAGGCAATAGCATATTAAAAGCAACCAACTAAAAGTAGGATTTGCAATTTCAGCAGCAGGAACTTGCGAGCAACAGTTGACACTGAGGTAGGATATCAAAAATCCTAAAAACCATCCTTTAGAAAGCATCTCAACATAGGAAACCATTCAGCTTAGAGGCAAGCAGTTTGTGCTGCAATGGAACTGAGGTTATCACTGGATCATTTCACACTTCAACAAGTAGCACTCAAATATTTTAAATGAAAGACGTTGGATTTCATTTAAAATAAAGAGAACACATTCATTGTCCAGGGCAATGTTGCAAATAGGATTTCTGCCACGATGAAAATGCTCTCTCTGCTGTTCCATTTGGTGACCATGAACCACATGTGGCCACTGAACACCTGAACTGCGGTGACAGATACCAAGGAACTGAACTTTTTAGTTAATTTAAGTGAATTAACTTTCTTCCTAATATTTAAGGATCAAAATTAAATAGCCACATGTGTTCTGTTGCTAGCAAATGGGACAGTGCAGATCTAGAGAATTTACTCAGAGGAAATCTCTTATCTCTATAAAGCCGAATAAGTGTTACGTTCTTAGTCACTCTCTAATATAAAATTTAAGAACTTTAAGGTCCCTTGAATTCATGAGAAAAAAACTACATAACAAAAATGGAAATCACTTTCCATTAATAAAGTATACCGAACACATTTTCAAAATATCCATTAAACTCAGGTTCAATTGGCTGCAATTTAATAGCACACCTTATCGTCTCAAGTCAACAAAGACTTACACATTATCTTCCAGGCAGATTTTGGGTCCCACCACGTTGGCTGCTCCACTTGCCATTTTAAAAGCAAAATGCTTCTCAGGGCAAGCTTTTGAGATCCCACACTTATATCTGGGAGGCTTTGTAGCTTTGGGGGAGAAAACATGATGTCTTTTTTTAGAAAACAAGTTAACAGACTTTACCTCACTTTACTTCAAATCTCAAACCACAAAGAGCATTAAGAAAAACATCAAGATACACGTATCTTAAAATACAAGCTAATTTGTTCCCCTGAGGGTTTCAAAGAACCTCAAAAAATTTTTTTAAAAAAAAACAGCAACAAAGAAACCCACAACAGACACCAGATCTTCCTAGGAAACAAACTAATAATGGATGCAAATGAGTCAAGTAATATGATCTGCATTAGGGCAAATATATTTTATCTAACTATGAGTTTATTTTTAAATTTTAGGATGTGGGGGGTTCTGAATGTTACTTTGCACTTCTAGTCCATATATGCACAAAAAATCGTCACCTCCAGGATAATTAAAAAAGGCCTAATGTTCCATTGACTACCTTGCCCATGTACACTCTTAACTCCTTCTCACACCAATTTCTGTACTTATAATAACGGAGCTAAAAAACACAAAATATCCATCATGAATAATTGCCAAAAATATTTGGGCTGTCCAATCAAATAGCATCCTCATAACTTTAAAAAGCAATTTCTAAAGCAGTTTTTCCTCATACTGAACTACTGACACTTTGAATATAAGCTCTCATATGCCTAAGGCAGAATAAATCATACATAAAATATTGAGATGAAATACTTACAACGTGCAGCTGTGTCCAATGCTGATCTTGCTGAAAAAAAAAAATTACTTTTGTTAGAAGGAATGAGTCTATTGGCAAGTATCCACTTTTAAAATATATTTAGGTCCACAAAAATAAGTGTTCAAATAATGATTCAGTATACAATAAAACATGAATATCACTTAAGAAAAAGTGAGAAAGTAACTTCACACTGTACATTCATTATAAACTATTAAATAATTATGGAGGATAGTATTTTACTACTGATAAAACATTTTATTTTTCCCTTACCATTTTGTTTTGAATTTTAGTTACTATATATTTAAATTTCAATCAGGAAGTTACTCTACAAACTTACCTTTCAATGTTTATAAATATAAATTTGGTGAATATGATGGTGTTTAAAAGTTGTTGCTGCTGTATGGTGTTGTACAGATACGCAAAGAAAGCCCCAGAGAATATACATGAATCTATCTTAGTGGTGAGGTTAGGAGATTGCGAGGGCCAGGGAGGGGGATGAGGAAGATCATTACTAAAAGATTTACAATTTATCAGTTCAAGGAATCCATGAGGTCAAATCTTAATTTGAATGTAGTAGTTCTCAACCTGACCATCTATCATAATTATAGTAGGGCTTTTTAAAAGCACTAACATCTGATCCCAGCCCAGGAGATTATAACTCAGATCATCAGAGTATTGTGGACAGCCATTTCCTGATTTGACTAATAAGTATGCAGTGTGATAAATGTTAACCAGCTGTCTTGCTATAAATAGTCACACAGTTTTTAGTTCTGTACTATTTTAGATAATTGTGAACTTCCTGTAGGTCCAATACTCCAACTAGTAAGCTGAAAGTTAAAAGATTGTATTGAAATGTTTAAAAAGAGGAAAATGACCAAGTAAATAAAAGCTCATTAACTCAATAGAACACTCAGTAGAATATTATGCACCATTAAAGCCATAAAGGTAATATAATAACATTGAAAAAGCTTAATGCCCAGAACAAAGCAGAAAAGAAACCTTATCTACACTTTACTGGGATATAATTTTGGGAAAATCAGTTTTTTAAGTATTTTAAGTACTTAAAGTCAGGATTTTAACTACTTAAAATCAGGATTTTAAGTAAATAACATCACCTCCATTTAATTTGTGTAACAGTAAGGGGAGTAGATACTTTAAGGTGAAGAAACTCCTGTGAAAGACTTTTCTTTCCAGAAGAAAGCTCATTTTTATCCAATACACATCAAAATCAAAAGCCCTGTACTAAGTCTGCAATTCTGAAAACATTAGCACCTGGTGGCCAAACAGGTACATTAGTTTTCATAAACAGCTGTCCAAGTATAGAATACAGGTACAACATACAAACACCAAAATCCCTCCTCTCCTACAACTATTTTCCCCTCAAACTACACTGATAGCTTCAATGCTTAATTTCTTTCTGCATATACACTTCATTTCATGGAACAATAATAAACATTTGTTATTGCATTTCATCAATGAATGTCCTTCAGTAAGTCGGGCTAATGAATCAGAACTATTTTGCACTTTAGTTGTTAATAATGTCTCAAGTAATTTATGTATATACTATATACCAATGGTTTAAATCTGAAAAGGTAAAAATAAATAAATTCAATAGAACATTAAGTATTTATGGCCGGGTGCAGTGGCTCACGCCTGTAATCCCAGCACTTTGAGAGGCTGAGGCGGGTGGATCATGAGGTCAGGAGATCGAGACCATCCTGGCTAACACGGTGAAACCCCATCTCTACTACAAATACAAAAAAAAAAAATTAGCCGGGCGTGGTGGTGGGCAGGGAGAATGGCGTGAACCCGCGAGGTGGAGCTTGTGGTGAGCCGAGATTGTGCCACTGCTCTCCAGCCTGGGCGACAGAGCAAGACTCCGTCTCAAAAAAAAAAAAGAAAAAAAAAAAGAACATTAAGTACTTATTGCAGCAATATAGACAAAAATAATTTGGACTGTGTTCAGTTCACTTACTAGCTAAGTATTCAAACTGAAAACAACACTACATTACACCACAATGCTGAATAAGATTGGTGAATTGTATCCATGTTGATGTCCTGATTGTGATAGTGTATTATAGTTTTGCAAGATATTACCAATGGGAGAAACTGAGTAAACAGTATGCACCATCTCTCTGTATATTCAAATGGATTTGTAAAAAACAATACAATTATCTCAAAATAAAGTTTTATAAAAAATTGTTTTTAAAAATTCATAATCGACATTGGTAATTTCAACTACTAATTGTAGGCAAAATTTTCATTCTTCCTTTCTAGAAATGTGTTTTATTTTTCTAAAATAATACCATATAATAAATATAAAGCTACATAATTTATAGAAATTGTCAAGTAAGTTTAAAAAATGGAAAACGAATCACCAAAAGAACTATTTAATCTTATGGGTCCTTAAGATAGTGATTATAGCAAGAATCCTCCTACTGGATTAAATATGTTAACCTTTCATATACTAAGATGTTAAACAAATGACGAAGATAACCATATATCCATCTTCGTTAAGATAGTCTGAAATGAGAATTAAAATAAAACCACACAATTAAATTTTGGCCAATTCAACAGATTGGCAACCAGTAAGGTTACAAAGTACTACACTTCAGTTTTGACATCAAAATAACCATCTGCCCTCATAATGTCTAAATCAAATAGCTAAAATGCACACAAAAACACTTTGCAGGTTCTTAACATCAGGAAAAATCAAGAAATAAAAAGTAGGAGAATAAAGTAACTCAACGTTTGTTCATAGCTGACTACCAGTGATATTCCAACTAATACAGCTTTATGTGAATCCCACTTTGGAAATACTCTTCCTTTCCATGTAGAAATCCTAATTCTCTGTTACCTACATTTGTTTTCACTCAATCAGCATTTACTGATTGCAGCACCCAGTGCTAGATGCTGGGTGAAGCACCAAAATAGCGCCTTTAAGACTCACTCTTGGGTGAAGGGGGACAGACACAGGAAAAAGAGGAAAAAAAGAAAAAAAATTATATAATGCAAGGCAGATTAAAATCAGTGCCAAATTGAAATATAAGTACTATGCAATCAGAACAAATGTTCAGAAAAAGGAGCAATACATTCTTAAAGAGGGAGGTTCAAACACAATTTCTTCCAAAGAAGGGGAATTTATGCAAAGTTCTAAAAAATGAGAAAGATGTGCAGGGTGAGGAACCAGGACGAGCAAAGGTCAGGGTTGAAAGGACAGGAGGGGATTTGAAGCTGCAGACTGTGTGCAGACTGGCACAAGAGTGTGACCCATGCAGGAAGGAGGGGTGAAGACCAGCTGAGAAAGGCAGGCTGGGGGATTTGGGTGCCACCCTAAGTAAGGAGTTTGGACTTTATCCTCTAGTAACTGGAAATACTAAAGATTGTTGAGTTTTAAGAAAATGGCTCTGAAAGTGGTGAGATAGGCAGATATCAGAGATGAGAAGAGAAAGGAACATCACTATGATGTTCATAAAAACAGTACAGATTAGAGATGAAGATCCAAACTAGGGCAAAGATGGGGGACAAAGGGTGAGGACAGACATGACTGGTATCACTGGAGAGGAACCATCAGCTGCATGTGCACAGTGACTATACCACACTGTAGCTTCACCCAGCCTTCTCTTCAATCTTCTTTCTAAAAACAGTGGGTCTTTTCCCATGTAACTTCTATTTGTTCCAATGGTCCCACTGCCTCCCTTCTCCCAAACATCCTCCTTTCCTTGCTGGTTCAGTCTCTTCGCATTCATTTGTCCTTCACTGAACTTTCATCCAAGGCCTATAGACAAGTGAAAGCCTATTACTTTAAAAAAGAAAAATATGTGCAACTTGCTTTTGAGTCAAGTTACCATCTCATAAGCTGCTTCTCCTACCATCAACGTGTCTTAGAAGAATTAGCTATGCACATTGCTTCCAGAGCAACATGGAACGAGTCCTCTATGCCTTCAATATGGTTTCCACCCCATCATTCAACTGAAACCAGCTGTGTTCTGAAAGGCCACCAGGCTGGCTATCAGGTAGTAATAGAAGTACACAGACCAGAACAAGTAAAGTAAAATCTCACTATACTTTGCAGTAACTACTTTTATGCTGGAACCTGGATACTTCATTTTAGGATGTGTGCTGAAAAACAAACAAGTTTAGGAGGAAAATAACCAGTTTATCAAGAGAAATGGCTGAAAGGGAGGATTCTGTTACTGGAAAAGATGAAAACTTGTAAAGGAAGGTCTGACGGACAACGACTACAATTTAACTGAGGAATCACTGATGAAGAAGGGGGCTCTAGCAGGCAGAAACAAGATCAGTGAACTGAAATTACTTGGGAGTACAAAAGGCAGAATTCAGTGCAGTACAGGTTTAAGTATCCCTTATCCAAAATGCTTAGGACCAGAAGTATTTTGGATGTGGGATTTTTTCAGATTTTAGAATATTTGTATTACACTTACCAGCTGAGCATCTCTAATCCGAAAATCTGAAATCTAAAATGCTCCAAAGAGCATTTTCTTTTGAGCATCATGTCGATGTTCAAAAAGTTTCAGATTTTGGAGCATTTCAGATTTTGAATTTTCTGATTAGGGATGTTCAACCTGTACAAGAAAGTACTTTTATGTAGTCACTGTAAGAAAAGTCACCTGAAAAGGTTTATGCCAAAACTGAAGTCTACATATCAGAATTGTCCAAAGCCTTGATACCCAGTATGCAGTCCATGGACAGGGATCTCAGCCTCACCTTGGAGCTGTCAGAAATGCAGAATCTCAGGCCCCACTCCAGACACTAACTCAGAAATCTACGTTTACTAAGATTCTCTGGAGATTCTTTCGGCATTAAAGTTTGAGAAACACTGGAATAACAGTCTTGAGATTAAATGTGAAACGGAGTGATATGGTTTGGCTGTGTCCCCACCAAATCTCATCTTGAAATGTAGTCCCATAATCCCTATGTGTCATGGGAGGGACCTAGTGGGAAGTAATTGAATCCTGGGGGCAATTACCTCCATGCTGTTCTCATGATAGTGAGTTCTCACAAGATCTGATGGTTTTATAAGGGACTTTCCCCTCGCTTCACTCTGCACTTCTCCTTTCTGCCACCAAGAATAACATGTTTGCTACCCTTCTGCCATGATTGTAAGTTTCCTGAGGCCTCCCCAGCCCTGCAGAACTGTCAGACAATTAAACCTCTTTCTTTTATAAATTACCCAGTCTGGCAAATTTCTTCACAGCAGCATGAGAACCTAATATGGAAACTGAATTAAGCCTTGGGGATTTTTCCTTTCAAACATGAATTTATGGAAAGCAAAACTCAGTAGTCCAGCAATCTCAGTTCTTTCATTTGACTTCTGCCCACTAGACCAAAATATGGTTTCTAGGGTTTATAGTATCACTTTTTATGCTTATTTAATATTATAAACAACAATTTAGTCATAGTTTACTCGATGTAAGTACAAGGATCTATGAAGAATCTCATCATTTCTCTAGCTTCAATAATAAAAGTGTACAAAAATAGTTTCCCGAAGAGATTCAGAATTATAGTCAGGTGCTGCCTAATGACATTTCAGTCAACAACAGACCATATATAGAGTGGTAGTGCCATCAGATTATAGTACTATGTTTTTACTGTACCTTTTCCAAGTTTAGATACATAAATACTTATCATTGTGTTCAACTGCTTACAGAATTCAGTACAGTAACATGCTATACAGGTTTGTAGCCTAGGAGGAACAGGCTATACAATGTAGCCGAGGTGTGTGGTAGGCTATACCATCTAGATTTGTGTAAGTACACTCTATGATGTTCTCACAATGACAAAAATCACCGAATGATGCATTTTTCAGAATGTATCCCCATCATTAGGTGACACATGACTGTGATCTTATATAGCGCCTTGGTTAAATAATTGTTTTCCACTTTAATGTGTCAAAATTAAATTCTATTATTCAGTCTTATAGCGGTATATTTATAGAAAAGAAATGCATACTTCACAATTATTTGAGATTCAATAAGATATTCATATACAATCATCTACAATAGCACTATGTATAACTGGTTCATATGAAAACATTTCAAATGTTATTTTATGAACGTAAGGATTCTGTTAAAAAACTGGGTTAAGGTACCTTATAATGGTACATTTACAGTATGGCAACATTAAATGAGTGGGTTAGAAAAAAAAAATGCCACAGAGGGAAAATAAGGATAAGAAAGCACCATGGATTTCTTTCTTTTTTTTTAAGAGATGAGGTTTTACTGTCACCCAGGCTGGAGTGCAGTATGGCATGATCACAGCTCACCACAGCCTGGAACTCCTGGGCTCCAGTGATCCTCCCACCTCGGCCTCCTGAGTAGCTGGAATTACAGGTGCAAGCCACCACAGCCAGCTGCAAGACGGATTTCTATGGCTGGTATCTAAAATGCATTACCGTGACTCCTAATCATATGGCTAACTGAGGGCTAGATTTGGCTTCAAGTTTTCTAGCAGCCAACTTAAACAGGAAAACAATTTAAGCCTGGAGGTATTTTATGTTTTAGAATGTGCACTTAGAATGCCATGATTAATGCCCCTAAAAATGTATAAAATAGACTCATTACATATGTTCAAAATGTTGAATAGAAGATTCATGTTTTATACTAAATTAATTCCAAAATATCTAATTATATACTGTAAAATATTCTAACAAATCATATTTATGGATATATAATAATCACATTTCGTTTTCTAGCACTGAGTGACTCAGTGCTGATAACTGATAAAACTTTAGGCCACATCAAAAATAAGATTTAAGAAAGGAAAAAAATAAAACTTACCAAATAGATTTCCTAAACTTGCATCCATTTTTATTTCAAATACTTGAGAAATAACATAAAATGTCAGTAAAAACACTGCCACAGCTACCACCAACTTTGCAGCACCTAAAAGGCAGAAGTATTTCAGCATAACTTTGTAAGCCCACAGAACTTTTATTTTGCATTTCTATGAAAAATGTTTATAAATTTTTTAAGATCAATACATTTCTACTTTGTATCTATTAGATCTTAATTTTACATGAGATACATAAAAATTATACAAACAATTCATCAAGATAAAGAATTTTCCTGATCAAAGAATTCTCAGATTATCTAGCTATCCAAAGGACTGCTTGAACCATCTGCCTAGTTTTATATGCAAAAAAATTACCTATTAGTTGCTGACAACAAAAAAGTGTCATGACTAATGGAACACCACCACCAAGTTTGTTGAATGGCAGATTCCTTATCCTTCATAAATATAAGGAGCAATACTAGATAGGATTTTTCAAAAACAGTGGAACTTCTGGGGATGCTAAGGCCACAATGTCCACTAAGCGAGGAATTCTCAAGTGACATGTTACAGATTTATTGTCCTATCACTAACCAACACATCTCCTGGAGCTACATAAGCCCTCCTGGTGTGGCGATCAACAAAGCCTTCCTCTTCATACTTAATACCTTAGTACCTTAAGACAGGCCTTCTCCATTCCTGCAGGATATAATTTGGTACCTATCACATATGCTTCATAACACAGTTACATGGAAAGCTCCAAGTGCGCAGACTCTTCAATGAACTGATGATGCTCAGAGAGCTACTGCTTCTCACAGCCTACTCATTTCTGTATAGAAACACTCTACTGATAACTACATGGGGAGCGGGACAGGGAGTATGTAGAAAATCTCTGCATCTTCCTCTCAAATTAGCTGTGAACCTAAAACTGCTTTAAAATAATAAAGTCTTAAAAAATCCGAAAGAAACACTATTAATGTAGAAATGAAAGAGCAATGAGGAAGTCTAACTATAATACTAATCAATCCCTGCCTCCCTTTTCCATTTCCTACCTTGTCCCCTCCAAAATCTGCTTCCTATTTTCAAGAGCAACTTACAAGTTGCCTACATTTTTAGTGCATAAGAGAGCAAAATTCTGTTAGGCTTTGAACTCTTCTCCCCAGGATCTAGCAAAGTGCACTGTATACACTGATACTATCAACAACTGTTTGCTAAGTAGATAAATGGTAACAGGTGGCATAGTCCTTCTTGATCATTTAAGACTAAGACCAAGAGCTCAAAAATTACATGTCACATGATGGTCTTACCATCTTATTTTCTAGCAATCATAGGCACATGCAACCAGAGATAACTTTTCCCTGTCCTGTAAAACAGTCATATGAAAACTTCATTGTTCAAAACTGAAAAATTAAAATATCAAGACGATAACACAAACATTCTAAATTCTATACCAAGCTAAATGTAAGCCTACATTAAAAAAAGCTATATACAGCAGCATGGATGAAGCTGGAGGCCATTACACTAAGCAAACTAACACAGGAACAGAAAACCAAATAGTGCATGTTCTCATTCATAAGCAAAAGCTAAACACTGAGAAGGGAACATATAAACATAAAGAAGGGAAAAACAGACTCTGGGGCCTACTTGAGGGTGGAGGGTGGGAAGAGAATGAGGATCAAAAAACTACCTATCAGGTACTATGCTTACTACCTGGATGATGAAATAATCTGTACACCAAGCCCCTGTGACACTCAATTTATTTTACCTAGATAACGAACCTGTACATGTACCCTTGAGCCTAAAAGTTTTAAAAAAGCTATATACAAACATTTTATATATATATATATATATATATGACACTCACATATACCGTTTACTTAGTGTCTTCTGTAGAACTAAATGCTTTATAAGTATAATCTCATTTGCATAACTTTGCAAGGCATTATTTTCCTTTTACAAATAAGGAAAACAGGGCTAAAATTTTACATCATTTGCCTAAGGTCACATAACTAGTCAGCGGCAACATTGAGTCTTAAACCAAGACCTGTTCACTTACACTGAACCATCAGAGGAACTAGGAGGAAAGAAAAGCTCTAAGGCAGACAAAAGTTAGAGGTGGAGAAACTAGCAGTCTCCATGGGGTTAGAGTTCTGGAACTTCTGTTACAGAGATCGCCCCCAAAGCTGGCCTGACTCCAGGACCAGCATCCCATTCTGGACTTGATGGGGCCTAACATACCAACCACAATTCCCATTCTTAGCTTTCCATAAGATTCCCTCTTCCTCCTAGTCACAGACTGCACTAATATCAGTGTGCTCCAGTTTTTCACAAGCCAAGAAGTACAAACTTCAGACATTCATGCCTCACTGTAAGAAGAATGGCTATGAGGATATTTCAAAGCAATCAGATTTTTTTAAAAAAATTAGAAGAGATTAATTAGTTAAAAGCAATAAATTAATAGCTAATTGTCCTTATTCATTCATTCAAGGCAGTTCCCTCAAGACCTATACTAGGAACAGTGCCAAACACAAAATAAGCACTCAGTGAATAATTACTCATCAATTAACCTGGGAATTGTCAGAACCAGAGAAATGGACTAAATGACAAAGTTAATTTCAAATAACATGAATTTAAAATTATGTGAGAAAGAGAAACTTACTTTATTTCAAATTGCCATGCTTAAATAATGTACTTTAAAAATCATCTGGAGACATGACATCATAAATAGTAAGTCCTGCTGTACTCAAAGAACATCCACACACACACACACACACACACACACACACACACGCATGCAACATAAAAAGACATTGCAACACATTTATTTAGACCACAAACAAGTTCTTCGTTTCTGAGAATATTTTTCTTGAACAATTGTACCGTTACTTTTTTTAAAATTGCTTTATAATTTCACAAGAGATTCAGTTTTTCAAGTTTCTACAAAAGCATTTGTAACAGCCCTCAGTTATCTTTGTTTAATAATCATGATGTTTAATCAATTGCGCCTGATTCTACACAATTATGACCACAGTATGAAGACTGGTTTGTTCACCCAGCTTGACTTTAGGCATTTCTAAGAGATGCTCCCTTAGGAAAATAATTGGTTTGCTGCTGAGATGACAATTAAGAAAAAGACTAATTATCTTGATTTTGAGAAATTACAAGTTACCTATGTTGGGCACACGCTTAGTAGAAATTTCCATGTAAAGTATGCATTTCTTCTAGGGCTTTGGTTGATGGGAAGGGTGGGGAAAAACAGACTTATTTTTACTACACAGGAAGAGGTCATCAGCCCCTCCAGTTATTTATAAACGTGTCTTTTTAGAATATTTAAATATAACTACCTTAATATTATGAACATCTAATGGTGTTTTTCAATTTTCTCAATATGCTGCTTAATAAACAGATTAAAGTTCTTACACATAAACTCACCTATGCAGATTAAACTTGAACAAATACTGAGCAAAAACACATATTTTATCGAATCCTTCACACACATCTTAATTTAAGTACATACATATGAGACATTTAAACTTTAAAACTTTATAACTCATTTTTCTCAAGACGCTAGAACATAGCAAAAACAAAAATCAGCCTCCCTAGGTTGTCAAACCATTCTTTATATGGGCATTATATACAGTCTTTAGGTTTTTTTTTTTTTTTTTTCAGATTTTAGAATATTTGCATCATACTTACCAGCTGAACTTCCCAAATCTGAAAATCTGAAACCTAAATACTCAAATGAGCATTTCCTTTGAGCATCATGTGTTGCTGCTCATAAAGTTTTAGATTTTGGAGCATTTCAGATCTTCAGATTTAAGAAGCTCAATGTGTAATTTCAACAAAAGACTTGAACAAAAAAAAAAATTTATGTGATACTGACTAAATGTCCAATTTGTGATTTGCCAACTACCTAAAAACAAAGGGCTGAATGATTTAGTTTATTTCAGTTTAACCTTCTCAATATAAAGATTATTTAACCTCTCCTTTAGTTATTCTTTAACAAACAGGTTACACAAAAAGTACAATTACTTCTACTAAATTAAATATCTTACCTGCTACCCTCATGTTTGGTTTTTCAGTTTATGGCACTTTTCATTAATATGCTCCTAAAAAATCAAAACAAAAAGCAAATATCATTAGCTCTAGAGCAAACATTCCTCCTTAGATTGAGTTTGAAATGGGGCATATAAACTAGTAAATTTTATGACATTTCTAAGTATTATGCCAACATTGGCATTAAAAAAAAAAAAAATGGGCCTGTCTTCCACTGGACCATAAGACCTCAAGGAGGGTCTGTCTTACCCTGCTGTGTCTTCAGCTAACTGAATGACCAAAGAGTAAAAGTGTGTTATCAAGCTTGTGAATAGAAGAGAATGCCTTCTTATTCTCATGGATTATGCATCTATAAGAAACTTTTGATATTTAGCTCCAAACCTTCAGTTTGCAGATGATGTCCAAAGAGGTTAAGCTGCTTATCTAGTTGTGGAACAAATTATTTGTAGACATGGGGCTGGAATTGAGGTCAGCTGGCTCACTCCAGTACATGATGCCACTTCATTTTTGATATGACATAATTCAAGTGCCACTACCATAAGCATTTACAGCAAGGGCTTCCGATTTCAATACCAGGGACCTCTTCATGTTTTTCGATTTAAGTTTGTAAAATAATATGTTAAGAAGTACAGAACTGCAATTTTAAATATCCCAGCAATTATCATGATTGACAGAGTAATGTTAATACATCAAATGGATCAACTGTTCTTTGATATTACTGTAAGATCAACAGGAAACAGATGCTGGAAAAAAATCTGTATGTGCATGGGTGTTTTCCTCCTAAGAAATAACTCAAAATAGGTGACATTTTGAAAAGAAAATGAAAAAATAAGTAAGTTTAATAAGAAAGCCACATTCAAGTTTAGCTGGAGAGCTTCCACAGTCAACTCAACCTATTGTAAAGGAATGGAATTCAAAAGGAAATTTTGATGGATGAATCCCATTTGCCAGCAGTACATATCTATTTTAGATTGTATTTTGATATTTATGTTTCAATATTGTTGCCTGATCTAGTAATTCACAGAATGTGTCAAGAAAATAGTAATAATGGCACATCTCTGAAGGACACTGAAAAGAAGTGAGACATGCACTTTTTTTATTCACTGGACTAGGCAGGTGGGCTTCAGCAGGGTTCTGGGGGGCGGGGGAGTCTGGACAGCTCCCAAAAGTCCAATGCTCTTAGGCTAGCTCTCTTTCTTCTGCACAACATACCCTAAAGAAAAAACAACACTTAAACTGAGTTGTGTGTCATTGATTTCCTTTGTTAATTATCTGAACAGCTTCCACGTAATAGAAAAAGTCAATGTTATATATCTATTTCAACTACCTAGCCACAGGCTAGGAAAATACTAAAAGGAAACAAGATACTGAAGTATCCACAAACCATCACATAAAAGCAGAAAAAAACCTCCGCTTTTTAAATGAAAACCCCAACTGGTTATAAATCCTCTGTTGGCTTCTGGCAAAACTGAACTCAGCTTTCATAACATATACATGCTTTTCCTGCCAGCTAATTTTCCAAAATAACTTCACTCTTATCTGAGTGTGACCTAGGAAAATTTCTTTGAAAGTGTGATAAGCAGTTACGCACCAGGTACTTGATGTTCTATTTCACTGTTTCCATGGCCTGCTCAGGCCACACCTTGCAGTGGATGCTGCATGTACCTGCCACCCATTTGTATCTCCCAACAAACCTGTTTCTAAACTCATCCCTAAGACCACAATATAAGCAATGATGATTGTCTAGCTGAATACAACTGTTTTCCATTAAAATGTCTCAGAGAATTCACATTTAGTAAAATTTCTAAATTAAAATCTCATCAAATTAAATCTCAGCCATAACATGCCTCAATTAATTTCCTTAAGAAGCAAATTAATGATTCAAGAATCTACATCAGGATAGGAGTATTGAATATATTTGAGAGCAAATCAAGGAGCATCTATGTATGATGATAATGTGCTAATTCTAAATCATTCCTATTTGTCTTCTTAGAGGGGGCATGTAAAAGCAAAGAAAATATTTACATACAATTATCTTGTATGGGTGAGGGAAGCAAAAACTTAATGGAAACTTCAGGCTGAAAACCATCAATAATTAAACAAGGATTGAACAGGTCCAGAGAAAAGGAGCACAATAGTAAAGGGAGAAAAAGGCCTTTGCTAGAAATTCAGAACTCTAAATCTAGAGGCAACAGGCGAAAGGGCTTATATATAAGTATGTTCATTAAAAGGTAGAAATATAGATATTAGAGCCACTTACCAAAACCAGAAAATGAGTCACAGAAGGATATTTTTAGGATGGAAAAAAAACCCCAAAACTCAACTTAGTACATTTATACATTTGCTCCAAAAAGTGTTACATAGGCCAAAATTTGTTTTAGTGTTTTTGATAAATATATGTCACTGAACCAAATCCAGTTGCTAATATGTAAGGTTCATAATCACCTGAGATTCAACAGCAAGGACAGCCACCACAATGTCGCTGGACAATGAAACACTGCAGCTGGAAAGAGCGCCTGAACTAGGGCCTCAGATGGACGTACTAAACTTCTTTACATGGTTGACAATTTAAACATTCCTTTGGCCCCACTATCTACTCTGATCTAATTTAGTGAAGTTTTATTACTCAGGTAGAAATCAAGCTACTATGTGAATAAGGAGTCATTGTTCTAGAATAAATTAACTTCAGGAACAACAGAGTAAAATCAAAGGTCAAGTGATACTTCCATTATTTCCTTGGGAAGTGGACTAAATCACATAAACCACAGAAACATCACTCTATATTGACAAAATTGTCATAAAAAATTATTTACCAGGAGGGGGATTTCTTGCCAGTTAACATAAACCAAGTATGAATACATACTTATGTCAGTGCAATTCACACACACCCTTATTTTATGTAATCTTCCCACCAGCCTCTAGTTGCTGGGGGCATTAAAACAGCAGCATATATGAGATCAGGGGATTTCTCTAGGGTCACATGAAGGGTAAGTAAGAAGCTCACGCTACAAACAAATCCACTTCCTTTTCACTCCAGCTGTTCACTGACACACTCTAATATAAGAGGCTTGTTGACAAAATGTCATGCCAATCAACTTGGCTTTTGCAAACTGCTTTGGGAATTGCTACAAACTACCCACTCCAGCAATTCAACAGTATGGCAAAATGACTAAGCTTGGGTATTGGAACCCCTCCTTGAAATGGAAATGATACAAGAAAATTAAACGTACAAATACACCCTTTGATGTACCTACTTAATATTAACAAACAGCACTTAATTAAACCACAGGAAAATACCACAAGTTATCCTCTACAAATAGAGAAACTATCATTCAATTCAATCCTACTTCAACTCAGTGCTGGACAAATGACAATTTTAACCCAACCAACTTAGAAAGTTCCCATGATTCTAATAATAAGGGATTCTAATAAGTAAGGGAGAATTCGCCTTCTTTGCCTATCTTTAAACTGAGACAATGCCTTCAGACTCAGACCAGACTATACCATTCATTCTCCTGGACTGTCAGAGCTTGCCAACTTGTCAGATCTTGGACTTCTCAGCATTCATAATCTCATGAGCCAATCCCTTATAATAAACATATACACACACACACACAAACACGCACATACAAATCATATACCTGTATATAAATGAAGCTATCTCCACATGTATTATAAGGAATATATGTCTATATATCTAGAGCTATATCTATACATACACACACACACGCACACATATATATATATATATATATGTAATTGGTTCTGTTTTTCTATAGAACTCAGACTAATACAGACCCCCTCAAGAACAGAATGTAAAAAATTAAATTTTTATCCCCAGAGCATTTAAAGTAAAAGAGAAAAATGAGATAATACTAAAATCAAAAGAATGCTACAACTCAAAGAGTCACTAGGGTAGGTTACTCCGATGTTGCATTTACAAACAAAAGCATGGTATTTTTTAAAAAATACTGTGTTTGCTATAAATAACTACTTTTATGTGAGTAAAACAGGGCAACTGTTGGCAAACTCTTTCTATAAAAGGGCCAGATGGTAAATATTTTTAGGCTTTATGGACCATACAATCTCTACTGCAATTACGCCACTCTGCAGTTGTAGCTAGAAAGCAACCATAGCCAACATGTGAACGAATGAGTCTAATTATATTCTAATAAAGCTTTCTTTATAGACACTGAAATTTAAATTTCATAAAATGTTCATGTGTCACAAAATTATTCTTTTGATTTTTTTTCAACCCACTTAAAAATGTGAAAACCAGTTTTGGCTTGTGGGCCATACAGGCCTAGGGGTTGTACTTTGTCAACCCCTAATAAAAAGAAATAAAAATATAAAATTTAAAAATAAAGGAATAAACATCTTTCCCAACCAGGCTCTAACAGTCCAACTTTTTTTGCTGGGCTACGTGTAGGACATACAACTTCCACATGGCTTTGACAGGTCCTCTTAGAAGTACTACTACAGATGTAGGACAGATGAAACAATCCTAATTTCTGTGCTCCACACGTGTTCATCAAACATTTTCATAATCTGCTCTCCACAGAAAGAAGCATAATTCCATGAGAAACAACAGAATGGATCCTCTTCAAAAGGAAGAAAAAAGTCCTTCCCATCCTGTAGATGAAGCTATCCATCTATAGCAAAGGTGGAAACAAATCTAGATGCTGTTATGTTTCCAAACCAATCCCAGGAAATGTAAAGAAACCAATAAAAATTAATCTCACTATATTACACTTCAGTAACTATAAAAATTATGTTCTTGGGAAAAAACTTACATTACTATTTCCTTTATGTGGGTGTTTATATGGGATTATTTTTATGATAGGTTTAAAAAAAGAGTGAAGTAAATGTGCATCTAATGCTTAACAAACTTCTAAAATTCCAAATATTTAGCTTTAAAAAACCTTGTCTTTAATAACAAGTTATTACTATTGCACATGCAGACGGCTGTCAAGTACCCTGTCTCCCCTGAATGCAACTATACACACATCTTTGCAAAGCTGGCTACATTTTTGAAATAACAAAATGGAAAGGAATAAGATGACTGCATTCATTTGAAAAAATATTAACATTTAAAAACTCAGTAGGATATCTGAGCTGCTATCATTGTGTTAGAAATATTGTAAATTTAACAAAATTTGGTGTTTTTAACACTAAAGGCTTGAAAGAAAAATCTAGTTACTAACTTGAGAAAGTATTTAATACTAGCAGGATACCGAATCCTAGAAGGTACACTCTTTTAAAAGAAACCACCATTTTAACACACACACACACACACACACACACTCACACACTCCTGTTGTACAGCTTCAGAGGTGGGTATGACTTGATCACAAATAAAGGGAGATTTTTACATGACTACCAGCAACTAGAAAAGTATCCCAGATTTTTAAAGAATCAAGCTAAACTCACATTTTGAAAAGGGAAAAAAAGGAACAAAAACAAAATTGGGGGTGTGGGGAGAGGTGATCCATATGAATTCTATAATACTAGGAATGACAAATTTTTCAAAAGATCACCAATGATTATGATGTAAATGTATCCACTCCTTCTGCAAAGTGTCCCCCAAAAAGCAACAGACCAAAAACTTATAAACAATGGGTCAAGTGAACCAATAAGAGTTTTAAAATAAATGTTTAATGTTCTATTGAAAATCTTGGGAAAAGAATACAGATGATCTATGCCTAGATTTTTGACAGTTTTCTGAATCAACATCATCTGGCTTTTCTTATTTTCTTAAGTAGCATCATATTGAAATTACATTTAAAAGAGAACATCTAAATGTGGCTAAGAAACAGAAATAGAATTAGAAGTATACTATGGAAAAGCACAAATGAGCCAGAAAGTGTTTTTAAATTTCCCCTAGAATGTTAACCAATGCCAGATATGAAGCAAATTGGGATTATACTAGGCAAGTTCAGCTTTCCTCCACAATCCACCATAAACTGCTCTACCTTGTTTTTCATTTGGCGCTCCTGACAGTGAATGGAGAAAAACACTTCGGAAAACTTCTATCTACAGCAATTTAGATAAAACTCCATTCTTCTAAGAATGAAATTGGTAAAATATAATACCTGCTTCTCCCTCCACTTAAAAACAGGTTAGCAAAAGTGCTCAGCTAAATCATGAAAGTGCCCCATCTAGGCCAACTTTTACCCAAAGACTTAGTGTAGGGAGAGGCAGCCAAGCCTGACAGGCCATACACACTACATTCTGAGAACATAAGTATTCCAACATGATTCATCTCAATGTTAAGAATTTCATAGTACAACCCCCTTAAATCAATGTGAATTAGCTAAAGAGACCTACAGTTATTCTTTTCAGAAATCTGGTATTTAGTGGATCAACAAGTATTTAACCATGTCTTCCAAAAACACTTCAAGGAGCTAAAAACTAAATGGATCTGAGCTCTTCTGCTCCTCTATACCCAAATATAACATGGCTAGGCAACTTTTTCCTAAAAAAGATATTTTGTTTTCCAAGCTACTACTACTGAAGGAAGCACCTTAAGCAGGTGGGGTTGCTCTTCACTGAATTCTCATTAATGGGGAAAGATTTGTTCTAACCTACAGATAAGCCCTCATTCAGTACCCAATATGCCACTACAGCATTTCTGAGTTGGCAGCCAGAGTTCAGGTTTACACTGACACAGATTTGGTGTTTACCCCAAATATTGCCATTACATCCTACCACTACTCAGTACAAGATGCTATGCGGCTGGTATATATGTGTATAATCACCTAGCTGGCATTAATGAGGGCTGTGGACTCTCTAACAGGAAAGTGGCAAAAAAAAAAAAAGGTAGACATCAAATGATTATGCCACACCTTACTATTTCAGTGGACTATAATTACAAAACAGGAATCACTGAAGTACAAGGAGGATAGAAATCAGACTTCTGAACTGAGCCAGCAACATCTAAATGACTGGAAATGAGTAGGATGAAATTAATATGGGGCCAAACTGGAGTCTATTACACCCCCATATACACCTAAGTTGCATTTTAAAACAAAGTCATCAGTACAATTTTCATTACAAATAGATGTCAACTAAGGACACCTTATATAAACTCCTCATTGCAATCAAATAATTTATATGGTAAAAGATCTGAAGAACTGTTGCTTTGTAATTTTTTAAAATCTCATATCTGCTATGCTTCATAATAACCTGTTAAGATAATAAGAGGAACCTCTGGTTGCCAGGCACTTAATACCCTATTTATTTTAACTAAACTCATTTTGCATCTTGCTTCCCTCATTTTAACTAAACTCAGGATAAGGCTTACAACCACATTTTTATTTCTTAGTAGTGAAACCACCATTGCAAAATTATAACTGAAATGGTGAAAAAGATCTGACCTAACCAACTCCATCTTGCTTCTAACCTCCAGGTTGTCCTTGTTCATTCCTGGGCATAGGCCATAACTTTGGGAGGAACTTAGTTTATAGTTTAAAACAAAGATGGTAACAGCCCTTTCCCAAAACAAACCTCCTTCTTGCCTGGGGACTAGACTGCCTTTGTAGGACTAACAAATTAGCCACAAGATTGGAAATTAGGGCTTAGGAGTCATGCAGCTGAAAGCTACCAGATTCTGACCCTTACCATCTGTGGCGTCATAGATTCAATGAAACATCATATGTTCTTTGAACCTCTTACTACAGGGTTACCTATAGCATGCACACCAGAATTACTAGTGTGTTTTTTAAAATGCAAACTCCTGAGCCAACTGCATACCTGGAGAATCAGAATCCCTAGGAGTGGGATTAAAGCTCTTGCATGTTTAATAAGCTCCCCAGATGACTGTCATTCGTGCTCAGATCTGAGAGCTTCAGATCTACAGCACACCAATCCACACACACAGGAAAGGCTGTGTGGGGCGGGGGGGGGGGGGGGGGGGAAGGTAAGGCAGATCTAAACCAAAAAAGTTCAAAAGTAAAATTCACATGACAAGATTTTTCATTCTTTCTGGAACAGTCAACCTGCCACCAGAATGGGTCTTCAGTTTTGGTGGGCAACAGATAAATCCAGAGAAAATGTGGTGAGGAATAAATAATCAAGAACTCCTGTTTGCAGGGGTTAAACCAGAGTACTAGATTTAATATTACTCAAATGTTTTCTTGCAGTTTTTATTATCTACCAAAGCAGAATTTTGCTTAAAAAGTTATAATCCACTTAACGAAATGAAATGGTGACTGGATTTCTGCAACCAAGACCACAAACATACCCAAAACAGAAAACAAGACAGAACTCTACAAAATGACATTCAGTTTTGCCTGCTATGAGTTCTACAATTGTTTAAACACTTGTGATCTAAGCTACCTTAATCCTATAGTACACCATCCAGGGAGAGATGGATAGATGAATGAATGGATGGACAGAAAGAAATAGCTATTCTTAGAAACAATGACAACAATAAAATGAAATATATTAACTGTTAGAGGTTGAACATAAATGGGGTAATGAAGTGTCCCACTCATAAACTGCTAAAATGAGATTAGAGAAAGGTACACATTTACATACAGTAGAACTGCTATCTTCATCTCATGTAACTATCTCACATTGTACTAGATGAGAAGTTATAGGTTCCTGTTCTACGTGTTTAAGAATTCCCTTAGGTATCCACTCTACTTATGCTGTTTTGAAGTAGTCTGCAGAATTTAAGTGCACCAGGGTAGACATAATTCCATCAGTCACACCCTCCAAATGAAGACATGGAGAAACAGAATGGTTCCATCGCCCAAGGGTCCTGGATGAAATGCAGTATTGGCACACCATTTGTACCACAAAAACTGAATGAGAATTAGCACTGCTGAAGTAAATTAAAATGGAAACCATGCCTGAAGAATCCCCGAGCAGACAAAACCAATTAGGCCTCATAAGTGACATCAACCTCACTTGATTTGCAAACATAAGCAAAATATGAAGTTACTTCTTATAAATGCCTATGCTAAAGAAAAAGAGAACTTAAGCTTAATCAATCAGAAACATCCAACAAACTTCTAATTACATATCTAGGGGACCTTCCAACACGACAGACCAAATAAAACAACTGTATAACTGCAGCCAATCAAATATTTTCTTTGCTTTACATCTGTGACCCTCCTATAAAAGCCTCCCTCCTGGATTCCCCTGGTGGAGCTCCCAGATCTGGTTTGGAGCTGCTCAATTCATGAATTGTTTGTTCAAATAAACTCTAAAGATGCTTCTATTGTAAAATTTTGTGAAAACGTATTGTATTAGTCCGTTTTTGCACTGTTATAAAGAAATACCCAAGACTGGGTAACCTATAAAGGAAAGAAGTTTAACTGACTCACAGTCCCACATGGCTGGGGAGGTGTCAGGAAACTTACAATCATGGAGGAAGGCTAAGGGGAAACAGACACCTTTTTCACAAGGCAGCAGGAGAGAGAAGAGAGAGAGTGCAGGAAAAACTTCCATTTGTAAAACCATCAGATCTTGTAAGAACTCACTGTCACGAGAACAACATGGGGGAAGCCGCCCTCATGATGCAATCACTTCCCTCCCTCGACACACAGGGATTACAATTTGAGATGAGATTTGAGTGGGGACGCAGAACCAAACCACACCACGTATCAACTGAACCAACTTAAAAATCCATTTTTGTTGACCTTGCGTCTTTCAAAACTCATTTAACAATCACTTAACTGCAAGTAATGAATGATATGTTAGGTAGCACACCTGACACCATAACACTACCTTAGCAAGCCTTGTAGAGATTATGACGAAAATCAATTTAGAGATGTTCATATAACTTTCTGAATAGCACACAAAAATTTAACAAATGAATAAACAAAATGCAGTACGTATCAACGAAATGATATATATGTAATGTGGTGTATATGAATGGAATATAGAATGGAATATTACTCACCCTTAAAAAGGAATGAAGTACTGATACCTGCTGATTTAGAGGACGAACCTCTAAAACATGCTAAGTGAAAGAAGCCAGACACAAAAGAACACATATTGAATTATTCAATTTTTAGGAAAATCCAGAATAGATAAATTTATGGGGGCAGAAAGCAGATCAGTGGTTGCCGAGGATTGGCAGGGAGAAGGGAATGAACAACTGCTTAATGAATATGGGGTTTCCTTTTGGGGTGATGAAAATGTTTTAGAAACGTGACGGTTCATAACATCATGAACGTGCTAAATGCCACACTTTAAAATGGAAAATCTGGCTAGGCATAGGGGCTCATGTCTGTAATCCCAGAGCTTTGGGAGGCTGAGGTCGAAGGATCACCTGAGGGCAGATTTGGCCAGCCTGTGCAAAATAGTAAGATCCCGTCTTTTAAGAAAAAAAATTATAAAATTAGTCGTGTGTGGTGGCACATGCCTGTAAACCTAGCTACTCCACAGGCTAAGGTGGAGTTCAAGGCTACAGTGAGTTATGATCACACCACTGCACTCCAGTCTGCAGAACAGTGGGGTACCCTGTCTTTGTAAATAATTTAAAAATAAAATGAAAAATTCTGTTACAGGAATTTAATTTAAAAAAGAAAATTGGAAGAAAAAACTCACTGAAGTTAGAAAAATCATGAATAGCGGATTTTCAAAATTAGATTAAAAATAAGGGAAATATAAGAATAGCTTCAATCAAATGGAGCAGGCCAATGAAGAAGAAAAAGAATATTAATGGGTACACTGGAAAGACTTAGGGGTATTACAACACTTAATTTCCTCCTCTGAGAGGAAGTCAGCCGATTGTGTCTCAAAGAATTGCATTAAAAGAAAGTACAAAACCTTTTAAAAGTTCAAAGATTTTGGGAAATTACCTGGTTCAGTCTACTCAATCAGATTAAAAAGGACTGCATGATATTAAGTAATTTAGTCAATGCCACTCTTGAAATAACTAAATACAGAATCAATGCTTCAAATCCTGATCATCTGATCCCAAGAACAGAGACGCTTCTGGACTAAATTCAAGACAAACTTTTGCTATTATACCAAGGTCGCACAAAAATCTATCTAGCTCAGCGCTAACATAAAAATCTTTTGCTATTTGGGTCTTGCACCTTTCAGCTTTAAGAAATGGGCATAAAAATAAAAATAAAAAAGATTCCCTGCTTTAGAGAAAATAAAGTAGCTTTGTGAGTGCCCAGGCTGTCTTATTCATAGTATCCATGATATCTACAATTACTGGTACATGGTAGGCACTCCAGTATTTTTAAGAGTATAAAAATTTTTGAAAAATGAATCGTTCAAAACCTAAAATATATGGTGGAAAATATATGAGTCTTCTGATACCCCCTCAGGGAACATTACTTTTTGCCATTCCATAGCCTCTTAGCCTTTTGGCTGTCTTTTCCAATTTCCTTTTCCTTTTTAATGTATCTTCATAAATTATGAAAGATTAGTTGACAATGCTTAAGGCAGCAATCCACATTAAAAATCTGTAATTGTAATAAAACATCCATTAAGTTTATTTTTAAAGTCACTTTAAGCCAGTAGTGTCTTATTTTTACTCCCTTTTGAAACAGAAGCCCCTTACAATGAGGATTTTGAGGAACCTGTCCTGTGTCCCTCTTACAAAGTTCCCATTGGTAATTCAGAGAGGTCCTCAGGTTGAGAACTGCTGGACTGAACTCCTTTTATTGGCTCCAACTCTTCTTATTTCTTCCTATGAAGAAATGCTAGTCTTTATTGAGTTGAGAAAACATTACAAGAATCTGTGAAACAAAGCTTCTAATACCTGTATAAAACTGAAAACCTTGTGACTTTATTGGTAAACAGCCAAGAAACACAAGAGACTACTAGTAGCCTCTAGAAAGAGGTACAGGTCGATGAAGTGACCAAAACCGGATGCTGATTTGCTGATTCTGCCAATTTCTTGTTAAATGGCTTTCAGTAAGTGATTAACTTTTATTTTCTAAATTCAATAGAGATCTGCTGGTACTCTGTAAGATACTGTATGACTAATAGTAACGGTTCCCAAGACTTAAGAAAACGTAACTGCAAATTGGCCACAAGTCCAAGGGGTCGGGGCCTCTGCTATCAGCATTGACCTTTACTCTCGGGAGTTCATATTTCCATCTGTAAAACTAGAAAAGATAAAGGGACTTATTCACTGAGCTGTTGTGAGAATAAATGAGCACACGAAACCATTTGGCAGTGCCTAGTACACAGTAAGCAATCTAATATTATTTATGTCATTGTATCCATATATATATGGATACATACATATATATGGATACATGGATACATACATATATACGGATACATACATATATATGGATACATACATACATATATATGGATACATACATATATATGGATACATACATATATATGGATACATACATATATATGGATACATACATACATATATATATATGGATACATACACCTGGCTAATTTTTTTATTTTTTAGTAGAGACGAGGTTTCACCATGTTGGCCAAAAAGAAACAAAGGAAAAGTCCTATCAATTAGATAGCAGTTCTATATTACAGGCAATAATATTTTTTCTTAAAAAAAAAAAAGGTAGAGGATGATGGAAACCGCTCCTCCCACAAGTAAAACAGCTGGAGCTCTCAATCTCAAATTGCCAATCCGTCACTCACATATTCAGATCTAGGGCCACTAATCATCATCCGTGGTCCCGAGCTGTGAGAGCAGTAGCAAACAAATAGGAAGAAAAAGAAGAGACACCAAACATCAAAGGGCTGGATAGCTTGTAAAAAACCAAAAGTACCTCTAGTATAGGCGACACTAAAACTTTACAAGTGAGTCAAAACGGCCCCCTATGGAGTTGGAATGCAACACCCAACTCCGTCCCCACCTCTCGGAGCTCTCAGCCTACACGCTGCAGGGGCGCGAGCCACAGCCAACCTGGGGAAGATGCGACCCAGGTGCCCGCCCCAGGCCGGGGCGCCGAGTGCCAGCGCCAGGTGCAGACGCCGCCCCGTCTCCGCGGAGCCCGGGGATGCCCACGCCGGGGCGGCGGCCGGGAACCCCGGCCAGCGGCTCTCCGGGACCCCAGTCCCGCCTGCGCCCTCTCCAACGTCCGGACACGCCGTGACAACGCGGCCGGGCCCGGGGCCCGCCCCCGGCCGGTGACCGCAGTGCGCGGAGGCTGAAGTCGTAGGTGGGCGTCTGGCTTCCCCGGCCTCCTCCATCCCTCCCCGAACCTGAGCCCCGGCTCCGTCCGCCTCCCAGCCGTCTCACCGGCCTCCCGCCCGCCTCTCCGCCGCGCGCGCCCGCCTTCCGGCCTCCCAGCGCTCAGTCCTGCCGGAGGCCGACGGGAGCCGCCGCCTCCAGCTCGCGCCTCCGCTTCCTCTCGGACTCCTCCGGCTGCCCCTCACCCCGGCAAGTGGCCAGGAGAAAGCCAGCTCGCCGCTGGGCCTCCTCCCACGCTTCCCGGCCGCGACCAATGGGCCCCCGCCGCCGGGAAGCCGCGCCCGCCCCCTGGCGGTGGAGGACCAAGCGGGCGCCCGGGCCGGCCAGAGGGAAGGGCCGGAGAGCGGAGGGAGGGGTCTGCGGTCCCGCCCACCGCCCCCGGCCAGGCGCTGCACAATCTGAACTTGCCACGTGGGAGCTGCCGCCGCCGCAGCGGCCCTGCGCCGGGTGGCACTACGGGAGGGAGAAAAATGTGTCACCGCCGTCTCCCCACCGTTTACACGCACAAAATCCCAGCCTCAAGGGCAGAACATTTTAAATGACCCACCCATCCTAGAGATGCGCCAGTTAGGTCATCTTATATATCTTGAGATAGCTGAGATGGTCAGATCAACCAAGGACCTTGGGTTATTTGCCGTTTGACTTCTTGAACCCTAGGAAACTGATTCTGAAAATCCTACTGTCCAGCGTCATTAGAATTCTGATCACCTTTAATGCACCACCCAAGAAGAACAGTAGTCCTTGCATTTTCCAAGTCACGTTTATTTTTTAAATTATAAGATACACAATCGTTAGAAATATTTTTTCTCAGGAGATTTCCTACAATTGTGTTGATAATTGGGAAGTTAATCCAAATCTTACTACATAAGACCTTAGAATGCAAAATTATTTCATAATTCAGATCCATATTCTAAAATAATGAATAACTGTTACCTAGTATTTGACAGAATATTGGGATCATCAGTGGTTGCAGAAATTAAATTGCATTTAAAAATAGGGTTTGACTATAGTGTGTTAATATAGAATTAATAATCTACCAAATTTTAGCTTTCCTCCAAAAATATAAAACACACAAACTAATAGTAACTATGAATTCTGGAGTTTGTGATCCGTGATCAGGGGAGAAAGCATGAAATGAATTCTCATTGTCTTCCATGTGCCAATATTATGCTATTTGTGTATTACTTAAATCAAAAAACTAAGACTCCAAAACTGAGTTTAAATATCTTGCTCAAAAATACAAGATAGTAAGTTATGAAGCTGGAATTCCGGCCTAGCTTCATGTAGCTCCAAATAAACAAAAAGGCACTTTGCTTATTATAGTACCAAAAAATCATAACACTTACTGTACACATGCCTCTCCTAGACTGCTATGTCTCACTGAAAGAGTTTATGAAGCCTCTTGAGTAGGGAGGTCACGGTGTATTTCTGAAAGAGCAATCTGCTCTGTAACCGAGCCAACCAGATTGGAAATTACATGTGACATATTCTTATAGCACCACACCTGAAACAATTCCTGTGCATAAAGTTTAATGTGTTAGTAGCCTATTCTCCACTGACCATAAGATATAGCTTAGAACCCTTTGGTAGGTAATGAAATTAATAACAATGGGTCACAACCAACATTTTGTTGCTGTTGATTCACTGAAAAATAGAAAAAAAAAACAGTTCAAAGCATAAATTCAGGATAAGTATTCTTCATGAAACATTTGTACAGCATCATGTGTGGGTGAGTGTCTGTGTGTCTATGTCCTGGATACAGTAGAAATTATATTTCTTAATATGGGTTTCAATTTTTTTAACATTGGTAAATCACTTCTTTAGGACTCCTGTTAATCAGCCAGTTCTTACACCTATAAACGAGTAAGGATAACTTCCTACTTTTACTTGGCAGGAGGTAGGGGAGCCAGGAGAAGTATTCAGGATTAATGATTAAGCTTAATAAAACCACAGAGCTTTACAGCTCCAGGAGGTATAAGCCAAAGGTGTTGGCTATTACAATAACTACCGATAATTTATATTATATAATAATAGCTACTGATAATGTATATTTCTAAAGCTGATATTTATTGTGTGCTTATTGTGCACCAGGCACTTTTCTAAGCACTTTATATATATAGACTTATTTAATTCTCACAATAATCCTATAAATACAGCGGAGAAAAGTGAAACTTGCTCAAGGTCCTTCTGCTATGACCAGACAGAGCTAAGATTCAAACTCACGTGCTCAACTTCAAAGCCCAACTTTTTTGTTGACTCGAAAAGAATATACAGAGAGTGTGACATCCAGCTTCTGAGTGTCATCCTTCATAGCACAAGCAACAAAAGAGAGGATTAAATATGGATGATGTTGAGAAAGGCAAGAAGATTTGTATTCAGAAGTGTGCCCAGTGCCACACTGTGGAAAAGGCAGGCAAGCACAGGACTGGGCCTAATCTCCATGGTCTCTTCGGATGGAAGACAGGTCAAGCCGTTGGATTATTTTACACAGATGCCATTAAGAACAAAGGCATCACCTGGGGAGAGGATACACTGATGGAGTATTTGGAGAATCCCAAGAAGCACATCTCTGGAACAAAGTGATCTTTGCCAGCATTAAGAAGAAGGCAGAAAGAGCAGACTTGATAGCTTATCTCAAAAAAGCTACTAATGAATAATAATTGGCCACTGCCTTATTTATTACAAAACAGAAATGTCTTATGACTTTTTTATGTGTACCATAATTTAATAGACCTCACACACCAGAATTCAGATCATGAATAACTGACAGAATATTTTGTTGGGCAGTCCTGATGTAAAACTAAGACTGGCTTGCAGTTAAATGAATATGTTCAGTTTTTTTGAATTTTAATAGTAATCCAATTCAGTAAATGCTATCACTGTTTACCCTTTCTAAAGACATGATTTGATTAGACTTTGTTAGTAATGTTCAGCTTTTCACAAAGATGGTGAATGCCATCTTAAAACATATTGGAGATTGGTTTTATATTTGGATTTATATAACTGGTTATGTGAATATATTTAAATACTGGAGAAATTCCTTCACTATCTCAGAACCAAGCAAGATTCACCTGTGTTTTGTGTTCATTTGCCTCTTAAAGGCAAGGGTTGAAGATAAGGTAGCAATGTCTACTTTATATTTTTGGCCTTAACTATGTCAATCTAATTAGAATTCCCTGTATTTAAAATAGTTCCTTTTACTTATTGAAAGGCATTTTAGTGTGGTGTATGTGTAATATCAAATAAAGATTATTTAACACTTCTCACATTTTATAGATGATCTGTAAGATAATATGCTTTTAAAATAGTAGCAAGTTAAACTTCACTCTTGAATTATTTACAATCTAAGTCAAACTAAGTTATAATTTAGGATTGTCTTTAAACAGCCATTCAGAGGCTGGGCGTGGTAGATCATGAGGTCAGGAGATTGAGACCATCCTGGCTAACACGGTGAAACTCGTCTCTACTAAAAATACAAAAAATTAGCCGGGCGTAGTGGCGGGCACCTGTAGTCCCAGCTACTGGGGAGGCTGAGGCAGGAGAATGACGTGAACCCGGGAGGCAGAGCTTGCAGTGAGCTGAGATCGCACCACTGCACTCCAGCCTGGGCCACAGAGTGAGACTCTGTCTCAAAAAAAAAAAAAAAAAAGCCATTCAGAAACAGAAAATCGTAGAACTGCTGTGTATTTGTGATTGGGAATGGTGCTTTTGCCAACTTAAAATGATTAAAGTAGAGGAGATATACACAAATTTTAAAATTATATGTGATCATAAGGCTTAAAAACAAAACCACAAATCATGATTAAAAGAAAGGAATGTTCATTCTCTCAATAGGTGCCATATTTTATATAAAACTATAACCTGCTTTATATTACTGTAACTATATAAGAATATATAAAAAATGTATATATAAGAATTAGATAATATTGTTAAATACAAAATTTCCAAAAAGCCTCAGAATTTTAATTGCACCCACCCTCAAGAAGAAGAGTCCACTTGGTATCATTTTTCTGTATATGGAGTAGTAAATTATAGGCAAATATGGCTACCAACAATTCCCCCATTCCTGTAAGTTCATGCCACTTTGTTTTTTACCATCAAGAGGTCAATCTATGTCCTCTTCTCTTGAACCTAGGCTGGCCCCGGGACTTATTCTGACCCATAGAATGCATGGAGGAGATCTTATGTGACTTATGGGCTTAGACCCTAAGAGACCTTGCAGCTTCCATTTTCACTAGCTTCAGGATCTAGTCACCATATAGGAAACTCAGACAACTACTGAATAATGAGAAACTACATGCAGAGAGAGGCCTAGCTCTCTCTCTCCATCCACACCATCCCAACCACTTCCCCAAGGCACCAGCTATATGAGTAAAGTCGTGTTGCATGTTCTAGCTCCAGCTAAGCTCCTACCTGAGTATATCACATGAGTAACTCCAGACAGTACCACATGGAGCATAACTGCCCAGCTTAGACCAACAAACCCACAGAAACTTGAGAAATAACATACTTAAAAAAATTTACTAAGTATTGTGGTAGTTTGTTACACAGCAATAAATAACTGAATCAGGGAAGAAAACATTTGTAGGGGGAAAAGAGTTGACCAACTCTGGGGGTAGGATTACTTTAAAATATTCAAGCATGTTTATATTGGATTATAAACTCAAACCTGTGGCAAGATGGCCAGAAACTTGCCTAGCTTCTAAAGAATATAGCAGAAGAGAGAGAAAAAGAGAGGTAAAATAATAAAACTGAAAGTAAACGTGTCAAATTTTATACCTATACAGGTTAAAATACCACATCTAAGTGTCATTTGAAAATTATTATTCAGAGTTTTTATAAAAATGTGAATTTAAAACCCTTAAACTTCATCCTTGCCTGTAAGGGCAAAATAGTACAGTTCAAAAAGCTGGAGTGCGCACAGATTTCATGGCACTGTATTTGATACATTAGCAACACAGCCTATAAAATGTGGTTTAATTTACTATGAAACATGGAGGATACAGTAGAATGGCATTACAGCAAATGTATCTTTGCACAAAAAAGACTCTAAGTTTTTAATCTATTACTTTTCTAGTAACATACAAGAAAATTCTAGATACCATAAAAATTTGAATTTTTAAATGAATTGAATAAAAAATAAATATTCAAATAAATTTGACTTTTGATTTCACTGCATAGGGGATTCTAGTTTGGATTTGATGTTTTAATAGGTCTTTCAGTGTCGGAAAATTTAGCATTTTTGTCTTGCTTATGAATCATGTTAAATGATATACTGTATATGGTAACCCATATCTAAAAAATGTATTGGAATCATGACTGCAAAATAACTTCCCTTTCCTTGAAATTGTTCACAAATGTGAATTATAAGCAACTATTAAGGTTACTAGTGGCTTCCTCTGAAGACTAATTTATAATTCTGTCATAAAATATTACCTTCTAGAAAAATTTCTGACTCAGCATCATATTCTACAAAATACTTTTTTTGAAGTCTTATATGGCAGTGTTAACTGTTGGTAATGCCAAACAATGATGCAGTAACCGTGGATTTGCCTAAATATATCACACGCACACACACACACACACACACACACACACACACACACACAGACACATACACACCTTGCATATACACAATACACACATAGTGTATAAGGTGTTTAGAAATTTATATTTATCAGACTTCTGGAGAAAAATGCTTTATGTTTTTCACTGCCACAGAATAAATGGGAAAATGTGACTACACCCCTAACGTTCATATAAATCTAAGTAAGTACAATGAGTAAGCTTCATATTAAGTCATCTGAAAACACTTCTATCCACATTCCATTTTTTAAAAAGTCTACCAAAAAACTCTCAGAGAAGAAGCAACTGAACAAATACTGAAAAAAGTGTCTGTTTTCCTACAACATAATTGCTTAAGTCTGTAACTTCAGTTCTTTATTAAGAACTGACTATGGGAACCCTTTAGTCTAAGCACAAAAGGACTCACTGTGACGACGGCATTTTTATTAAACATTAAGATCTCTAGTTACATTAAATTGGAATGCATTGTTTGCTTTGAAAGGCAAAACAGTAGAAATATGAGTAGCAAAACATCATTCAATTGTTAGTATTGCATAAAGACCCGTTCTCTGGTGAATTTCATGGTCACTACAGATAGTTCAGCAACACACTCCAGCAGGCCAAAATCCCATGTGGTCATAACAAGTCTAAGAAATATACAATAGAAAAACAAACACAAAATAAATATATATGTATATGTATATATACACTGCATATTGTTATTGCAATCTTTGTGTGCTTTTTCAGGTATTATATAGTCTCATAAATTTGTTGGCTATTTTTCCTAATATGACTTATTTCAATAATACTTGTTCCAAGGAATTAGATGGAAACATTGGAATTCTAGACAATGACATTGACCTTCAAAACTTACAGGCTGGCAGTATTTTATGTGCAACAATGCTTTTCCCTGATGTACCTGTGACCTAGATAGGAAGCTGGAATCAGCCTAACCTTCCAAATATGTTTCACTAACTGCATTTCCAATTCTAGGTCACTCTCCCACCCCTCACCACCACACAAAAGGTACCACATCTGTACTATTTTGAACTTGTTTCCTGATTAAATAGGAAAGGTTACTTATGAATCCCTAAGCTGCTCATTTTTTGCACTTTTATTTTGAAATATTTTCTGTAGAACTGTTGTGGCCTTGCTGAGGCTTGGACATATTTTTAAGTGTAATTTATTTACTCAGAGAAGCTCTGCTCAAATATAGCATCTGGTATTTCATAGCGTTTTATCCAATAGTCAAATTTTCCATCTCTATTCATGAAGCCAAAACCAAGAAAACTGCTCACTTTACTTTGAAAAATCAAGCATGGGGAATTAACTAACTTTCAGATTCTATAGATTCCAGGATAATCTCACCTTCTGAAATTCCCCATCTCTTCATCTTTTCTACACCTCCAGGCCACCCTGCCCCCGATCATTGTTGAACTCATTGAAAGGACTGAAGTGAGAGGGTTGGACTTGAAGTCAGACAGATAATTTGGATCTTGGTTACATCTATTAATTGATTCTAAGTGACCTCAGCCCAGGTGCTTAGTCTGTCTAAACCAGTTCTTCCCTGTAAATGAGAACAATAGCAATCCTCTCACAGATTTTTAGTTAGTTTGTTCCATTTTGTTTTGGTATTGGAGAATGTTTAGTATAGTTTTTAGTATTGGAGGTGCAATTCATTTGCCACATCAGATCTATGGTCCCAAATAATTCTTAAATGCCATTACCCACCCTCCCCTGATTTGCATGCAAAACTTTGGTGAAGTATCTGCTTATCAGCTCAAGCCGCCAGTTGTCCTAGAACTCATTTGCACGGTCTTACTTCAGCACTAAGACATGGGACTCCTTTTGCAGAATTTTTTATTTTATTTTATTTTATTTTTACTTTTGTTGTTGTTGTTGTTCTTTTCTACACTACTACCCTTCACACACAGCCTTCACTGATTCATAGGAGCTGACATTTTCCACCTCCTCATTTCCATTGCTTCCATCCAGCCCAGCAGAACTGTCATCTCTCCATCACCAGTGGTACACCTACTGAGTGCTCATACTCATTACTGGTCCATTTGCCTTCTTCCAGGACTCCAGAGGCCACATGCTTCACTCTTTGCACCTGTATCTGAACAACCTAAGCTGCTTACTCTCCCAAATCCTCAACTCAGATGACAAATCCTCTCATAGTTTTTCACAGTTCCTTGAGGGAGACAGAACTTTTAATTGGAGCTTCTCATTCATGGTAGATCTCACCAAGGGCTTAACATATGATTCCATTTTCATGCTTCTCACTTGTTATCTTTGAGCATTTCCTGAAATAGTGATGGAATATTTCCAGCATCTGAATAGAAGCAGGTACACAGATGATTTCTCCACAAGTCTATTAAATTAATAAATTAATTTGCTATACAGGACAATTTGGAATCATACATGACCCCTGAAAATTTGAAATACATCTCACTTTCAAGAGAATACACACCTCCTGGCAACCACTAACCTGTTATCCATCACTATCGTTTTGTCATTTTAAGAATGTTATAGAAATGTTATCACGCAGTATGTAGTCTTTTGGGATTGGCTTTTTTCATTCAGCATAATTCTCTTAAGATTCACCCATTTGTTATCCTCAAGGCTAGGAGAGAAGAGAGAAGAAAGTGGGTGTGTTTTCAAAAGGGCATCATGAGGGATCCTGGCGGCAATAGAATAGCTCTGTGTCTCAGCTGTGGTGGTGGATACACAACCAACACAGGGGATCAAATTACATAGACCAAAATCATACACACAAATCAGTGCTATTAAAACTGGGGACATCTGAATAAGATAAGTGGATTTTATCTCTGTGGGTATCCTGGTTGTTACATTGCACAATAATTTTATAAGATGTTACCATTTGAAGAAACTGGATAAAGGGTACATAGATCCATTACTGCTTAGAATTACATGTGAATCTATAATGATCTAAAAATAAAAAGCTTAATTAAGAACACACCAGAGGGACTTATGACTAGCAGAGTAAGACAGCATACTTGAAGAATCGTGTAATTTGAATGTCAGATTTTGACAGAGCTTAAGGGATTTTGCACCTGCCATTTTAAAGATTTCAGATAGTACATATTATGCAAAGTGCCTGGGTCAATTGCCCCTTCAGCCTGTAACATAAAAATGGTTCTACCATTATCCATGGAGACTAATTTCTACAAACAGCCCAAGGGAATAGAATATGTATTAGTTTCCTAGAACTGCCGTAACAAATTACCACAAACTAGATGGTTTATACAGCAGAAATTTACTCTTTCACTATCCTGGAGAAGAGAAGTCTGAAATCAAGATGTTGGCTGGGCTGAGTTCCCTTTGGAGGCTCTAGGGAGAATGCTTCCCTGCCTCTTAAAGCTTCTGGTTGCTCCAGGAATTCCATGGTGGCAACGCAGGCTCTCTAGGCCTGTGGATGCATCGTGACAATCAATGCATCCATCTTCACATGAACTTCTCCTCTTCTCTCTGTGTCTTCTCCTTTTCTGTGTCTTATAAGAATACTTGTCAGCTGGGCGCGGTGGCTCATGCCTGTAATCCCAGCACTTCGGGAGGCCAAGGCGGGTGGATCACGAGGTCAGGAGATCGAGACCATCCTGGCCAATACGGTGAAACTCTGTCTCTACTAAAAATACAAAAATTAGCCAGGCGTGGTGGTGCGTGCGTGTAATCCCAGCTACTCAGGAGGCTGAGGCAGGAGAATCGCTTGAACCAGGGAGTCGGAGGTTGCAGTGAGCCGAGATCATGCCACAGCACTCCAGCCTGGCAACAGAGTGAGACTCTGTCTCAAAAAAAAAAAAAAAAAAGAATACTTGTCATTGGATTTAGGGTCCACCTGGGCAATCCAGGATGATCTCATCTCAAGACCCTTAATTTAATTACTTCTGCAAATAACCTTTTTTTTTTTTTTTTCAAACTTTAAAAGTTTCAGGGGTGAGGACATGGACATATCTTTTGTATGTGGGGCGGTGGGTGGGGGGCGGGAGTGGGGAGGGCACCATTCAACCCACTACAATGAATGATAATCAATTCATCCATTTATTCTTTCAAGAAATGTTCTTTGAGCCCCTAATAGGAATGTGGCACCATCCTGTGAAAGACAATCCACACACTATGATATCTGAATAGCTTGTAGTCACATTGAGGGGATATGCCAAAGCTTAAGGACAGTAGATAGAAAGAATGCATAAGTACAAGTGAGGACAGTGGTCGAGGCAGTAGATGAGAGAAGGCTGATCCATTGTAAACTAGATTTAGGTAGATTTTCCAGGGGCCTTATGAAAAAGCAAGGTAGCTTGAGATGGACCTGAAAGGCTGGTGGATTGCATTTTGGTTTTAAGGAATAAAAGCACTGTGGTGGAAATAACCACTGTGTTCAAATGCAAGCATTCAGGAAATTAAAATGGCCAGGACAAATGCCTAATATTGTGTTATACGACTAGAACATTTACATTGAGGCTAGATGCCAAAGGGCATCTAAAGAAGCTTAAGAATATGGAAAACCGGCCAGGCACGGTGGCTCAGTAATCCCAGCACTTTGGGAGACCGAGGCGGGCGGATCACCTGAGGTTAGGAGTACAAGACCAGCCTGGCCAACATGGTGAAACCCTGTCTCTACTAAAAATACAAAAATTAGCCGGGCGCAGTGGCAAGCGCCTGTAATCCCAGCTACTCAGGAGGCTGAGGCAGGAGAATCACTTGAACCCGGGAGGCAGAGGTTGCAGTGAGCCGAGATTTCGCCATTGCACTCCAGCCTGGGGCACAAGAGGGAGACTTCATCTCAAAACAAAACAAAACAACAACAATAAAAGAGTATGGAAAACCATGGGAGGTTTCTTAACCAGCAGTGTCACTGATTGATTGTATTTGTGGAACTCTGGCAGGGAACCGTCCAAAGGCAGGGATCAGCTAGAGAGCTCTGGCATAGAGCAGGTCAGAAGAGATAAAGGTCTGAGTTTAACCAGGAACAATGGGAATTGAAGAAATGGAAGGATATGGG
This sequence comes from Homo sapiens, assembly GCF_000001405.40. Lineage (NCBI taxonomy): Eukaryota > Metazoa > Chordata > Mammalia > Primates > Hominidae > Homo > Homo sapiens. Next base: position 121,406,702 of record NC_000007.14, read on the forward strand.
AGATACCCAGAGGCAGGCTTCATGAGCGAACTTAGAAGCGTCCTAATCTCTGCGGGGCCCGGCTTGACTTTTAATGCTCTGTGTCACTATCTTAAAATTCTTAATAATTTTCTCTTTGAATCTGTGCTTTGTAAGTAAAACCTAATGGGACAATGGGGAAGGCTTGGAGCTACTGCTCACACACAATCTCACCTCCCACAATCTCTTCTCCCCAAAACAGTTTCTCTGGTTCCAACCTTACCATTTCCTGGTGTTCTAAGCCCTGTCTGACTTCCTCCTCCCTGCTTGAGTCTAGTGTCTATTGCTGCCCTATGACCACGGTGGGGCTTGGTACAGCATGGGGAGGATCACAGTTGGGCATGCACGTCTTGTGGCATCACACAGGAGGGCCTGGAGGCAGCTGTCCCAGCCCTAGATGGTGGGGCCTTGTTGTGCTCAATGGGCAATTCTATGGGAGTGAGCTTCTTGTCCTTCCCCAATCCAGGTAATGAACACATCCTAGCAGGGAAGTTGCAATTATGTGGGTTCCTGTTCCCTGGGAGTTGGGCAGAGGACTTTGAGCCCTGGAATGTGATCCAGCAGATAGTGGGAGGGGCAACCCAGCCATCAATTACCTTGGGAAGGGCCTGCAGGACCTTATGCCTGAGGGAGTGGGACATTAAATCTCAAATAAAAAACACCATGACAGATGGAAAGAGAAAGACCATGGTAAGACCATTTAATTCCTTTAACAGTATCTTTCTTTCTGCTTTTTGAATAAAGGTCTTGCATTTTCATTGTGCACTGAGACCCCACAAATTATGTAGTCTTTTAAAGGAAGTCTTATAAAGGAAGAATAGACAGGATTTATAATTCAATGTGAAAATTGTAGAGACAAAATTTATCAAGATTATGACCCTGGATGACAGAGAAAGTAGAAAGCACTATTGCCAGAAATTGCCATTCAGAAAGAGAGCTAATCCCCAAGGAAGGTGACAACTTGCTATGGTTTGCATATGATTTGTTTGTCTTCACCAAATCACAGGTGGAAGTTTGATCCTGTGTGGCTGTGTTGGGAGGTGGGACTAGTGGGAGGTGTTTGGATCATGAGGGCAGATCTCTCATGAATGGCTTGGTGCTGTTCTCATGATAGTGAGTCTTCACTCTCCTGAGATAGGATTGGTTCTGATGGGCTTGGATTAGTTCCAGGATCTCAGGTTTGGTCTCTCTTTGCACATGCCTACTTCCCCTTTGACCTTCTCCACCACTTTTTGATGCAGCACAAAAGCCCAGGCCAGAAGCCAAACCAGATCCCTGCACCATGCTTTTTTTTTTTTTTTTTTTTTTTGAGACAGTGTCTTACTCTGTTGCCCAGGCTAGACTGCCAAAGTGTAGTGGCAAGATCATAGCTCACTGCACCCTCACCCTCAAACTCCTGGGCTCAAGAGATCCTCCTGCCTCAGCCTCTCAAATAGCTTGGACTATAAGCATGCACTACCATGCCTGGCCAAATTTTAAAATTTTTGTAGAGATAGGGTCTCACTATGTTGCCCACGCTGGTCTTGAACTCTTAGCCTCAATCAGTCTTCCTACCTTGGCCTCCCAAAACACAAGGATTACAGGTGTGACCCACCATGCCTGGCCCATGCTTCTTGTACAGCCTGCGGAACCATGAGCTAAATAAATCTCTTTTCTTTATAAACTACTCAGCCTCGGATATTCCTTTACAACCACACTAAATGGACTAAGCCATGTGTCCTGTTAGAGGTGTGTTAAATTGTGAACTTGTGTAAACCCTAGGCTGCCAGGACTAACATTTGGGTTCTGCTTGCTGAGTGGACCCATATATGTTCCTCATGCTTGGCTTTCAAGCTGCCGGGCTCCCACCTTACCTCTGGGCAGTCTTCCTTCCACCAAACATTCCACTCTCCCAACTCCCCAAATGCTGCTCTTTGCATGTGGTGTAAAGAAGCTGATTTAGCTTAGAAGGGGTCATGGGTAGATGTCTCAAGAATGAAAGACTTGCTTAAGAGGCTGTTGTGACATATGTATTTTACTGTCAAGCATTTCAGCCTTGAAAGTGTGAGAATATGTTTGTTTTAGTTTGAGATAAATTCTAGGGTAACCAGTTCCCCCAATCAGAAATTCACAATTTAGGTATTGTCTGTTAACATTTAAGAAAAGTTGCCCCTTAGATGAAGCTATGGTACAAATGCTTTCGATATCTGTATCTCCCATCAACACCAAAGGCTTTCCTGATTAGTGTAACAAAGGTTAGATATTGCCTTATTAGTGAAATTAGTGTTCCTGATATGTATATATAAAGGTTAGATATTGCCTTCTTAGTGAAATTAGTGTTCCTGATATGTACATATAAAGGTTAGATATTGCCTTCTTAGTGAGATTAGTGTTCCTGATATGTATATATAAAGGTTAGATATTGTCTTATAGTGAAATTAGTGTTTTTGATATATATAGAATATATATTAGATTATACATGTAGAACATATACAGGATATATTCTAATATATGTTCTATATATATAGTCTAATATATATATTCTATATATATTCTTTATTTTGAGATATATATTTCAAAACACACACACACACACACACACACACACACACATATATATTAGAAAAAAATTTTAGAACACTTTCTCTCCATTGCATGAACAAGATATAAGAGTCTTGTAAGGTTGTATCCTTAAGGGTAATCTCTGAAGGTACTGCCTCTGGAATGTTCCTGCCAGAATATTGTTTCAGTATCAAATGAACCTCTCATGCAAGTTGTGTTCAAATCTCTTCAGGGTCCAGAGAACTGGAATTTCATAGAGTTTACAGAATAAGCTGTATGAATGGTTTTATGCTGTTTTGTGCCCACTTGCTAATAAATATTTGTTTAATACATGTGTTTGTAGCAGATTTTAGTTTGAGACTCATTTTTATTATAAACCATTAGCAAGTTTGTACATGTTAGTTAACCCTCCACCACCTCTATTGGCAGCTAACATTAACTACCACAATTAAGCTAAAAGTTGTAATGAGCAAATTGGTTTAGGACAGGTTTAAACCATCCATGAACTCACATCCCAGGCATATACAGATGTTCAAGGGGCAGACGATATTCCCTTGGGTGTGTTGCTAGTCCATATCTAATGGAAATTTGTGAAGTGAGTTTCACAAAGGAAGGCCAAAGAATTTGTCTTTAAGATTTAAAAAGGAAATCCAGGGAAAGGATGGATTATCTTGGCTCTGAAAAGATCTTTGCAGCAATGTCAAAGTACAATAACTAGAAAGAAGGAAAATAGGAAATGCCAAAAAAGAAACTTAATTTCCTGGAGATATTGACATGTCTTTGTAAAAAAGAGGCACATGAAGATTTTTAAAAATACAAAGGAAGTCTGGAAATATGCAATATACAATTACTTTTTAAAAAGTTTTCCTATTAGTTTATTTTCTTTTCAATTATTCCTTTTCTCCCATGTACATTACATGGAAGAAACCATGGGATTCTCTTCCCAGAACATGTTTGGAAGAAAACAGATTGAGATGCTCATCCCAACAAAGATGCCATCTACTCTTCAAGAAGCACCAAGCATTTCCTGAGACCTCATCATTTCTCTTAACACATTAAACTTTCTTAGAAGGAAGTTATGTTTCAAAATAGCATTTTTAATTCTGAAATGCTGATCATTTCAAAAGGTATATAAACTTTCTGAAGCCCAACAATGGACATCAGATTATACTCACCTGAGCTACTCTTCCAATTACCAAATGGCTGCTAACCAAAGCACCTCATTGGCCAGGTCCCTTCCAAATAATTAATTTTTTTTCTAAAGGCTAACATGGCTTTCCTAAGATAGAATGAATTTAATGAACTGGGAGAAAGACAGTTTCTTGTATAATATTGTTCAAGTACTTCTCTCCCACATATAATGCAAGGGATATAATTGTGTTCAGAATTTCATCTTATAGGGTTAGCATTTGAAGGAACTTGGTTATTTGTACACATTTGAGCACCTGAACTAATAAAATGTTACTAAGCATACCTAAAATGTTTAGTTTTCATTTCTTAATCTAGAAAAACTTCAGGACTTTAAAAGTTTATCCCATAAAACTTTTATACTTGTTGCATAGTCATTTCTCATTGTAGAGTTTCAGTTACCTTAAATGGACATTTGAATGACATTTAATATGCAATTCTACTATTTTCTACTGCTTTTCCCCATGTTCTATATGTAAAAAGGGAAAGATGCAATAATCTGAGCCCCTTCTTAAGATCTAGTTCCTGGAGTTCATTTTACCACAGTTATCTGCTACTTCCTCATGAGGACCCACTCATCAAGTTCGGAGGATTTTATTCATTGCCACCACCACCATAAACCAACTTTGAGGCTATTTTGACTTCCTGTTCAAGGTAAGAGATGAAAAATATTTTACCTTGGTTCCTTCTGAGCAAGTTATAATTTGACAAAATGAATTCATTAAGGGGTTAAGAGAAAACAAAATTGAAATAAAGAAAAGTAACAGAAAGATAGAAGGAGAAGCTATTGTATGGCAAAATGGCATTTTTAAAAATGAGCGAGGTGAAGCTATACAGGGACTTGGCTAGAAAAAGTTCTCAGGACAAATGTCCAAGGAAAGAAGTCAGGGACACCCAACCTCTGGTATGTGTGTTTTCCCTTTAGCTAGATAAGGTGGGTGGGTCACTGGGAACCTCCATTCCCCCAGAGACTGCTTTCTAGTTTTTCTTTTTGAGTTTATGCTCTTATCTGTCACCTGGTTCTGCTCTGGTCTCCAACTGTGACTCTCACTTTCCTCAGAGCTCTTTGCCCCATTTGGTTAAGAAAGCTATGACTTTAGGCTGTCCTGGGATTTTTGTCCCCCTTTTTTCCTTTCTTATACCTATATTTAATGTTTTGCCTCCTTTTACTCCCTGATTTCTCTCTCCCACTACTGCAATAATTTTCCTATATGCCCAATTAATTCGGAGCCTATGGAGAGGGGGAAATCCCTATTTCGGAGGACTGTTATCATTGGACATTAATGTGATTTCATCTTTCAGTGACTTGGCTTCTTCACTACTGGGCTCGGATAACATCTTGTCCTAATCTCTGTGGCAGCCACATGGGCTTTGATGGTTGTGCCATCTTATAAAGTGTTCATTTATCTCATGTCTGTCTTGCTCTCTGCCCATCATAAAAGTCCTTTTTGAAAAAAAAAATCCTAATTGCCCATACTCCAATGCATTCTCCACTATTCTAGTTTGAACTTTCAGATAAATAATTTCATCTTAGTTGGTTAGTGGTACAGATGTAATCAATCAATGCACCCCACTCAATAAGCATTGAGCATGTAATCCAATTTCCCAGGTGCTGGCTGATGGCTCCCTTCCCAGAAGTGGTTTACTATTCTAGTAGGATGGAATTTTCGTCCTCTTTCACCTTCTTTGTCCTTTTTATTCGAATCCCTTGAAATCTTTAAGCAAAGAATGGTGATAATTAGCAGAAGAAAGTTCTGTCTTTTAGTTACTTCAATCTAATGCCTGTGAGAATTTATTCACCAAACAAATGTTTATTGAATTGCTACTTGTGTGCCAGGTACAGTTCTGAGATTTGGGGATTTAGAGAGAAATACGAAAAGTCTATGTCCTCAAAGAGCTTACATTAAAACTGGGAAGAACTGAGGGTAAAGTGGGTCCCAAAATGGTAGGTTCCAGGGTAGGAGGCTTTGCTAAACTTTGCAAGTTCAGAAATAGAGATCAAGACCCATACATGGAAGAGATCTAATTGAAAATGAAGGAGGAAGGGTGGCTCAGGGAAAGAGTCTTCTGGGTCCTGAAGGAAGGTGAACTTGTCATTGGCCTAAGCGTGTATTAAGGGAAGAGTAAATACAAATTTATATCATCTTCTGGACTCTAATTCTACTCTTGGTTTACACAGTTATAATTTTTTGAAAGGCAATGGATTAAGCTAACACAATATATCTTTTTAACCCTCAGAAATCAAAATGGAGAGGGATTTTATAATATCACAAAACATTAGATTTTAGTAACAAACAGAAAAAAGAATTGTTATCTCATAGCTCGTGTCTTCTTATGAGGAAAAATGAAATTAAGTTTAAAGTATATAACCAATCAGAAGGTTTACTCTGCTATAAACTATGCTAATTTATTGGAATTGCTTGAAGTTATGATTTTTATAAGCTTTGTTTTCTGCTTCCATATGGAAGAAATAAAAAAAGAAGGGGGGAAAGAGAGGTTAATAACACCTACAGTTTCCTTTTAGTAATAAATTTCAGTTCACTGATAAAATATTTCAACACATACAGACACACACAGACACACGCACACACACACACATATCTTTTTTTTAAACACAAACTGCAGCAGGGAAATTGGAATGATGACCTCCACTTTATCGAAACCTGAGGATGGCACTGTCCCTGCTGACCTGAATTTCTGTTCTTTAAAGTTGAAATCCAAGAAAAACTCCAAAATAAGCAATTAACCTTTTTTTTGTATTGTTTCCAGTAGTCCCTTAATAAAATACAAATATGTGCTGAGAAATATCACCACTAAAGTGTCATTTAAAGTAATTTGTCAGATTTGTTTTAACCATATTATACACAAAAGAGCAAATTCACATCAAAATAGATGGAAAATAGCAGTATGGTGGTGAGGTGTTTTAATTAGATATCTCCAAAAAAGTTAAGAATCAACCTGTGTAAATGTAATCGATGCTGATATAAATTTATTTATATCCATTCTATATCTATATTTATCTCTATCTCTATCTCTTTTCTTTTTGCCTGAAAGGAAAAGTATAGCAGGAGTCACAAAGGAAGACTAAAAGCTACCTTACCATCTATTTTAAAGAGTTTGAAGGAATATCACAGACATAGTCATAGCCTGCATCCCCACTGCCCATCCTAATTTGTGTGTGTGTGTGTGTGCATTGCCTCCTATGCCTAATATTTATTTTTTGCCCTACATTTTATATATATATATACATATATATATATATATATATATAAAATGCCTTATTAATAGATTCAGGTGGCTTCTGTAACAAAGCACTGTGAACTTAGTGGCTGAATACAAAGGTTTCTTCCCTCTGGAGGGCAGAAGTCTGAAGTCAATGTATTGACAGGCTTGGGCCCTCTTGGGGCTCTAGGAGAGAATGTTTCCTTACTTCTTTCAGCTCCAGGTGACTGGGGGCATTCCTTGGCTCCCTTGGCTTATGGCCACATCACTCCAACCTCTGTCTCTGTCTTCCCATTGCCTCTTCTCTGTGTTTGCCTTCTCATCTGTGTGCTTCTTGTAAGGACATTTACAACTGGATTTACAAGGTAATCCAGGATCATCTCCTCATCTCAAAGTCCTTAATTTAATTACATCTGCAAATACCCTTTTTAGAAATAAGGCAACAGTCACAGAGTCTGGGGATTACGATGTGGATGTATCTTTGAAAGAGTCATCATGAACCCATCACATTAACCCATCACACCTTAATAACCATTAAAGTTTCATTTCATAGAGAAATCCTGATATTTATGTCAAGTATCTCAATGTCAAACTTTTCATGTTAGAAAAACTCTTCCAACCTATAGTCAAGGTCTACTTTTCATAGAGTTTATCAGCAGCTAGGCCTTCCTCACCTCAGGCTTTAGTCCAGTGACTTCTCAAATTTGTGGCTACTATTTGTTAGTATGCTAAGGTTGCTACAACAGAGTATCATAGACAGGGTGGATTATACACAACAGATGTTTATTTCTCTGGAGGCTAGAAGTCTGAGATTAAGGTACCAGTGGTGTCAGGTTCTGTTGAGGGTCTTCTTCTGGGTTGCAAACTGCCAACTTCTCCTTGTATCCTCACATATAGAGAAGAAGATGAGAGCGTTCCCTAGGGCCTCTTTTATAAGGGCACTAATCTCATTTACAACAGCTACATTCTCATGACCTAACTACTTCCCAAGTCCCTCCTTCTAATACTATCTCACTGCAGGTTAGGTTTACAACATATGGGAACTTGAGGGGACATATTCAGTCTGTTGCAATTTTTTTTAATCTTTCCTTCTAGAAACATTCCTGTTCTTGAAAAATACAGATCCATAGTGTCTTTGCTTGCTATTGCTCTCAGTACCTACAGCTGAGTTCATAGTGCCCACTTTAGCTAGATTTAGGCTGCTTAGCCCATAATCTTCTGCTTTCATTTTGTTAGAAAACCTTTTTGACAAATCTATTATAATTCAATTATAATAAACACAATAATCATTTTTCTCAAAAAATATTGTGATCACTAATTATTAGATTTTTCAATGCTTTTAGCAATTTTTCTTCTGGTATTATCAACTAGAAGCCATCCTGAACACACACACACACACACACACACACACACACACACACACACATGAGTTCGCTTCCACATGTCTTTCTGATGTACTTATACCAGTGGTATTTTTCATTTAGTTTCAATCTTCCCAATTTATCAAGGTAAAACATTAAAACACAATACTAAAAGGAATTAAATCAGTATTTAGTATTTATGAGTATGTAAGCAATGTTTGAATCTGAACCAAATGTATTTTCTTTCTTTTTAAATTTTCCTCCTAGTTTTTTTAAAAAAATTGATTAGTTTTCTATATATTTATCACTATTTCATTTCCAAGCTTCCCTAGAGAAATGTAAACCTCTAGCTTACCAACACATCATATAATGTATCATTTTCAATTTTTAAAATCAATCTTTAGACCGGGTGCGGTGGCTCACCCCTGTAATCCCAGCACTTTGGGAGGCTGAGGTGGGCGGATCACGAGGTCAGGAGATCAAGACCATCCTGGCTAACATGGTGAAACCTCGTCTCTACTAAAAATACCAAAAAATTAGCCCAGCGTGGTGGCAGGCACCTGCAGCCCCAGCTACTCGGGAGGCTGAGGCAGGAGAATGGCGTGAACCCGGGAGACGGAGCTTGTAGTGAGCTGAGATCATGCCATTGCACTCCAGCCTGGGCGACAGAGCGAGACTCCATCTCAAAACAAAACAAAACAAAAAACAAAAACAAACAAACAAACAATAAAATCAATCTTTAATAGACTTTGTTTTTTAGAGTTGTTTTAGGTTCATAGTAAAACTGAAAGGAAAATACAGAGTCCCCATATATCCCCATCCCCAACACATGCACAAGATCCCTCATTATCAACATCCCACAATACAGTTATAATTGATGAATTTACAATAATACATCATCACCCCAAACACATAGTTAATATTTGGGTTCAGTCTTGTTGTTGTACATTCTATGGGTTTTGACAAAAGTATAGTATGTATCCACCATTATAGCAGCATACAGAACAGTTCCATTGCTCTAAAAATCCTCTGTGCTCCACCTATTCATTCTCTTCTCCACCATTACTCCTGGCAACCACTGACATTTTTACTATTTCCATAGTTTTGTCTTTTCCAGAATGGCATATTGTTGGAATTATACAGTATATAGCCTTTTCAGATTGACTTCTTTCACTTATTAATATATATTTAAATTTCTTCCATGTCTTTTCATGGCTTAATATCTCATTTCTTCTTAGCACTGAATAATATTCTATTGTCTGGATACATCACAGTTAATTTATTCATTTAGCCACTAAAGGATATCTTGGTGCCTTCCAAGTTTTCACAAGTGTGAATAAGGCTGCCATAAATGACTGTCCAAACTTCAGTGTTGGCATAATTTTTCAATTCATTTGGGTAAATGTTAAGGAGCATAATTTACAGATCATACAGTAAGATTATATTGTTTTTTAAGACATTGCCAAACTGTCTTCCAAAGGGCTGCACTAGTTTTGCATTCCCATCCACAATGCAAGAGAGTTCCTTTTGCTCTACATTCTTGCCAGCACGTGATGTCAGTGTGCTGAATTTTGCCCATTCTAATATATTTGTAGTGGTATCTCATTGTCATCTTAATTTGAAATTCCCTAATGACATCTGATGTTGAACATCTTTTCATATGCTTATTTGCCACTTTAATATCTTCTTGGATGAGCTATCTTTTCAGGTCTTTTGGCCATGTTTCAATCAGGTTTTCTTATTATTGAGTTAAGACCTCTTTGCTTGTTTTGGATAATAGTTCTTTTCAGATATGATATGTCTTTTGTAAATTTTTTTCCTTGTCTGTGACTTGTCTTCTCATTCTCTTGTCAGTGTTTTCACAGAGTAGAAGTTCTTCATTTTAATGAAGAAGTTAATTTTAATTCTTTAACTTTAATTCTTTCTTTAATGTATTGTTTAGGTGTTGTATATAAAAAGTCACCACCACCTCCAAGGTCATCTAGATTTTCTCCTGTTATCTTTTAAGAGTTTATAGTTTTGTGTTTTACATTTAAGTCTATGATCCATTTTGAGTTTGTTTTGGTGAAGAATGTAAGGTTTGTGTCTAGAAGGTTGACTTTTTATTTTTTATTTTGATTTTGCATATGGATATAGTTGTTCCATCACTGTTTTCAAAAACCTATCTTTACTCTGTTGTATTGCTTTTGCTTTTTTTTTTTCCAAAGATTAGGTGACTATATTTATGTGGGTCTATTTCTGGATTCTCCATTCTGTTCAACTGATCTATTTGTCTCTCCAATACCACACTGCCTTAATACTGTTACTTTATGGTAAATTTTAAACTGTCAGTTCCTTGACTCAGTTCTTCTCCTTTAAGATTGAGTTGCCTATTCTGGGTCTTTTACCTCTCCATATAAACTTTAGAATACATTTGTCAATATCCACAAGATAACTTGCTGATATTGAGATTGCATTGAATCTACAGATAAGCTGGGGAAAAAACTGGTATCTTGACAATATTGAATCTTTGTATCACAAACATGGAACGTCTCTACATTTATTAAAGTTTTTATTTATTTCATCAGTGTTTCATAGTTTTTCTCATACATCTTGTACACATTTTGTTCATTTTATACCTAAGTATTTCATTTTTAAGGGTGCTAATGTAAATAGTAATTAGTTTTTAATTTTAAATCCCACTTGTTCATTGCTGGTACATAGGAAAGCACTTGACTTTTATACATAACCTTTTATCCTGAAACCTTGCTATAAATGTCTATTTGTTCCAGGAGCGTTTTTTTTTTTGTGATTTTTTCAGATTTTCTACAAATGATTGTGTTATCTGTGAACAAAGTGTTTCTTCCCTTCCAATCTGTATACTTTTTATTTCATTTGTATACCATTTATTTAATTTTATCGCATTAGTTAGGCCTTCCAGTACAATGCTGAAAAGAACTGGTGACAGGGGCATCCTTGCCTTGTTCCTGATCTTATCAGGAAGCTTCAAGTTTTCTCACCATTGAATATGATGTTAACTGTAGGGCTTTTATATTTTTTCAATCGAGTTGACGAAGTTCCTCTGTATTGCTAGTTTGCTAAGTTTCTCTTAAATCATAAATAGGTGTTATGTGTTATTTGGTTGTAGTGTGTGTGTGTGTGTGTGTGTGTGTGTGTGTGTGTGTGTAGATAGATATATAGATAGATAGATATAGAGATACAGATAGATATAAGTATATAGATAGATATAGATATAGATAGATATAGATATACCTATATCTAGATATATAGATACACAAACACACACACACACACTACAGCCAAATAGGGGTTTTCCCAAGAATGCAATTCTGGTTCAACATTAAAAAATTAATGTATCTGTCACATCAACAGGCTAAAGAAGAAAAATTACATGGTATCATAATCTGCAGCTCAGTCTTTATCAATAGATGAAGAAAAAACGTTTGAGAAAATCTAACACCTATTTATGACACCTATTTAAGACATCTAACACCTATATATAGATATATAATATACATATATATAATGTGTATATATGTACACATTATGTATATATATACACATTATGTATATACACATATATATTATACACTGTTGGATTTAAATTGCTAATATTTTGCTAAAGATTTTCACATCAATATTCATGAGAACTATTGGTCTGTAGTTCTCTTTTCTCATAATGCCTTTGTCAAGTTTTGGTATTAGGGCAACACTTGTCTCATAGAGTGAATTAACAGGTATTCCCTCTGCTTCTATCTTCTAAAAGAGATTTTGGAGAATTGTTAGAATTTCTTCCTTAAATGTTTAGTAAAATTCACCTGCGAACCCTCTGGGTCTGGTGCTCTCTGTTTTGGAAGATTATTATTGATTCAGTTTATTTAATAAATTTAAGCCTATCCAGATTATCTATTTCTCCTGTGAGTTTTGGCAGACTGTGTCTTTCAAGGGACTTAGGAAATCATTGCAAAGGCTGTTCCATTGGAGAACAGCTTCCCCTGCCTTGGGCCTCTTCTTGAGTTCACCACTACTAGAAAATGACAAGGTCATCCTGTTGATTGCCTTCATCTGTGTTCAGAGCTCTCTGTAGACTGACTACAGCACTTACAGCTACTTTGAAGTGGTCACCATTTTCAACTTGATAATGATCCTCACCATTTTTTCTGATCCACCTCTTCTGCCTGCTCACCTGTATCTGTTGGCCCTTGTCAGAACTTCTGCACTATTTAATCAGTACCATTTTTTCTGATCCACCTGTTCTGCATGCTCACCTATATCTGCTGGCCCCTATCAGAACTTTGCACTATTTAATCACTACCCTGCTCCTCCTAATCACCTCCATCATGGTGGCCTCCAAGCTTTATAACTAGAACTGGACTGATAGCAGGAGTGGATAATCAAAGTCCAGCCAACTCAGTTGTAAATATAAACCCACACGTGGGCATTGAAGCTGCCTTGAGTGAGAAGGGCCGAGGGTGGTGACCCAGAGGCTTGGTGGCCTGGCCTGCCCTGGACCCAACCTAGGGAACCCGAGGCTGGCGGCTGGGCCTCTCTGGGCTTCACCTCTGTACCTGAGTGAGGATGAGGTGATTGGGTCAGATGACTACCCAAGCTCCTTGCTGGCCACAGACATACAGGGAATGAGCACAGAGTTGAGAAACAGAAAGAATTGCCCAAGTGATAGGCCTTTGGCCTGTAACTTTCTCTCCTCTCTCTCCCCTGTATATCTTTGATTTTGTTGCCACCTTTCCTGCATGACAAGCATATGGCTGTCCTACAAGATCTCACGTGTAACCCAAGCCACAGATGTAGCTATCTGATGAGGCAACAGTCTCTGGACCTTATGGAGCTCTATAGAAAGGAGGACCAGTGACCCTAGGCAAGGCTCTGGACCTGTGTTCCTGTGCCAAAGTCCTGCCAGGCTGGCAGGCACCAACACGGGCCTGCACTTTGGTCCTGCTTTCCCAAGAAGCTGGTTCCCTGAGCTCCTGGGAGGAGCCTCTTTCTCCAGTCTTCCTTGGAGAACATTCCTCCTCTTCTGGGAAAGGAAAGCAGTCTCAAGGAAAATCTGTTCTCTCCTTTCTTGCTTCCAGAACCATGTCAGGTACTCATGAGCCCTCTTAGCACAACTGGAGGGGTTTGTGAATACTCCTGCATAAATCTCTTCTACTTCCTATTCCTCAGAGTAGTGAAGCTGCCTTAAGTGCTCTTACAGGCTGGGCATGGTGGCTCAGCCTGCAATCCCAGCACTTGGGAGGCCAAGGCAGGTGGATCACCTGAGGTCAGGAGTTCAAGACCAGCCTGGCCAACGTGGTGAAATCCCATTTCTACTAAAAATAAAAAAATGAGCCGAGTTTGGTGGCACTTGCCTGTAGTCCCATTACTTGGGAGGATGAGGCAGGAGAATTGCTTGAGCCCAGGAGGCGAAGGTTGCAATGAGCCAAGATCATGCCACTGCACTCCAGCCTGGGCGACAGAGCAAGACTCTGACAAAAAAAAAAAATATATATATATATATAGTTCTCTCACAAAAACAAAGATTTATCCATTTATCTAGCTTGTCAATCTGGTCTTGAAGATACCTTCTTTCTTAAAGTGAGGCGTGCCCTGTAGAAATGCTATGTGGTCAGCCTGTCCCCAGATAGGAGATGTAGAGTCTCCTTTCCCTGTCTCTATTTTGTTACCACTGTGCATGTGTTTGTGTGTTTTTTAATACATATTGACTTGGCCAGTTGAAAAATAAATAAATAAATAAGAACAAAAATAGCAATTTTCATGCTTTTGCACTGTCCCCTTCTTTGTTTGTATTTGCTTGGATTTCTGACTTTCTTCTAGTGCTCTCCTCAGGTGCCTGGTGACACTTGGTGTAGCTTATGTCAAAGATGGGACCATTGAAAAACTTACTGGAAGCTTTAAGTGTAGTTGTAGTGTCCCGTTTAAGTACTTCTGTTCTAAGTTGAGCTGCAGATTATGATACCAACCACAACCATATTTATTTTCTATAATATACATATAATTAATTTCTGTTCTATCCAAACTCCTGACCAAGGCTTATATAGCCCAATATAATCAGGCACTTTCCTATCTCCCTGACCTCATTTATTCCTCCCCCCTGTTTACTGTGCTTAGTCATTTTGCCTTCTTGTTCTTCAACCTGCTAGGCTGGTTCTTGCCTCATGGACTTATACCTGTTGTTATCTTTACCTGGAATTTTCTCTCCGCAGATACTGCATGGCTGCTTTATCTCATCATTCAGTTCTCTGACCACTTCTCAGTAGGAAGGCTTTACCCGACCTCCCTACTTCGATATTCAGTAGCCTCTTACTTTACTTTCTTCATTGTACAAATAGTAAGGTCATGTCACTGATTTTTTTTACTTATTTATTGTTTATCTCTGCTATGAGAATTTAAGCTCCATGAGAGCAAGGAGCTTGTTCAAATACTCTTTCCTTAGGACCTAGAGCAATGCCTACCACCCGGTAGCACTTAGTGAACATTTTGAGAGATGACAGTGTGCTGGCAGCCCTCGCAGCCCTCGCTTGCTCTGGGCACCTCCTCTGCCTGGGCTCCCACTTTCGCAGAACTTGAGGAGCCCTTCAGCCCACCACTGCACTGTGGGAACCTGTTTCTGGGCTGGCCAGGGCCAGAGCTGGCTCACTCAGCTTGCAGGGAGGTGTGGAGGAAGATACGCAAGCGGGAACCAGAGAGGCGCAAGCAAGAACTAGGGCTGCACACCCTGCTTGTGGGCCAGCTGGAGTTCCGGGTGGGCGTGGGCTTGGCGGGCACCACACTTGGAACGGCCCACTGGCCCTGCTGGCCAGGGCAATGAGGAGCTTAGCACCCAGGCCAGCAGCTGTGGAGGGTGTACTGGGTCCCCCAGCAGTGCCAGCCCACCGGCGCTGCGCTCAATTTCTTGCCGGCCCTTAGCTGCCTCCCCATGGGGCAGGGCTTGGGAACTGCAGCCAGCCATGCCTGAGCCTCCCCGCTTCCGTGGGCTCCGGTGTGGCCTGAGCCTCCCGGACAAGCACCGCCCCCTGCTCCACGGTGCCCAGTCCCATCGACCACCCAAGGGCTGAGGAGTGTGGGTGCATGGCGCGGGACTGGCAGGCAGCTCCACCTGTGGCCCCAGTGCGGGATCCACTGGGTGAAGCCAGCTGGGCTCCTGACTCTGGTGAGGACTTGGAGAACCTTTATGTCTAGCTAAGGGATTGTAAGTACACCAATCGGCACTCTGTATCTAGCTCAAGGTTTGTAAACACAGCAATCAGCACCCTGTGTCTAGCTCAGGGTTTGTGAATGCACCAATGGACACTCTGTATCCAGCTACTCTGGTGGGGACTTGGAGAACCTTTATGTCTAGCTAAGGGATTGTAAATACACCAATGGGCACTCTGTACCTAGCTCAAGGTTTGTAAACACACCAGTCAGCACCCTGTGTCTAGCTCAGGGTTTGTGAATGCACCAATCGACACACTGTATCTACCTACTCTGGTGGGGACTTGGAGAACTTCTGTGTCTACACTCTGTATCTAGCTAATCTAGTGGGGAGGTGGAGAACCTTTGTGTCTAGCTCAGGGATTGTAAATGCACCAATCAGACCACTCGGCTCTCTGTAAAATGGACCAATCAGCAGGATGTGGGTGGGGCCAGATAAGAGAATAAAAGCAGGCTGCCCGAGCCAGCAGTGGCAACCTGCTCCGGTCCCCTTCCACACTGTGGAAGCTTTGTTCTTTCGCTCTTTGCAATAAATCTTGCTGCTGCTAACTCTTTGGGTCCACGCTGCCTTTATGAGCTGTAACACTCACCATGAAGGTCTGCAGCTTCACTCCTGAAGCCAGCGAGACCACAAACCCACCGGGAGGAAAGAACAACTCCAGATGCGAGGCCTTAAGAGCTGTAACACTCACCGCTGAGGTCCACAGCTTCACTCCTGAGCCCGCGAGACTACGAACCCCACCAGAAGGAAGAAACTCCAAACACATCCGAGCATCAGAAGGAATGAACTCCGGACATGCCACCTTTAAGAACTGTAACACTCACCGCGAGGGTCCTCGACTTCCTTCTTGAAGTCAGTGAGACCAAGAACCCACCAATTCCGGACACAATTTGTTCAAAAAATGAATCAAGGGAGCACTACCATGATTAGTATAACCTCTTCCCTGGAGCATAAGTATTTCAACAAAGAAAGTACAATTGTAGGTGAGGGCACAGTCACTTCTTGAAGGCTTTATTCTAAATTATTAAATTATTTAAATACTCTATAAAGGCCTGTTATCTCATGAGAGGCCATCTTCATCACCATGTATGCCATACATATGTAGGAAATTTTGCAATAGAAATATTGTGCAGTTTCTAATTCAGTTCAGCGAAAAATATATGAGCCCTTTCTATGTCACATTTTATTTGCAAGCAAGTTTACTAAGATTATAAAATATTATCATATGAAACAACTAAGCTAATACTACTATAAGTCATGCTTAGGTTCCCATGATGACAGAAAGTTTGTTGCTAAGAATGTCAGTAAGGGCAGGGCGCGGTGGCTCACGCCTGTAATCCCAGCACTTTGGGAGGCCGAGGCGGGCGGATCACGAGGTCAGGAGCTCAAGATCATCCTGAAACCCCGGTGAAACCCCGTCTCTACTAAAAATACAAAAAATTAGCCGGGCGTGGCGGCGGGCACCTGTAGTCCCAGCTACTGGGGAGGCTGAGGCAGGAGAATGGCGTGAACCCCGGGAAGCAGAGCTTGCAGTGAGCAGAGATCGCGCCACTGCACTCCAGCCTGGGCGACAGAGCCAGACTCCAGACTCCGTCTCAGAAAAAAAAAAGAAAAAAAAAAAAAGTCAGTAACAATGATAGTAAATGGAAAAGAATGATGTCCTAAGTAATTTCATCCTGATTATCACTGCTAGTTGCATTATTGATACAGAGTAAAAATGCTTTGTGAAAACTTTTTCATATAGGTTTAGACTTTTGCAAATGCATCTTCTGTGAGCAAGTATATCTTGTTTTCTGTTCTGTCTCTTTATAATCTTTGTAATCTCTGTTTTCTCTTTAAAATTATTTTATCACACTCTAGGGTTTAGGTTATAGCTTAAGGGGTCATCCTTGCTTCCATTCTCTTCCCATGCTGATCTGGTTTTCTTACCATTGTATCATTTTATTGATTAAGAACCTAAATTTCTGCATAAGCTGCCCTAACATACTCACTCTTTTCTCACATGGTGAAACATACATGCCAATCATCCAATTTCATCTTATTTTCTTCATGTAATATACTATTTCTGCCCCAATACATTTACTTCTGTAAATTTGAAAGGACTTCTTCTTGTTCTTGTCTTTTGAAAATGTTTTTACCCATATTTCAAGATGTTTCTTCAATCACCATAAACTTCTTTAACTAATCCAATTATTTCGCTATAAGTATTAATGTTCTGTACTAATTAGGTGAAGTATTTCATTGTCCAAATTTTCTCTCCTGTATTAGTTTTTTACATTGAATTAGAAACTCAATAAGAGAAGAAAAAAATACCACATATTCCTGTGTTTCTTCCACAAAATCAAGACATGTAACATTAAATAGAGTGCATTTGTTCTATAGTGTCTATATTACATAGGGTGAAATGGTATAATGACTTATTTTTCTCTCATGCAACAGATTAAAGGAAGGTGGTAGTTTAGACAGGTGGGCAGTTGTGGTCCATAAGATCTGTCATTCAGGGTCTTGGGCTCCTTCTAGCCAGCTGCTCTGCTCTAGGCTTTCTCTCATCTGCATGGTCCAGATTACAGGTTAGGGGAACATGAGAAGTGGAGGGGAAATCCTTCTCTTTAAGCAAGTGGAATACATTATGTCACTTGGACATATCCAGCAGCAGGGGAGTCTGATCATCTCTAGCAGGATGGGGCTGTGACAGACATAACTCTACTGTTATGAAATAAGGAGAATAGATGTTGGTAGACAATTAGCCATCAACTCCAATATTTTAAAATCAACAAGTACTATACAAACAAACTTAGCATAAGTGTGGTTTGATATTTCAGAAAAGATCTGGATGCTTTTTCTCAGGTTGATTTCATTGGGTAAACAATTATTTTAAAAGGAGAAAAATAAAATGATTTATCAACCTTAATGTATAAATATGTCAAAATCACTAGTATTTATGTATTCAAATTATAACATAAACAATTCTAAAATTGGAGAACTTAAATATTTATTGTCCCTTACTAATTTTTTACGATGTCAAAAATGTGGAACACTGAATAGTTTAATAAAATAAGCTTAATAAAATAAAAGAGAGATTGTCTCTATTAATTAAACCAAATAACTTGAAATTAAAACTCAGTATACATTTTAAGGGTCTTGACTACTTCTCCAGTTTTTACAAAATTTAAATCAACAACTAAAAGGGTATGCCATTAGAATGTGAAACAAGAAACTCCTAATAGAAGAGGGTTCTTTTGCTAGGCAAATTTTTTAATCTATTAAATCTAATTAATTCTGAGCTGGTTATTATCACCACTTGGGAAGAAGCAGCAGTCAAAATTCTTGCCAAACTGTGGGTAGATCTATATTTTTCCCAACCTACACTCTTTTTATTTTTGTCCCATAGGAGCTGTTAACAATCACTCTGAATTTATAAAACTACAGAATTGTATCCCTCTCATATTTTACCACCTTCTGTTGAAGTGATAGGTAATGTTATAGACTGAATGTTTTTGTTCCACCAAAATTTGTGTAGTGAAGACTTCGCCATCAATGTGATATCTGGAAGTGGGGCCTTGAGGAGGTGATTAGGTATAGATGAGGTTGTCAGCATGGACCTCCGTGATAGGATTATTGATATTAAAGTAAATTTAAATGGAAACCAGGCCTGAAGATTCTCTGAGCAGACTTAACCAGTGAGGCCTCATGAGTGACTTCAACCTTGCTTGATTTTCAAACATAAGCAAAACTTAGCTTGAGCTATTTCTTGTAAATGCCTCTATTAAAGAAAAACAGAATTTAAGCACTAACCATTCAGAAACGGAAAACAAACCTATAATTATGTAACTAGGAACAAGATAGACCTAATAAGGCAACTGAATAACTGTAACCAATTAAATATTTTATTTTTTTTACCTCCGTATTTTTTTCTGTAAAAGCCTCTCTCTTGCATTCCCTTGGTGGAGCTCCCAGTCCACTTCTGATTTGGAGCTTCCCAATTCATGAATTGTTTGCTCAAATAAACTCTTTAAAATGTGACTATTACTCAACTTACCATTTAAACAATGTTTTTATAAGAGGAGGAAGAAAGACTAGAACTCTCTTTTTTGTCACGTGAGGACAGAGCAAGTAGGTCGCTGTCTGCAGGACAGGAATAGAGCCCTTTCTAGGGAGCCAAATTGTCTGGCACATTGATCTTGGATTACACAGTCTCCAGAACTGTGAAAAATAAATTCCTGTTGTTTAAGCCAGTCTATGGTATTTTATTATGGTTGCCCAAGCTAAGATAGGTTAAAAAACACAACCGGTACAGAAAAGAACTGCACAAAGCAGAGATGAATTACACATTACCAGCCCACACTGCAGTGGATGGATATAAAGGGGTTAAATGATAATCTGACTTGAAGAGGGGACTCTATTTAAAAACAGAGCATCATAGTTGTGCATTCCATTTTCAGCCCAGAACCCGATTAGGGAGTGAATTTCGAAATGTACTACAAGTCTGTAATAATCAAAACAGTGTGGTGCTGGGTTGTGGATGGACACATAAATTAAGGGAATCAAACTGAGTCCAGGGGTACATTCATTTACCTATGGTCAAGAGATTTTTGACAAATATACCAAGACCATTCAATGGAGAAAGAATAGTCTTTTTAACAAATGATGCTGGACAGATTGATAACCACATGTGAAATAATGAATTTGGATTCCTATTGATACCATATACACAAATTAATTCCAGCACTTTGGGAGGCCGAGGCAGGCGGATGACTTGAGGTGAGGAGTTCGAGACAAGCCTGGCCAACATGGTGAAACCCATCTCTACTAAAAATACAAAAATTAGCTAGGCATGGTGGTAAGCGCCTGTAATCCCAGCTACTCGGGAGACTGAGGCAGGAGATGGCTTGAACCTGGGAGGCAGAGGTTGCAGTGAGCCAAGTTCGCACCACTACTGCACTCCAGCCTGGGTGACAGAGTGAGACTCTGTCTCAAAAAAAAAAAAAAAAAAGCCCCAAATGGATCAAATACTTACATGTAAGAGCTAAGTAAAAACCTCTTAGAAGGAAACAGAGGGACAAAACTTTGTAACCTTGGGTTAGGCAATATTTTATTAAATATAACACCAAATGCACAAATATCAAAAGAGAAAATTTTGATTTCATCAAAATTAAATAATTTTGTGTGTCAAGGGACACTGCCAAGAAAATGGAAAAAAAAAAAAAAAAACGACCCAGAGAATGTAAGAGCATATTTGCAAACTATACATTTTATTAGAGTCTAATATGCAAAAGATATACTAAAAAAACTTTCATAACTCAACAACATAAAGGCAAACAATTGAAGCTGACATGGGCAAAAGTTTGAATAGCTATTTCTAGAAAGAAGATGTAGAAATGGCCAATAAGCACATGGGAAGATTTTTAAACATTTTTTTTTCTTTTTGTTGTAGAGACAGGATCTTGTCATGTTGCCCAGGCTTGTCTCAAACTCCAGGGCTCAAGCAATCCTCCCGCTTTAGCCTCCCAAAGTGCTGGGATTATAAATGTGAGCCACCACACTGGGCCAAAGATGCTTAACATTATTAACAATTAGGAAAATGCAAAGCCAAACTGCAATGAGATACCTCTTCACACTTACTAAATGGCTATAATTTTTTTTTTAAGTGGAGAAATTGGAACTTTATACATTGCTGGTGGAAATGTAATAGTACAGCAGCTGTGGAAAAGAGTTTTGTGGTTCCCCAAACAAATAAGAGAATGAAGACATATATTCACACAAAAACTTAGACACAAAGGTTCACTGTAGCACTATTCATAATAGACAAAAAGTGTAAACAACCCAAATTTCTGTCAATTGCTGAATGGATAAACAAAATGTGATATATCCATAAAATGGAATGAATGAACCTCTAAAACATTATGCAAAGTAAAAGCAGTGAGACACAAAAGGCCACATATTGTTCAATTTCATTAATATTAAATATCTGGAATAGGCAAACCCACAGAACAGAAAATAGATCAGTGGTTGCCAGAAGCTGAAGGAAGGAAGAGGGGAAGTGACTGCTTAATGGGTACAGCTTATCATTTTGGGGTAATGAAAATGTTCTGAAATTAGACAGCAGAGATGCTTGCCTAACATAGTGAATATGCTAAAGACCACTGAATAAGACACTTTAAAATAATCAAGATGGATAATTTTATGTTATGTAAATTTTATCTCATAAAGCCTTCCAAAAATATTTAGCACTTTGTCGGTCACGTATAACATAAAGCGCAACATGTATTTACTCCTTTCCAGGCAAGGATGAAGTGGTAGATGAAACTTGAGAGAACCATTATTTATTTGATTTTGTTCTTTCTCCTATTAGGAACTGCTTGTAGAGTAGAATATCAAGATCTTACTACCCCCAAACATATTTTCTATGGACACCCAAAACCCAACAAGTAAACAGTTATTTGTTTAGATTTTACTTTTTCTGTTACTGTAAATCTCTCCAGGTGATGAAAACATGTAAACTTCTTAATCAAAGATTAATTTAATAGTATGTGTTAGGATGGGCTAGATCTTTTTAGAGAGGCAAGCAACCCCAAAATTTTAGCTGCTTAAAAAGGCAAAAATTGGCTGAACACAGTGCCTGTGATCCCAGCACTTTGGAACACTGAGGAGGAAGGATCGCTTGAGTCCAGGAGTTTAAGACCAGCCCGGGCAACATAGGAAGACCTCTGCCTCTACAAAAAAATTTAAAAATTAGCTGCCATAGTGGTGTGTGTCTGTAGTCATAGCTACTCTGGAAGCTGAGGTAGGAGGATAGCTTGTGATCAGGAATGCAATGCTTCAGTGAGCCATGATTGCACCACTGCATTCCAGTCTGCGTGACAGAGCAAGACCCTGTCGCTAAAAGACAATAAATAAGTGAAATATAATGAATTTTAAAATGTGCAAGTTTATTTTTCATTCATACTATATCTCCACTAAAAGTCAGATGGATGGCTTTGTTTATCATAATTACTCAGGAATCCAGGCTACTGAAGGCCATCAGTATGGCAAGAAAACAGGGAAATCATGCATTACTCTGCAAAATTATCAAATGGAAGTGACACAGGTCACTTCTACTCACATTTCATTGGCCATAACAAGTAGCATGGGCATGTCTAACTTTAAAAAGAGGTGGGGAATGCAGTTGTTGCATATAGCTACAAACCAGAGAATTGGAAATATGTGAGTAACACTAATAACTGTTTCATAGGAATAAAAATCTCCAAACTGGGGTCCTAAATTGTGTTGAGGTAATTATGACAATGGCTTTATTTTGTATTAATTTTAAACTGACATCTGTACCATCTTATTCCCTGCTGTTTCTCTACTAGACTTTTTTTTCAGATGGCATACATTCCTTCAAATAATACTTTCAACCTTCTTAGATATGCCTTGTGAAAGGCTTATTCCTATTTGCCTAGATTTCTTTTTTTTTTTTACCCATCATTTTCCTTAAATCACTTGTCCAAACTTACACCTATAAGGGTGAGAAAAAGGGAAACAAAAAATTACCTATTCTTAAACAGTGATGAGAAGTTAGGTATGTAGGATAAGCACCCATTTAAAGAGCAAAATTACCATTCTTTAATCAAGTATCAGTTAAGAGGAAAAATAACACCCCTCCCCCCCCCACACACACAAACACAATATGAATGAAGGGAGAAATTACTGGAGGGTAAGAAATGTCAGTAGTAAGTGATGTTGTAATCAATTATTTACACATTGCCAAATCCAATGGCCAGTTCTCATTCCTCATCTTTCTTGAGCTCTCAGCAGCACCTGATGCCATAGATCATTTATCCTTCTTGAGACACCCTCTTCACTTGGCTTCTGGGACACACCATTATTGTATTTCTTCTTTCTTCTTTGTTCTTTCTTCTTTCTTCTTTCTTCTTCCTCTTCCTCTTCTTCTTCTCTTTTCAAGATTGGGCCTTGGTCTGTCGCCCAGACTAGAGTGGAGTGCAACCATCACAGCTCACTGCAGCCTCTACCTCTCAGGCTCAGGAAATCTTCCCACCTCAGCCTCCTCCATGCCCAGATAATTTTAATTTAATTTGATTTATTTATTTTTGTACAGACAAGATCTCACTACGTTGCCTAGGCTAGTCTCGAACTCCTGGGCCCAAGCAATTCTCCTGCCTGAGCCTCCCAAACTGTTGGGATTACAGGCGTGAGCCACCATGTCTGGCCTCCACTAGATATTTCTGATTAAATGTCTAGTCTCTATTTCAAGCTAATATAACCAAAACATAACTATTGATTCCTCTAGTTATGTTCCAAACATTCCCCTCCTCTGGTTCTTCCTCTCACTAAATGGCAGCTCCATTGATTGTTCAGGCCACAAATCTCTTAGTCATCCTTTACTTTTCTCTTTATCTTACAGCTCAGATTCGGGCCATCATAAAACATGGGAACATTATTTTCAAAACATAATCAGAATCTGACCACTTCTTACAACCTTCCCCACCACTCACTTGGTCCAAGCTACCTTTATCTCTTGCTCAGATGTTGCAATGTCATCAGTATATTTTTTGTGTGGCACTCAGAGTAATCCTTTTAAAAATCAGTCAGATGGTGCCACTTCCTTTAGTAGCTTCAAATCTTACCCAGAAATACAATTCAAAATTCTCATCCTTGCACAAGATAGCCATTTGGAATGCCAGAAATGCCCCATATTTTGACCTAGGTTATGTTTACATGGGTATATGTAATATATCTGGGTGTGTAAATATATGTATAAAATATATAAATGTGTGTGTATATGTAGATATATATGGAGAGATAAGTATTTATTAAGCTGTATAATTAATATGTGGGCACTTCACTATAAGTAAAACTCTCTCTCTTTATATATATATATATTTTAATTTAAGACTCTGAAAATCTGCTCTACACCATCTTGTCTCTCACCACTCACCTTCTAAAACTGTGTTCCAGTTACACTGAGTTCCTGAATATTTCTGGAACTAATGGGAAGCATGTTCCCACCTAAGGGATTTGCACTTATTGTATGCTCTATATAGAATCCTTGGAAACTAGCCTCACTTCTTATAGGTCTGCTAGAATTGTCTGAGAGGCCTTCCCTGAACTCCTACACAATGATATTTACACTATTACACTTTACCTATCTATTTATCTTGAATTTTGCAGGACAAAATCACACCAAGAAGCTGGTTTCATCATAAGAACATAACCACACACCTCACATGGATTCTCAGTGCCATCCTACAGTCTTACTTTTCTGTCTTCTTTCCCATACTCTGATTTCTTTTTCTTCAAATCTCCCCAACCCTCCTCAACTTCTCTTCACTTTGGATAATGACATCACTGTTTTACTCAAGAGAAATGGAAACTAGCAGAAAATTTTATTAGTTTCTCCACCACAAAATCTATAATTCTATTAGTAATTGAACGTGTCTTCACTATATCTTTCCTGTTACAATGAGAACTGTATTCAACTTGCTTTCAAGGGCCTATGTCAACCGAGCTGTGGGTTCATTCTTTTTCCTTCTCAAGAACTTTGATCCTTCAGTTATCTCTTACCTTGTTGCAATACCAGTGTCTCTCTCTCTCTCTGTTTCTCTGGGTATTCCAACCAGCATGCACACATTCTCTAGTATCTGCCATATACTAAATACACAAAAAAACTACCTTCATCCCCAAATCTCTCACCCAGTCTGATTTACCTGCAAAACTTCTCTAAAGAGTTTGCCTCTCTTGCTCTCTCCCTTTCCTTGCCACCCACAAATTCTTCCACTCACTCAAGTCTGGCTTCTCTCCTGCCCACCACTACTGTGGAAACCTCGGTGTTTACAACTCCAGTGGCCCCCTCTCTATCCCAGTGTATTGACTTTTTCTTGCATTGAACAGGTCTGCTTTCTCCCTCATTTGTGCTTCTCTTGGCTTCTGGGACACTTCCTTTTTCTCAGCTTTTGTCTTGCCTCATGGTTGGTTCCTTCGTCTCCTTTGATGGCTCCTTCATATCTACTCAATCTTTACTTGTTTAAGTGCTTCAGCATTTGATTCTGGACAGTTTTCTTTTCTCATCCTGTATTTGAGTAATCTTATCAAAGTCCTTGGCTTTTGAATAATCAAAACATAGCTATTCTTAAGCATTTAAAATATAATCTAGATTACAGGCACGATTTACATACCAGAGATGTTGGATTGAGAGTTATCCAAATAGATTTGCTATCTGAGACTGAGATTGGGAGAACTTGCAGAAGTGTTGAAGATACAAAAAAAAAAAAAAAAAGAAAAGAAAAGAAAAAAAAAGAAAAAAGAAAAAAAAAAGTTCTGGGCGTGGTGGCACATGCCTGTAATCCCAGCACTTTGGGAGGCCGTTTCAGGTGGATCATTTGAGGCCAGGAGTTCAAGACAAGCCTGGCCAACATGGTAAAACCCCGTCTCTACTAAAAATACAAAAATTAGTCAGGCATGGCGGCCAGTCCTTGTCAAAACAAAACAAAAACAAAAACAAGTATTTTGATAGGACTTTCTGTTTGGAGGTTAGATGTAGGAAGAGATGAAGTAGAAAGGCAGTGATCAGAGAAGGAAGAACAGAACAAACATGAAACTCCAGAGGAGAGAGACATGCAAGGAAAAGAGTCTTCTACACAATAAAATTCTGCAGAATTTTTGGATCAGAAGATAATAGAAAAATTTTTTTAGGATTTGAAAAGAAGAAAAGGAGATCATAATATCTGCAAGGGCAGTTTTGGTAGGTTATAAAACTGGTACATTTTGGAGTAAGGAGTAGAAGGAGAGAATTACCAGGCATACATCACTCATTTCATGAGTTTAACAGTGGGAGAAATGGTTTGATAAATAAAATAAATAGTGGGATCAACCTTGTTTTTATTTTATTTTATTTTTTGGTTTTGTTTTTGTCTTTTTTTTTTTAATGCGTTTATTGGGGCAGAGAGATGAGAGCCTGTTTTTAAAAAGGTATCTACAGAGAAGAAGGAATTGAAACTGTAAGAGAAAAAAGAAGCAATCAAAAATCAGGGAAAATAGAAGGATTGGACTTTGCAATATAGGAGAAAGAGTGGAGGGATTCTTGTTTAGAAATAAAGAGGTTTATCTCTTCCTTTGGAACTTATGGAAGAGACTAAAAGGCCTATCAAAACAATAATGCTGGCCGGGCGCCGTGGCTCACGCTTGTAATCCCAACACTTTCGGAGGCCGAGGCAGGGGGATCACCTGAGGTCAGGAGTTTGAGACCAGTCTGGCCAACTTGGTGAAACCCCATCTCTACTAAATATGCAAAACCTTAGCCAGACATGGTGGTGCATGCCTGTAATCCCAGCTACTTGGGAGGCTGAGGCACAAGAATTGCTTGAACCTGGGAGGCAAAGATTACAGTGAGCTAAGGTTGCACTACTGCAACTCTGTTGTCTGGGCAACAGAGCAAGACTCTGTCTCAAAAGGAAAGGAAGGAAGGAAGGAAGGAAGAGAGACAGAGAGAAAGAAAGAAAGAAAACGATAATGCTTCTGTAGGCCAGAGGTGATTAAAAAAATATATATATATAATGCTGGGGTATACTGAAGATGATGGCCCAGATCTTTCATGTGACATAGAAGGCAAGATCATCTACTAAACAATCAGGCAGAAATCAGGACTTGAGCAGCATGAGGAAAATAAGAAGGCTGGCTATAACACATCAGGTGGGAGTCAGGACGTTTGGGTTTCAGCTGGCTCAGAATATCTACTGGCCGCAGGCAAATCTACAAGTTTCAGATTCTTCTCTCAGAGTGTAAAGAAACCAGTCTCAATTTCTAAAGTCCCTAACATTCTGTATTTGATTTTGTGATTGGAGACTGGAATATCTTCTGTAAGGAGAGGATTTACTGAGTCAATGAGAAAACAATGAAAAGATCAAGCAACAGCATGAGGATCCAGTTGAAAATTAACAAAGCTGAATTAGGTCTGAACCACTCTGCATCTTCCTCTAAGAATCCTCAGTGGCCAGGAAGCAGCAGTGGAGAAAGCCAGCCATGGTAGCAGCCCTTTATAGAAGACAATGGTGTCCAGTTCTGCAGAATGTCGGGGTACAGGACATCTGGTCTAGTGGAGAGGGAAGTATTGTAGACCATGCTGCCCAGTCTGAGGACAAACTCCAGTTTCATAAAGAGGGCCCTGATAGGATGAAGTGAATTCAAGGACATGGAAGGCTTGGGGATCTCTCTGAAGTTAGAATGCTTGTTTCAGAGGGTGAGAAAAAGGGCAGGTGAATCAGAGAGAAATTTGATATAGAGCAGGTAAGGAGCACATGGTTGAATCTCAGAGAAATAGCAATGCCTATTAAAAGTGAGATCTGGGTTGGGTGTGGTGGCTCACACCTGTAATCCCAGCACTTTGGGAGGCCAAGGCAGGCGGATCACTTGAGGTCGGGAGTTTGAGACCAGCTTGACCAAGAAACCCCATCTCTACTGAAAATACAAAATTTGCCAGGTGTGGTGGTGCATGCCTGTAATCCCAGCTACTCAGGAGGCTGAGGAAGGAGAATCACTTGAACCCAGGAGGCAGAGGTTGCAGTGAGCCAAGGTTGCACCATTGCACTCCAGCCTGGGCAACAGGAGTGAAACTCCATCTCAAAAAAAAAAAAAGAGAGAGAGAGAGAGGAGAGATCTGGTATATACTATCCTGGTGTGTAGATGGTGTTAAATAGAAATGCATAGAAGTTAAGGCAACAAACTCGGTAAATATGGCATCAAAGCAGTTTAGTAATAAGAACACTGAAGTGGCTGAGGCCATTGCTCATGGAGAAACAAATTATAAGCTAAAAGTGTGAGTGTGATGAATATGGAGATAAGATCTGCAGAATATGGGGAAAATTGCATTGTCCTTAAGGCAGTGTGTATGCATGTGTGTGTGAGTGTGAGAGTGTGTATGTATGTGTGTGTGAGAGAGACAGAGACAAAGGGAGAAAGAGGATAATAAAGAATTGTACAATAAAAGAAAGAACAGTCAACAGAGACTGTACAATGAGAGACAAAAGAGTCAACAGGCAACCAAAATAAATAAATAAATAAATAAATAAATAAATAAATAAATAAAACAAGAAAACGAGGAAGAAAATTACTACTCATCTCTCTTCAAATCAAGTATAGGAAGATAATAGACCAACAGGTTATTGTTAGAGAGAAAAAGTGTTTTTACCAACATGAATGGGAAGAGACATTAAAGGACATAATAGCAGCACCTACCATAATGTTTAATAAACAAAGCACTCGAGATAAGTTTTGTTGAATCCAAATTACACATGTTTACTGTTTGCCTTTTCCTGAATACTTTCACATATATCTGCTTTAATCTTGTGGGTTTTAAAAATAGATTATCTTAATCTGTCCCGAAGTTACTTTACAGAGAAGTTGGGGTCAATCCAGCAGAGGATGTCTGGTGTCAAGATTTCCAAGAATTTGCAACCTGGACATGGATTCCCATTCAAAATCACAGAAACAAGCACTCTTTTCTCAAAAGGTATAACCAAGATTCAAATGCTGGGAAGATCAATAACTAATTTCAAATTTAAATGACCAACGGTAGCACTGCTGGGCCAAGAATTGGGTAGAGCATGGACCAGCGATGAAGAGCAATTAAGGAAAAAGTGAGGACAAATGATCATTTCATGATGTAAACATATATAAAACATCACATTGTACCCCATAAAAATAATATATGCAATTATTATTTGTCAATTAAAAAGAAAAGAAA
Organism: Homo sapiens; assembly: GCF_000001405.40. NCBI lineage: Eukaryota > Metazoa > Chordata > Mammalia > Primates > Hominidae > Homo > Homo sapiens. The sequence goes on from NC_000007.14 coordinate 121,435,983, forward strand.
AAGGAGGGTTCATGGAAGCAGTCTTGGTGAAACTTCAGCCATTTCCATTAATTCATGGTGTGGGTGGGCTGGTCTAGTTTTAAGAACTAACAATGGGACAAGGTGAAATTTGCACTTGGGCCTTCATCTAATAAGTTGTAATTGATGTTTAGGTCTCTTGTTATAAATCTTCAGTTGAGATAAAGGTCTTAACTGAAAGGGAGTCTGTCTACAGTGAAAGAATGTTTTTACAATTTATTCGTTCAATTGTTCCTAAATTCCTGATTTTCAGGTTCACCCTTTCCTTTAATCCAAATAATTAGCTGGTGACATAATCCATGTGTTATTGGAAAGAAAGCACACTCCCTTTCCACTGCCATACTTCCATGTCTTCCTGTTCTCCTGTTACTCATAATTCCTGCTCCTCTTCATTATTAACTCCTATTTATGCTCTGGATTCCTGCAGCTGTCACCTTTGCCCTGCACATGGCCACTGCTCTCCTACCTGCATTCAGCAAAGCACCACTAACACTGGGCTCTTAGGCAGGTAATAGATACCTGCCTAAGGTTTGAGAATAATAGAGACATAGGAAAATTCATTCATCCCATTTAGTAAATAGTTTTTAACACCTATCATTGATACAGCTCCAATGAGTGGAGGAACAACAGGTTCTTCGTCTGGAGTCGAATTAGATAAAACGACATGGACAGACATGGAGTGGTTTTAAGGAGCGGAGAGTTTAATAGGCAAGAAAGAAGGAAGAAGGCAGAAGGAAGAAGCTCCCCCGTACAGAGAGGGAGCCGTGCTCCAAAGTAGAGAGAGGGAACCAACCCCAAGTGCGATGGATACCAGCCAGATATATGCAGAGGCTGGAGGAAGCGGTGTCTGATTTGCATAGGACTCAGGGGATTGGTTTGACCAGGCATGTCATTCATGTAACCCATGAAAAAGCTGGCCCTCCCACCCTAATATGCAAATGAAGGGCGCCATGATGTTCTACACACGTGGGGATATGTGGGGGTGGCCATGTTACCAGGAACATGTGGGGCAAGGTCAAGAAGACCCTGGGAATCACTATGTTTGGGTGGACCCAGTTTCTAATGGCCTGTTTTTGCATATCAAAGGTTGCCAGCCTGGCTCTAAGAGCAGGGGCTTTACAGGAAACTTTTCTGGAGATGCTTTTTAAAAAAATGAAAACTTCCCAAGGACCCCTTTTCCTCTCTATCTGCCTAAAATAATTTCTTAATAACTCCTATCACATCGTCTAGACATTTTTCTAGGTGCTGGGCACAAAGCATTGAACAATAAGGATAAAATCCTTGTCTTCATATTGCTTACATTTTATTTGGATCACAGACAGTAAGTAATTTTAAAAACTATATTAAGGTTGCAATTAACTTTCTTTGTTAGACAAATAGTGCCAATATGATCTTAAGAATCTAGAAAAAATTAGAACTTGGCTTCTTTAAATGACTGCTTAATGGGTTGCTTATTATTTCCCACACCCCTGTGTTTCTCTGAAGAACAAAAGATAGAGGAACGAAATGAAGGGGAGAAAGGTGATACAATAAGGATTCCTAAAGACAACAGGCCAGGCCAGGTGCAGTGGCTCATGCTTGTAATCTCAGCACTTTGGGAGGCTCAGACAGGAGGATTGCTTGAGCCCAGGTATTTGAGACCAGCCTGGGCAACATAGCAAGACTTCGTCTCGACTAAAAAAATGATAAAAATTAGTCAGGCATGGTGGTGTCCACCTGTAGTCCTAGCTTCTCAGGAGGTTGAGGTATGAGGATTGCTTGAACTCAAGAGTTGGAGGCTGCAGTAGTGAGCTATAACCGTGCCATTGCACTCCAGTGAGACCTCGTCTTAGGAAAAAAAAAAAAAAAAACCCGAAAGGGAACAAGACAACTCCAAGTGGCTCTAAAGAAGGCACCTTCACAGAATTCTGAAGAGGGAGTCTGTCTTGGGGCACATTATTCCAGATTTTTATCTCCTCAAATGGATGATCTGATATATGAAGTCACCCCCCTTATCATATCAGCTGGAACCTTCCTCCAGGGTGCAGATCCTTTCCTTTTTATTTATATGAAGAGCCTCCCTACATATTTGCACTCATGCCTTCCACATTGATAAATGGCTTTCACTTAGTGCTATGACAACTCTTCTCTGGAACTCTCTCAGTTCTCAACTCATGATTAATAGTTTCAGTTAACATTCTTTCCTTTACTTATCTTAGTAATTTACAGAGATGAACTTGCTCTCTCTGTTGTAACAAGTACAAGTATACGTAGCTTCACATTTTATACATTCCATTAGAAAATGGTGCAGAAAAGGAGGATCTCTGACCAGATAAAAGAGAGGGTCTCTGGTCTCTGACTAGATAAAGATAGTTCCCCTAATCCTTCTTGACCACAGATATTACTTTTGGTCAGCATCCAAAATCTTTTTAATAAGAAGGTAAGCAGTCTGTCCGTTCTCAGATCTCAAACTCCATGCTGGGAGAACCACTACTCTCTTCAAAGCTGTCACATAGGGACATTTAAGTCTGCAGAGGTTTCTGCGTCTTTTGTTCGGGTATGCCCTGCCCCCAGAGGTGGAGTCTACTAAGGCAGGCAGGCCTCCTTGAGCTGCGGTGGGCTCCACCCAGTTCGAGCTTCCCAGCTGCTTTGTTTACCAGCTCAAGCCTCAGCAATGGCAGGCGCCCCTCCCCCACCCTCGCTGCCGCCTTGCAGTTCCATCTCAGTCTGCTGTGCTAGCAATGAGCGAGGCTTCGTGGGTGTGGGACCCATGCCCTCTCTGACCTCTCCTATTCAACATAGTGTTGGAAGTTCTGGCCAGGGCAATCAGGCAGGAGAAAGAAATAAAGATATTCAATTAGGAAAAGAGGAAGTCAAATTGTCCCTGTTTGCAGATGACATGATTGTATATTTAGAAAACCCCATCGTTTCAGTCCAAAATCTCCTTAAGCTGATAAGCAACTTAGGCAAAGTCTCAGGATACACAATCAATGTGGAAAAATCACAAGCATTCTTATACACCAATAACAGACAGAGAGCCAAATCATGAGTGAACTCCCATTCACAATTGCTTCAAAGAGAATATAATACTTAGGAATCCAACTTACAAGGGATGTGAAGGAACTCTTCAAGGAGAACTGCAAACCACTGCTCAACGAAATAAAAGAGGATACAGGCAAATGGAAGAACATTCCCTGCTCATGGATAGGAAGAATCAATAGCATGAAAATGGCCATACTGCCCAAGGTAATTTATAGATTCGATGCCATCCCCATCAAGCTACCAAAGACTTTCTTCACAGAATTGGAAAAAACTACTTTAAAGTTCATATGAAACCAAAAAAGAGCCCGCATTGTGAAGACAATCCTAAGCCAAAAGAACAAAGCTGGAGGCATCACGCTACCTGACTTCAAACTATACTACAAGGCTACAGTTACCAAAACAGCATGGTACTGGTACCAAAACAGAGATATAGACCAATGGAACAGAACAGAACCCTCAGAAATAATACCACACATCTACAACCATCTGATCTTTGACAAACCTGAAAAAAACAAGCAATGGGGAAAGGATTCCCTATTTAATAAATGGTGCTGGGAAAACTGGCTAGCCATGTGTAGAAAGCTGAAACTGGATCCCTTCCTTACACCTTATACAAAAATTAATTCGAGGTGGATTAAAGACTTAAATGTTAGACCTAAAACCATAAAAACCCTAGAAGAAAACCTAGGCAATACCATTCAGGACATAGGCATAGGCAAGAACTTCATGTCTAAAACACCAAAAGCAATGGCAACAAAATCCAAAATTGACAAGTGGGATCTAATTAAACTAAAGAGCTTCTGCACAGCAAAAGAAACTACCATCAGAGTGAACAGGCGATCTACAGAATGGGAGAAAATTTTTGCAATCTACTCATCTGACAAAGGACTAATATCCAGAATCTACAAAGAACTCAAACAAACTTACAAGAAAAAAACAACCCCATCAAAAAGTGGGTGAAGTATATGAACAGACACTTCTCAAAAGAAGACATTTACACAGCCAACAGACACTTGAAAAAATGCTCATCATCACTGGCCATCAGAGAAATGCAAATCAAAACCACAATGAGATACCGTCTCACACCATTAGAATGGCGATCATTAAAAAGTCAGGAAACAGGTGCTGGAGAGGATGTGGAGAAATAGGAACACTTTTACACTGTTGGTGGGACTGTAAACTAGTTCAACCATTGTGGAAGACAGCATGGCGATTCCTCAAGAATCTAGAACTAGAAATACCATTTGACCCAGCAATCCCATTACTGGGTATATACCCAAAGGATTATAACTCATGCTGCTATCAAGACACATGCACACGTATGTTTATTGTGGCACTATTCACAATAGCAAAGACCTGGAACCAACCCAAAAGTCCATCAGTGATAGACTGGATTAAGAAAATGTGGCACATACACACCATGGAATACTATGTAGCTATAAAAAATGATGAGTTCATGTCCTTTGTAGGGACATGGATGAAGCTGGAAACCATCATTCTCAGCAAACTGTCGCAAGGACAAAAAACCAAACACCGCATGTTCTCACTCATAGGTGGGAATGGAACAATGAGAACACTTGGACACAGGAAGGGGAACATCACACACTGGGGCCTGTCGTGGGATGGGGGGAGGGGGGAGGGATATCATTAGGAGATATACCTAATGTAAATGACGAATTAATGGGTGCAGCACACCAACATGGCACATGTATACATATGTAACAAACCTGCACATTGTGCACATGTACCCTAGAACTTAAAGTATAATAATAAAAAATTAAAAAAAAAGAAAAAAGAAGGTAGGATCCAGGGTTAGTTTTTGTAGCCTTGGCTGGCCCCTTGGCCTCTGGCATACTCGAACTTCCGGCCCTTGGAGCGGACGTAGGGTTTGGTGTGGCTGTGTGGGGTTCCCAGGGCCTTGTCGAAATGCCAGTACACCTCTCGACCCTTGCGAGGACCTGAGAGCAGGACGGTGCCGCAGACCTTGGGGGAGTCCAGGGCCAGCTGGTCGAAAGTGAGGTTCTTGCCCCCCACCCTGAAGATGTGGCTGCGGGCCCGGCTGGTCACGCCCAGTGCACACACCTTCAGTTTGGGCACCTCCTGAACCCACACGTCATCTGTTATGGTTCCCACAACCACGGCCGTTTTGTTTTCCTGGCCAGGAAGCTTCATTTTCGGGATCATCCGGGAAAGGGACAGAGGTGGCTGGTTGGTGCACTCATAAACAACCTCTTCAGCACTATTACTTTTTTTAAAGTGCCCTAAATATCCTTATCAGAGGGGTATTCTTACTTTCACTTTCTCTTTTTTTCCCCTCAGGGCTTTCTTGCCCTCTATTTAAATCTTTCTTCTAAAGCTTCTCTTCCAGTCCTAGGATCCCCAATTCTTTGTCTCCCTTGTCTTCCAAGGGAACATTTTTTTTTAACAATTCTTAATTATGCAAAGAATTTTATTTCTTCATTCTCTCAACCATTCCAATTCTAACTGAGCTCTAGGGCCTACCTACATTTAACTAAATGAAACTAAACAACAAAATCATCAGGATATGGCTGACCTATATTATGGAAGCAAGCTTGAGTCATCTTTTTTAATAGGAATTTTGTCTTCTTCCTACAAATGCATTGTTGCCAAAGAGAGTCATAGAGGGAAGGATTTTGCATAGGGAGAGATGAGCTTGGGATGGGTAGAATCAAAATTTCAGAGAGTTTTAAGGGGTGGGTAATGGGCTTTTGCACAAAATCGTAAAATAAAGAAAAAGAGAGAAGGGAGCTTTTCAGCTGAAGGTGGATAAGGTTTCTATTAGTCATCTGTGGGGAGAGATAGATGGATATTAAAAGGAGAGGACAGTTTACATATATAGAAATTTATAAAGGCCTAAATACAGACACAGGAAAGACAACCCACCTGTTTCTAGCATCCTAGGTAGCACATTTGTGTGGAGCCAATAAAAAAAGTGTACACAAATAAACCAATTATATTCAGGTATGTTTTGAAAGAGCCATGTTGACTGGCCTAAGATGTGGGAAAAAAGCCAGGGATTTTGTTCACAGTAAGTTCAATACAAACAAATCCAGTGATTTGCCAAAAGAGCTAACTAGTATCTTAGCCCGCATTAATGCAATTTCAGTCTCTTTAATAGTGTAGTGTTGTTCTACAGCACTTACCATGGGGAGTAAATGAAGCATTTCTAGCATGGTAATGAATCTATTGGTAGTACAGTCATTAATGAACTGTTTTTTGTTTTGTTTGTTTTGTTTTGTTTTTGACGGAATTTCGCTCTTGTTGCTTAGGCTGGAGTGCAATGGTGAGATCTCGGCTCACCACAACCTCCGCTTCCTGGTTTCAAGTGACTCTCCTGCTTCAGCCTCCTGAGTAGCTGGGATTACAGGTGCCTGCCACGACACCTGGCTAATTTTGTATTTTTAGTGGAGATGGGTTTCTCCATGTTGGTCAGGCTGGTCTGGAACTCCCGACCTCAGGTGATCCACCCACCTTGGCCTCCCAAAGTGCTAGGATTACAGGTGTGAGCCACTGTGCCCGGCCCTGGTTTATTTTTATTTTTATTTTTATTGTTTTTGGTTAAGTTTTTATTTGGTCATATTAAGACACAGTAAAGTTTTGCTTCTATAAAGTGAATAATCATTAATTTTTTTTTTTTTTTGTAATTCAAGGGAAAACTTAAGTTTGGTTGGTTAATTTTCCTTTTTCCCCTCTATATAGATGCTCTTAAGAGAATAATTGTAGTTAAAAAAACATAAGTAATTACACTTTTGGAAGCCAGCATGTTACATTACAGTTGTGCAGGGAGGATCAGAGGTAGAAACCCCAAGAAGCTACTGCAGGCCTGACTCCTTCTTCCCTTCCTTGCCCAGCCCCTCTAGTTTTGCCTGAGGGATGCAAGGTAAACTACATCAACAAAGGTCCAGGAACCACAACAATTCTGAGGTCACAAATCATCTAGGCCTGCAGGTGGATGCCCTAGATTGTAGGCATTGATGCCAAGGAAGGAAACCACCCTCTTAACACCTCACGATCTGTAGGGCATTGACAGCAGAGGCTTTTACTCCTCAGCCCCTCCCCTGAAAGGCCTTGATTAGGAAGGTAGCTGAGTCACCATAGAAAGGCCAAGTATGTGTAACACAGCCAATACTGAGAGTGAATTCTGATAGACAACCTTTCTCCGAATTATGTTTTATTTCTGTTTTTCTATATCCATATTGTTTTCTATATTTATTTTCATATATTCTATATTCAGAACATAGAATATGATTCTGAATATATAATTTTTAATATTTAATAGAGACATGGAGACATTAAATATTAAATATTAAATTTAATATTTAATAGAGATATATTTAATACAGACATGGAGAAACCCCATCTCTATTAAAAATTCTATATTCGGAATATAGAATACAATTGAGAATATAGAATAACACAATTCTATATTCGGAATACAGAAGAACGCAATTCTATATTCGGAATACAGAAGAACGCAATTCTATATTCGGAATACAGAAGAACGCAATTCTATATTCGGAATACAGAAGAACGCAATTCTATATTCGGAATACAGAAGAACGCAATTCTATATTCGGAATACAGAAGAACGCAATTCTATATTCGGAATACAGAAGAACGCAATTCTATATTCGGAATACAGAAGAACGCAATTCTATATTCGGAATACAGAAGAACGCAATTCTATATTCGGAATACAGAAGAACGCAATTCTATATTCGGAATACAGAAGAACGCAATTCTATATTCGGAATACAGAAGAACGCAATTCTATATTCGGAATACAGAAGAACGCAATTCTATATTCGGAATACAGAAGAACGCAATTCTATATTCGGAATACAGAAGAACGCAATTCTATATTCGGAATATAGAATATATTCCTATATTCTATATTCGGAATACAGAATTATATTCCTATATTCTGTATTCCGAATACAGATTTATATTCCTATATTCTGTATTCCGAATACAGAATTATATTCCTATAGTCTGTATTCCGAATACAGAATTATATTCCTATAGTCTGTATTCCGAATACAGAATTATATTCCTATAGTCTGTATTCCGAATACAGAATTATATTCCTATAGTCTGTATTCGGAATACAGAACTATATTCCTATATTCTGTATTCGGAATACAGAACTATATTCCTATATTCTGTATACGGAATACAGAATATATTTCTATATTCTATATTTCGTTTTTCTATATTTTTCTATAAATAGAATGCATCACCGACCCAAGGGATTCAAACATCATGGGTATCAGAATCACATGTCCCTCCCCAGAGATACTGCCTCTGTCTAGAATCCCAACAGCCCCCTTTAGGCACAGTGTCACCCCTGGGTTTTTTCCTGAGATAGTAAGCTGTAGCAGGAGACCCTGAGAGCTGCGGTTGCTTTGTTGGGAGAATAAGGCAGTAATCTGTAGCCTCACTTCCTCAGCCTAAAATGACGGCTTGGCCCAAATGACTTGTAAGTTTCTTTTCAATTTCTACCTTCTGCAAAAATAGCAAAAGGAAGTTTTCAAATTTTCATTTATAATATCCTGGAAAACACAGGACAAGTGAAAAGGCAATTTGTTGACTAACTTGATCACGGTAAAGAGTCAAATTGGATAATTAGATTCCAAAGTGGATTTTGGGGGGACCTAATTTTCCTATTTGGCTGCCTAACAGTATCAAAATAACTGCTAATTGCCAAATCTCTCTCTCCCTTCTCTGTATGCTTAGCCAATATTGCTGTAGTGCATCAAAAAAAAAAAAAAAAATGCTACCATTGCTCAGTCCACCTGTGCATCTCCTAATAATTAAATAGTGCACTTGTAGAAATTTTTTTTGGTTGGGGGGAGGTGGGAGACAAGAAGATTTACACATATAGGGACTAGTCATAGCCTATAGTTAAGTGTCTAGCTCCAGAACCTGAAGCACAATGGTTTCTCCTAAGTGAAATTTAGGACTGTAGGACCAGCTGTAAGCTGAGACCTCCAAAATCTGCATTGGTCAGCGGTCCCCAAATTTTGGGCAAAGGGAATCACTTAGGAATCTGTAATAATACTGATATTTGGTTGCCCCTAACTCTACCAGACATGATGATTTAATTGGTAGGGGATGAGAATAGGAATCATACAATTTCCCCAAGTGATTCTAATGTGGAACAAAGTTTGGCAACTCCTGAAATTTGGTCAATATCATCGTAAAATATGCTAGTTTGTTAGGTTGATTTTTTGCAATGGTTGGGCCTAAGGCAATGTGATCAAGATTGCAGGCACTTGGATCAGACAAGCTGCTTCTTAATCTTGCTCAACCTCTGCTGGTTCTGTCTATGTCCACAAACTGGCCAGGTAATTTTGTTTAGTTTCAGCTTTCTTATTTGTATGATAGAGATAAATGTGCCCACCTCATAGTATTGTTCTGAAGATGAAATGTGTTTGGAAGGTTTTGGAAAATTGTTGGCATGAAATCTGGCACCCAGAACTTGATATATTCTAGCCATCATTATATGTTGTTAGGATTTTGAATCTATATTTTATTTTATAAGACAAAAGTCGCTGGGCACAGTGGTTCACGCCTGTAATCCCAGCACTTTGGGAGGCCGAGATGGGTGGATCACCTGAGGTCGGGAGTTCGAGACCAGCCTGATCAACATGGAGAAAACCCGTCTCTATTAAAAATACAAAAAATTAGCCAGGCGTGGTGGCACATGCCTGTAATCCCAGCTAGTCAGGAAGCTGAAGCAGGAGAGTCACTTGAACCTGGGAGGTGAAGGTTGTGGTGAGCCGAGATCTCGCCATTGCACTCCAGCCTAAGCAACAAGAACGAAACTCCGTCTCAAATAAAAAAAGAAAAAGATCTTTGAATAAGTCATCTGAGGAAGTTACCATAGGCCTTCCTTTACTTATTTTCTAAAGATAACATAATAATTATATTTTTCTTTTATATTACAAAATTAATTTCTGCAAAACAAAGCAGAATATATACCATTTATCACAACTCTTTTCTTCAACACTGTTTCGTTCTATAAAATGGAAATGAAAGTCCTGTACAATAGCAGTCACTAGCTAGCATCTAATTTAATTATCTTTATAGCATCTTTCATAAAACTAAGTCAGTAGGAGGCCATAAACAGAGAATTTAGGAAATTTTATTAATCTCCTGGGTAATAATATAGACATTTTCCTTGAATTCATAATGTCTCAGTGGGCTTTTGATTAGATATGCAACTCAAGTCACATGGATGATAACACATTGAGAACTTATGGTTGATGTGATCACTAAACATAGACTGTGAAGGTCAACAATTTTATTGCCAATTCCTCATAGCAGCTCTATCTCTAAAATCATATGTATAATGCAACCAACTTACTCTAATGCAAAATACCCACATTCTATTTTCATGTGTTATTTTCTTTTGATTTTTAAAATGTACTAAACCAATGTAAAAATAAAATTATGTATGCTTAGCCCACCTTGGGCAAAAATGCAGTTTTGCCGGGGAGTGAGGTAGGAGTAGAGAGATGGGTGTCCCGATTAAGAAGAAGATTAAAGGGAGTTTCAGGCAACTCTCTAAGGAAAGTCTATGCTCTACTCCTAAACTTCTCTAATGCCTTGGATGTGTAACCAGAATCCTGAAATACTAGTTTCACAGCTAGCAGGCGCCTACCACCATTAGGTTTGTTGCTTCTCGCTGAGGCAACTCTAAGTTGATCCCAGCATGCTGTGCAAATATAATCAGCTTTCATGTGTGTCATAATGCAAAAAAACATGGGACGCCCTGCTTACATAGCACTCTTTTTTTTTTCAGTGAATGTTATCATTATAATTAAAGTGTCTTTGGGTATAATCTTGGATGATTCTAATACTCAAAGAACAAAAATGAAGAATTCCTGACCATTTCACAAACTCATCCAATTTTAAGATGTTCTTTTTGGTTATGAAGGAAAACACAATTAGAGATTGTTGTTCAAATTATATGATAGATGACTCTGCAGTACATTATAGTATCAAAAATCTGGGCTTCCTTAGCTTTGGAGGGCTATTATCATAACAGTTGGATGATTCATTTAGGTCAGAAAAATCCCATTTCAGAATATTCTTGAAAAAAAATATAATTAATATAATTCCACTCAGATTTGAGAACATTTGGTTTATTTCTAGCTACAAATAGTTTCCTCTATACCAGAAAATAAATTATTTACTTCTTTTCTCTAGGTTTATGTGTTGCTAGGTTTCATTCGAACTTTATTTCAACCTTAAGAATAAATTGGGAAGAAAAAATATGTTTAGGGTGGGGACTGAAATAAGTAATGTAGAATTCCAAATCAGTTAGAGTAAAAAAATTCAATGGCTTGGGGACAGGATGTGATATAAATAGAAAGACCATGGGAAGATTGCCCAGAAGCCAGAATTTGGGTTCAAATACTAAAATTTTAGAACTGAAAACAACCTTTGAGATTTTAAATGAGGAAGTGAAGGGTCACAAAATATTGTAGATTATAGCTCAAGAATAGAGTGAAATTGTGTATTTTAGTAATAATACCTTCACCAGGCCAATTCTTCCACCCTCAAATCTGGGTAAGTCTCTTCAATATTAATCCTGCTAGTGAGACGGGATTTTAAAGAGACATCTGGAAACATCAGTGTTCCAATTTGGCACCAGAGGGTTGACTCCTCCCAAACATTTCCTCTTGTTCCTGTAACCACTGCCCCACCCACCCCATCTCCATCTCCTTCCCTGCTCTGCCCTCCTCTTTCAAAATAACTTAGTAGAAAGGTTACTTTCTCCAAAAAATTGATTTTTTTTTTGAAGCAAGATTTGAGTCTTCCTTATTGTATTTTAGGAAATAATATAATACTGTGTGTGCCTATTGGTTGCTTAGTAAATATTTGTTAAACAAACAAAACGCCTAAGAGAAGAGACCTGAAATCAATCCAAAAGTAGAAAAAAAGAAAGACAAAACAACCAAATTAAAGCACTTCTCACCCTCACTGGACCAGGGGAAAATTTCGGTTTCAAACATCTACAGACTGGGTGTCTGACTGGACCCAGCAGGATTTGGTCTCCAGACTCACTAAAGCATTGTTACTCTAAGGATTTCCGAGTGCATAATGGGTTTCCCGAGCTGCTTGAGTAAGTGCATCCTAGTTCCTGCAATTATGTTCATGACAACAGCTAGCAGACATTATGTCCTGCTTTGATTCTTTCTTTCTCCTTCATTCTATTTTAATTCTTCTTGATATATTGGCTTGTTCTTAACATAAAAGTCATTTAAACATGATGGATTGACCATGAACATTTATTGCCTTCCTGAAACCACTCTAAAATGATGGTAAACAACAACAACAAAAATACTCGAAGGGCCGGCACAGTGGCTCACACCTGTAATCCCAGCACTTTGGGAGGGCGAGGCTGGTGGATCTCTTAAGGCCAGGAGTTCGAGATTAGCCTGGCCAACATGGCGAAACCCCGCCTCTGCTAAAAATACAAAAATTAGCTGGCCGTGGTGGTGCACGCATGTAATCCCACTACTAGGGAGGCAGAGGCAGGAGAATGGCTTGAATTTGGGAGGCAGAGATTACGGTGAGCCAAGATTGCGCCACAGCACTCCAGCCTGGGAGACAGAGCGAGACTCGTCTCAAAACAACAACAACACAAAAACAAACCAAAAAATCCTCGAAGGACAAACAGGAAAGAGGACATCAGTGGTTGAGAAGTTTGAGTAAATGTTTAGCAGAGGGAAAACATGGAGCAGTGATAACTGAATTAGGGACAGAGGAAGCTGTTTAGGAGGAGAAGATTGCTTATTTGTCCCAAAGAACTGTGGTAGGGCCAAGGACCATTGAAGGAGAGACAGTGTGGTGCTGTAAAGAAGGTGATGAATTGAGAAAACCTGTGTACCAAAGAGTGGCCTTCTTTTCCTTCTTTCCTTCTCTCCTCTTCTCTAGCTCTGTGGCTTAGCAGGTTGCTCACCATCTCTAGCTACTTGCTTCCTGGCAGGAGAGCCAATGCTTTTGCTCTGGATAAATTTAATAAAGTTCCTACAGGATCACTTTGTTGTTGTACTCTGCATGTAATGGCAACCCAACCCAGACCACTAGAACCAGGCTTAAATCTCATATTTCCAAATATGCCACAGAGAGTGATTATCTGCTCCCAACAGTTTGAACAACAACAACAAAAAAGTCCTGGAGTCAAGCCGTATTGGATTGATTTGGGTTACTTGTTACTTCTGAACCAATCACTGTGGCCAGGGAGAATGGATGCTCTGATTAACCAGACCAGGACTGTATAGGATAGGAGAAGGATGGTACCACAAGAAAAATAATCAGATATGTTATAAGGAAAGGAGAAGTGGGTTCTGGGGAAAGAATGACCTTATCTTCTAATATAATTACTCTGAGAATGCAGTAGCTTTGTTGAATAGGGCTCTCATAGTAGCCACATGCCTGACTGTAGGTGGCATGATAGGAGCCAGAAGCAATCCCTAGGCCTACCAGCTGGGACCAGATATGCACATGTTACAAAACATGAGAATGTGTACATAATGAATTATATCTGACTGCTTTCCTCAGAAGGAGTCGTTACTGGAAAATGTTTACGTGGAAACTTTTCTGCTTTCAAATACATCCAGAGAAGATTTCTTAAACTTCTTTGATAGCCTGTTTCAGCGCAGCCATCATTATCAGGAAATTTACTTTTATGCTGTTAATTTAATTTAATTTAATTCTTTTGTCTGCAGCTTTTCAAAGTAGCTGGACATAATCCTCTATATAATATGTATGCTTATGCTTGAAGATAATCTTACAATTTTCTTCCGGGATGGATGACTTCTGTTTTTTTAGCCACAAAATTTTATTTCTCAAACCTTTCATCATCTTTGAGTGTCTCCTCTGAACTGCCTCCAAATTTTCTGCATTTATCTCAAGCTCTAGAGTCCAGCAATGAATATAATAATCTAGGGAGAGCCCCACAACAAAGTGAAGGCAATTGCTTAGGAAAATGGAAAGAATATTTTTGCACAGGACTTCATAGTTTTAAAAGGACTTTCCCAGGCATCACTTTGTCATTTGAGGTAAGTATTGCTTCCTCCTCCTCCTAAACTCTGATGGTTGATGTGGGTCTATCCTGAGTCAGATCCAGTTTGGGGTCAGCTGGAAGTCCAAGGTAGTTCTGAGGTTACAGCACAAGTTCATATTTCTTTATGCTTCCCTGGGACCAGTAACAATTTAAAAAATGGAGTAAACCACAGGGGCTTTCCATGGTTTGGACCAGTGCTGCCCAGTAGAACTTTCTGTGATGACAGAATGTTCTATATCTGCACTAATATGGTAGCTATCAGCCACATGTGACTACTGAGTATTGGAAACAGCTCATGCAACTGAGAAACAGGATTTGTACTTTTATTTAACTTTACATATGGCTAGTGGCATAATCTTTGGACCATCCTTAAGTCTGGGTCTAAGCTTGAATTGGTTTCTGTGATTGAAGCATAAAGCACTTTGGTAGATCATCATATTTTAGTAATAATTTGATGGGTGGGAAGCATCTTAGTGGAATCCCAGTCTCTTCTCATCATATTTCTTATTATACATTTCAGTATTATTTGATTAAAAGCATTTTCCTCAGACATGCTGGCACTATATGACTAACTTATGTGTTCTTTTCCTCAGAAATAGATTAATTGTTACTTAGCTCTTTGCCTAGGACAGTGAATACCTTCTCAAGTGAATTTGTATGGGGACAGCAAGAAAACCTTGGGTTACCCTAGATGGTGACTAAGCAGGTTTTGGCAGAGAAGAAAAGTCTTAAGAGAGGCTGAGTTTTAAATACCCATCTAAGACCAAGGCCAATACTGCTAAGCCATAAGACAGTTTAGCATTTCATCTATGCATGACACACTTATTGGCATTAAAAGGCTATATTAAAGGATATACATAATATGAAACTTAACGAGCTCAGTTCAACTTCTGCCACATATTTGGTCTGCACTTTTTGCTGAGTTTAGTTTTTGAAGCATCTTGGAAGCCAGAGTAGTTATTAGATCAGTGAGGATGTGAGCGAGGAATCAGTCTTCTATTCTTACAGATGTACACTCTGCAGATTTATAGATATCTTTGTCCTTAGGAACATTTACCCACTTATGGGCCTCTGAAAATAAAAAATAAACATAGTTATGTGCTTTATAATGACATTTTCATCAGTGACAGACTACATATACAATGGTGGTTCCATAGGATTATAGAACCATATTTTTACTTACCTTTTCTAATGTTTAGATCTGTTTGGATATGCAAACAGCATTGTATTACAACTGCCTACCATATTGAGTACAGCAACATGCTATACAGGTTTGTAGCCTGGGAGCAATAGCCTGTACCATATAGGGTAGATGTGTAGTAGGCTATACCATCTAGGTTTGTGTAAGTACACTCTATGATGTTTGTACAACCACAAAAGTCACCTAACAACACATTTCTCGGAATGTATTCCCATCGTTAAGTGCTGTATGACTAAATAGTTTTATTTCCTCTTAAAAGTAAGGTAGCTTCATGGTTCATTTATAAATACTTGTCTGCTGACTTTATTGTTGCTTTCTTCCTCTGAGCTCTGCTTTCTTGCACTTCTGCTTTTGTCTTTGTAGTAATCTTAAATTTTCATCATTCCTCCCTCTTTTCAGTTGTAGCTAGAGACCTTGCTTCTAACTGTACTGAGAAAATAGGAGCTCTTAGAAAAGTACTTCTTGTCCCTCTAACATCAAATAGCATAGACTAAACTAACTGCATTCACACCCGGGCTGTCCCTTCCTTTACAGTAGATGAACTGTCCATGCTGTAATATAAGGCCAAGCCCTATGTAGGCACCAGAACTCATTACTACTTGGCTGTGGAAGGGTTTTGCTTCTGAAAATATTATCTCTTTCTCGTGACTCATCCATTGTCCTTCCTCGGTTGAATTTTCCTCATTTTCTATTATATACTTGCTTTAATGTCACTCATTCAAATAACAGCAATTACAGCAAACCTTCTTAATTCCAACATCTCAGCCACTGTTTCATTTCTCCCCTTTATTTTACAGCAAAATTCCAAAAAGGAGTTCTCTATACTCAATAACCCTACCTTCCCACCTCTTATTCTTTCCTATGCATATCTGTATATGATTTATTTGCATGAAAGCATATTATGAAAATTGATGAAATATACATAAAGTCTTTAGGTATATATTTTTATTTGGAAATAATTTCAAACTTATGGAAGAGTTGCAATAGTATTAAAAGCTCACATGTCTTCAATCATTGACATTTTATCATATTTACTGTCTCTCCATGATGCTATTATATTTCATTTATTTTAAACTTTTATAGGTACATAGTATGTGTATATATTTATGGGGTACATGAGGTATTTTGATTCAGGCATACAGTCCTTAATAATCACATCAGGGTAAATGGAGCATCCATCATCTCTTAAGAATTTATCATATTTTTGCATTACAAACATTCCAATTATACTCTTACAGTTATTTTAAAATGCACAGGAAATTATTGTTGACTGTAGTCACCCTGTAATGTTATCACATACTAGATCTTATTCATTCTATCTAACTATATTTTTGTACCCACAAATCATCTTCACTCCCTCACCTGCTGTTACCCTTCCTAGCCTCTGGTAACCACCATGCTACTATCTCCATGAGTTCAAATGTTTTAAATTTTAGCTCCCCAAAATGAGTGAGAACATAAGTTTGTCATTCTGTGTCCGGCTTATTTCACTCAACATAATATTCCTGTTTCGTCCATGTTAGTGCAAATTAAAGGATCTCATTCTTTTTTGTGGCTGAATAGTACTCCATTATGTATATGTACCATATCTTTATTTGTCTGTCGATGGACACTTAGGTTACTTACAAATCTTGGCTATTGTGAATAGTACCGCAATAAACATGGAAGTGCAGATATCTCTTTTATACACTGATTTCCTTTCTTTTGAGTATATACCTAGCAGTGGGATTGTTGGGTCATATGGAAGTTCTGTTTTTAGATTTTTTGAAGAACCTCCATACTGTTCTTTATAGTGATTGTACTAATGTCCATCCCCACCAACAGTGTATGAGAGTTCCCTTTTCTCCACAACCTTGCCAACATTTGTTATTGCCTGTCTTTTGTATAAAAGCCATTTTAAGTGGGATGAGATGATTATCTCGTTGTAGTTTTGAATTGCATCTCTCTGATGATCAATGATGTTGAGCATCTTTTCTTACACCTGATTGCCTTTTGTATGTCTTCTTTGAGGAAAGTCTTTCCAGAACTTTTGCTAATTTAAAAAATCAGATTGTTTGATTTTTGATCAAATTGTTAGATGTTTTCCTATTGGGTGTCTGAGTTACTTATACATTCTGTTTATTAATCCCTTGTCAGATGAAGAGTTTGAAAATATTTTCTCCCATGCTGTAGGTCATCTCTTCACTTTGTTGATTGTTTCCTTTGCTGTGCAGAGGCTTTTAAACTTGTTATAATTACATCTGTCCATTTTTGCTTTATTTGTCTGTGCTTGTAGAGTAGTGACCAAGAAATCATTGCCCAGACCAATGTCCTGGAGAGTTTCTTCAATATTTTCTTTTAGTAGTTTTCATAGTTTTGAGTTCTTAAATTTAAGTGTTTAATCCATTTTAGATTTGATTTTTTGTATATGGTGCGAGATAGAGGTCTAGTTTCATTCTTCTGCATACAGATATCCAGTTTTCCCAGGACCATTTATTGAAGGCACCTTTGTCAAAAATGAGCTAACTGTAGATATATGGTCTTATTTCTGGGTGGTCTATTCTGTTCCATTGGTTTCTGCGTCTATTTTTATGCCAGCACAATGCTGTTTTGGTTACTATCACTCATTGGTATCAGTCGAAGTCAGGTAAAATAATTTTTCCAGTTTTGTTCTTTTTGCTCAGGATGGCTTTGGCTATTCTGGGTCATTCATGGTTCCATATAAATTACAGGATTATTTTTTCAATCTCTGTGAAGAATGTCATTGGGTCTATTTCTCTCTTTAGCTCTAGGAATATTTGCTTTATATATGTGAATGCTCCAGTGTTGGATGCATATATATTTACAATTGTTGTATTCCCTTGTTAAATCTACCCCTTTATCAATATGAAATAACCTTCTTTGTTTCTATGTTTTTTTTCAGTTTCAATTTGCATGGACTATCTTTTTTCATCACTTTATTTTCAGCCTATGTGTGTCTTTATATGTGAAGCATGTTTCTTATAGGGAGAAGATAGTTGGGACTTGCTATTTTATCCATTCAGCTTGATTTTTTTATCCACTTTATGTCTTTTGATTGGAAAGTTTAGTCCATTTACATTCAATGTTATTGGTGATGAGAATTTACTCTTGCCATTTTAAAATTGGTTTTCTGACTTCTCTTCTTTCTTTCCTTCCTGTTTTCCTTTTTGTGAAGGTGATTTTCTCCAGTGGTATGTTTTAATTTCTTGCCTTTTTTTGAGTCTGTTGTAAGTTTTTTGATTTCAGGTTACCACGAGGCTTGCAAATAACATGTTGTAACCCATTATTTAAAACTGATGACAACTTAACACTGATTACAAACAAAACCCAAAACAACTGAACAACTAACACACAGGCAAAGAGAAAACTAATATAAACTCTACAGTTGAACTTCGTTCCCCCAACCAACTTTTAAACTTTTTATTATTTCTATTTATATCTTATTATACTGTCTACATCTTTAGAAGTTGTTGTAGCTATTATTTTTTATTGGTTCATTTTTAGTCTTCCTACTCAAGATATGAGTTTACACACCACAGTTACAGTATTATAATATTCTGTACTTTTCTGTGTACTTGCTGTTTTGTGCCTTTAGATGATTTCTTATTTCTCCTTGCTATCTTTTTCTTTCAGATTGAAAAACCCCTTTAGCATTTCTTATAGGGCAGTCTAGTGTTGATGAAATCCTTCAGCTTTTGTTTTTCTGGGAAAGTCTCTATTTCTCCTTGATGTTTGAAGAATATTTTCACTGGATATACTATTCTAGTATAAGAATTTTTATTTTTTCCTTCAGCACTTTAAGTGTATCATGCCACTCTCTGCTGGCTTACAAGGTTTCTACTGAGAAGTCTGCTGCCAGACATATCAGATCTCCTTTGTATATTATTTATTTATTTTTTTTCTCCTACTGCTTTTAGGATTCTTTCTTTATCCTTGACCTTTGGAAGTTTGTTAAATGTCTTGAGATAGTCTTATTTGAGTTACATCTGCTTGGTGTTCTATAACATTCTTGTAGTTGAATATTGATATCTCTACGTTTGGAAAGTTCTCTGTTATTATCCCTCTGAATACACTTTCTATCCCAATCTTGCTCTTTACCTCCTCCTTAAGGATTTGTCCTTAGATTTGTCCTTTTGAGGCTATTTTCTAGATCTTTATAGGTGTGCTTCATTCTTTTTTATTCTTTTTTCTTTTATCTTCTCTGACTGTGTATTTTCAAAGAGCCTGTCTTCAAGCTCACTCATTCTTTCTTCTGCTTAATTATTCTGCTGTTCAGAGATGTGACACATTCTTCAGTATGCCAACTGAATTTTTCAACTCTTGAATTTCTCGTGATTTTTTTAAAATTATTTCAATCTTTCTGTTAAATATATTCAATAGGATTTTTAATTCCTTCTCTGTGTTTTCTTGAATTAATCGAGTGCCATCGAAAGAGCTATTTTGATTTCCCTGTCTGAAAGGTCAAATATCTCTGTCATTCTGGGGTTGGGCACTGGTGCCTTATTTGGTTCGTTTGGTGAAGTCGTGCTTTCTTGGATGGTCTTGATGCTTGTGGATGTTCATTGAAGACTGAGCATTGAAGAGTTAGGTACTTATTGTAATCTTCACAGTCTGGGCTTGTTTGTAACCTGTCCTTCTTGAGAAGACTTTCCAATTATTCAAAGGGAATTGAGTGCTGTGATATAAGTGTTTGGTCACTGCAGCTGTATCTGTATTAGGAGGCACCCAAAGCCCAGTAACACTGTGACTCTTGCAGACTGGTAAAGTTACTGCCTTAGTGGTCTTGGGTAAGTCCTGGGAGAATCCCTGGATTACCAGGCACAGTCTGTTGTTCTCTTCCCTTCCTTTACCCCAAACAAACAGAGTCTCTTTCTTCATGCTGAGCTTCCTGGAGTTGGGGGAGGGGTGGCACAAACACCCCTGTGGCTACCACCACTGGGACTGCTATGGGTCAGACCTTAAGCCAGCACAGTACTGTGCCTCTCCCAAAGACTGTGATGACCATTACCTGGCTACCTCTGATACGTTTTCAAGGCCCAAGGCCCAAGTCAGCAGGTAGTGAATCCTATCAGACTTGTACCTTTCCCTTCAGGTTGGTGGGTTTCCTTCTGGCCCAGGAATGCTGTCTGGGAGCTGAGGCCAAGAGTCAGGAACTTTAGGGATCAACTTGGTGCTTTATTGAACTGTGGCTGAACTGGTACTCAAGTTGCAAGATAAAATCTTTCATATTCTTCCCTCTCTTTTTCTCAAGCAGGAGTCTCTCCCCATGGCCATCAGTGCCCTAGGCCCATGGTGAATACTGCCTGGCTACCGTTGATGCTTATTCAATGCCCAAGGGCCCTTTAGTCAGCTTGTGGTGAATCCTACAGGCCTGAGTCTCTGTCTTCAGGGAAGTGGGTTCCTTTCTGGCCCAGAGTGGGTCTAGAAATGCATCCAGGAGCTAAGGCCTGGATTGGGGACTTCAGGAGTCTGTTTGGTGCTTTATTTTATTTGCGACACCAAAGTGGCAAGACGAAGTCCTTTTTAACCTTCCCCCTCCTTTCCTAAAGCAGAAGGAGTCTCTCCCTGTGGCCACCACAGCTGAGAATGTACTGGATCATACCTGAAGCCAGCAGGGTGCTGGGTGTCACTCAAGGCCTGTGGTGAATTGCCTAGCTACTGCTGATGTTTATTCAAGGTGGAAAGGCTCTTTTCTCAGCAGGTAATAAATCCTGCCAGTACTAGGTTCTTTCCTTAAAGGCAGTGGGTTCACTTCTGGCCCAGGATATGTCGAGAAATGTCACCTGGGAGCTAGTGCATTCCCTTGTCTGCCCCTAGCTGGTGTGTCTCTAGGTTGCATTCACCTCAAGTTGACTGGCTCCTATCCCAGCACAGCACTAGGACTTGCCCAGAAATTGTGGTTCTTGTGGCCTAGACTGCCTTCCAAATTTATTTAGGACCCCAGAGTACTTTAGCCTGCAGTGATGGGGCTAGCCAGAACTCAGGTTTTGGCCACTGGGGTGGACAACTCCCCTCTGGCTATGGCTGGTCTAAATGCCACATTTGTGGGTGTGGGCAGAATTCTGCCTGTATTGCTTTCCACTGTTACGGGGCAGCACTGAGTTCCAACGCAAAGTCCCACAGTCACAGCATTCTCCCTCTCCCAAGCACATAGATTCTTTCTCCACACCATGCAGCCACTGCTGGGGTATAGGGAAGGGGTGGTGTTGGCAATTCAAGACTGTTTATCCTATGCTCTTCAGTGCTTCTTTCCTTGATAAGATATTAAAACCAGGTACAGTGATTGCTCACCTGATATTTGGTTCTTATAGAGGTGCTTTCTTGTGTGGATAGTTGCTCAACTTGGTGTTCCTTTTGGGGAGAGGGTGATCGTTAGAGGATTCTATTTGGCTATCTTGCTCTGCCTTCTCAATAATGCTATTTTAATGTTAAATACTTCAGTGTCCTATTAACAAGAATATTTTCTTGCCTAATCACAGTATAATGATCAAAATCAGTATAATTATCAAAAACAATTAACATTGATATAATACTATTATTTAATCTAAAACTTTGTGTAATTTCATCAATCGTCATAATAATATTCTTTATTGCAAAACAACAATAACAACAAAAGCCACATTTTTTTCTGGCTCAGGATTCAATCTAGGATCCTGGTATACATATAACTGGGCAAAACAAGTCATTTTTTGTTCTTTTAGGGTCTCAGTGGTTTGGATAATCCCTGACCACATTGGTGAGGGCAGATCTTCTTGACTCAGTCCACTAAGTCAAGTGCTAATCACTTTCAGAAACACCCTCATGGACACACCCAGGAATAATGTTTTACCAGCTATCTGGGCATCTCTTAGTCCAGTCAAGTTGACATGTAAAATTAACCAACATACAATCCTGGTTTCCTTCTTTCATATAGCACCTAGTTCTTTGTAGCACCACTTAAATGGGGTGCTCAGAAATGAAACAACTAATTAGGTAAATTATGGTGAAAATACACTTTCTGAAATCTTCACACTCTTTTCTGTTAATATAGCTTATGGTTTTCCTGACTTTTTAGTAATGAAAGTTTATTGAAATGAAAAAATAGGGCCAAGGAGGTAAAAGAAAGCGAAGATGAAGTTAGAAAGAGCTGCTAGAAACACTAAGGTTTGTGTAATTGTAAAATAGGGAATTGCACTTAATCCCTACAAAAGAAGAATAGCAACCATGCTTGGCATCCATTGTAGTACACAAAGATATTGCCTTCTCCTTGCAGAGTACTTCCTTTACCTTGAAACCACATGGAAAAGTCTCTTCTACAAATTCAGATATTAAAATTCCCAAAATGAATGAATCCTTATGTTTTAGAGACAGATATTAAAATATTTGTAGATAAAATAATGCTTGAATTTGCTTCAAAATAATCCAGTGGGGGAAAGTATGAAGTGAGTGGGGCATATATGAAACAAGATTGCTGTGGGTTGATGATCCTTATAGCTGGGTGTTAGATACATGTGGGTTCTTTGTATAGTTATTTCTACTTTTGTGTATTTTTGAAGTTTATCCAAATAAAAGCGTAGGTTTTTCTTTAAGTCCCTAGACCTAGGATAAGTGGATAGAAACTGCTAAAATTGTTTCTTGGGTACTCTCATTCTAATGAATTTTGCCTGCATTTGGTTTCTGCTTTATACGTATTTATACTCACAGCCAATAAGACTCAAATCATAGTTCATTCTGTTTTCATTTTCACGAAGATGGACAGCTATCTTTCACAAAGCTGATGAATATTACACAAAGATTTTTTTGTTTTTGCTTTTCCTTTTACTTCTTTTTAATATTATAAAACCCTGGATATTATTGTTTTCTGTATAGCCTTCCCATTCAAATGTATAGGTAGAATATGTAGGGAATTTTCACCAATTATTGCGAACAATTTCCACATTTTAAAAGAGGGCCGACTCTTCCATTTCAATATGCCACAGATGCCAGCCCAAAACTAACTTGGCAATAATCCAGGCTGTTTCATAATAATGTCCTGTGACACTCTAAAGTTTACAGACCAGAAACTCAAGGTTCATTAGTGATCCAAGAAGGGGAATGTTTTTTTCTCCTTTAATGTGCTTACCATGTTAAATGAATGAAAATAAGATGTGTAAAGTATTTAAAAGCATTTTACACAGAAGAGAAAAGCACTCAGACTTATTATGAGGTATTGAGATTATACCTAAATCCTAAAATTCTACTGTAGAAAACTTGAATTATGAATGAAATTTTCATTTGGAAAAATGTATGGTTTTTATTTTTTCAAAAACCATATAGCATAAAATGGAATTATTTGGTGGCTTTTCCCTAATTTCTTGATCAATGTATAGCAAGAAATACTTTTAAGCAGAAATGCATAATGAGGACACACACATAATAACTGAAAGAAATGAAAACATAAGCCTCCTACACAGGAAAGTGTGGCAAAGTGCAGCTATCCAACGCATTAGGTAAATTATGTCTATCTGTCTGCCTAAGGGTTAGACAGTCCCTTCTGTCCCCTTAGTGTGGATATAACAAAAGATCCAGCCAGTCACGGTGGCTCACGCCTGTAATCCCAGCACTTTCGGAGGCCGAGGTGGGCAGATTAGTTGAGGTCAGGAGTTCGAGACCAGCCTGGCCAACATGGCAAAACCCTGTCTCTATTAAAAATAAACAAATTAGCCAGGCATGGTGGTGCACACTTGCAGTCCTGTTGTATCTACTCTGGACGGTGAGGCCGGAGAATCGCTTGAGCCTAGGAGGCGGTGGTTGCACTGAACCGAGATTGCCCCACTGCACTCCAGTTTGGGACAATAGAGTGAGACTCTATCTCAAAAACAAAAACAAAGACAAACAAACAAACAAAAAGATCCTCTTTTTTGTGCCCCACTCTGGGATCCCTTCACCAGTTTGTGTTCCTTCTTGCTTCAGAGCTCTTATAGAAAAGTTGTAGATAAATGCCTTTAATCAAAATTATTTTTTTCTGTAGTTATTAAAATTTTGAACATTTTCCCATCTCTTTCACTATCTGTTTCTGTGCCCATCACTGTCTCCCCCCAAGTCTTAAGTAATTTGGTATGTATTTTTCCATAAGTTTCTTTATGCTTACATAATCATATACAAATGCATATGCAATCTTTCAATGACTGAATAATATTTCATGCTATGGATATAATCATGTTTTAAATCATTACCTTAATGATGTACATTTTCTTTGTTTTTAAACTTTTAATATCATAAATAGTACTATAATCAATATTTTCCTATAATAGTGGATTTCTCACCATCTGTGTTTAATTTCAGTTTTTGATTTATATATTTGAAAGTTATGCTTTAGGAACGTAATGTCATACTTTTATAACTTTTTGTGCTTTTTCTTTTATTATTATATGATTGCTGACATCTGTTGCAGTATTCCAAAGTCTTCTGTCATTCTAATTATTGTTTCTTTTTAAGTGATCTATTTTTCTCTCTAGTTGATTTTAAGATTTTTCTTTTAAGCTCGATGCTCTGCAGTTATATTAGAAAATGTCCGGGAGTAGATCTGTTTTTATTTGCACATCTTTGACAATCAGAGAGTACATTCAACCTGACTCTTGCTTTTCCTCAGTTTAAGAATATTCTTAGTTATGTCTTCACACGTTGCTTCCCTGCTCCTTCTTTTTCTTCTGTAACACCTATTGGTAACATTTTGCAGCCTCATAATTTCTAATCCATTTCTTTTATGTTTTTTAAATCTCTGTCTCTGTGTTCTATGAGTGAATGCTTCAATGCAGTCCTCTAGTTCACTAGTATCTCTCCATCCTGGAATCTTTCCCAGTTCTTAAGATTTCCATTTCCATAAGTCTATTGTTTTCATTTTCAAGATTTCTAACTTATTTTTATAGCTATTCAGTTCTCATTTCATTTATGCCTATTTTTTGTTATATGACTTCTTACATTACATATATTGCCTACATAAAACATTTTAAATTAGTATATGAGAAATAAAGGATAAACTTTTACCTCTAACTCTGATATGTGGATGCAACACTGTATAAGAATGCCTCCCATGTACCTGGAGCCCACCTTCTAGCCTGTCCAACTCTTTAGAACACAGCCCTGAAATCCTCAGAAATCTGAATTTCCTTAGCAGTATGACACTTTTTATTCTTGGTTTTTCTACCAGAGTCATGGTTTAGTTCACTTTTCAAATATAAAATTTTCATCGGGGTTAAAAATTGGAATATATCACATCAATTAAGCATTTTCAATTCAGTTAATAAAACTACAGTATTTCTTAAAATACTGTATGTTTTATGCTCATATACTAGAAAAGTTTGCTAGTATCCAGTTTATTCAAACGCAACATCACTAATGTTCAATTCTGTCTTATTGCAACATCACCTCATTTTTTAACCATTAAGATTTAATAATGGCACATGACATTTTTACTCATTAAACACAAATATCCCTTACTTTATTAGACTCAGATTAGGGCCCAAGTCCAAATAATAAGATTATTCTGCATCCCAAGAAGTGTAAGAGATTTTGAATCTAACCTTGACAATGTTCAGGCAATGAGGGCACAATTAAACAATAAGAATAGTGGAGTGATTTTGCTTTCTCAATGTTGAGAGGCTGTAGCTTAAGAAACCCACGTTAACTCAGGAGTTCCTGTGTATTATCTCACCATGCAGACGAAAAGACATTCAAGTCACTGTTTGTTTCCTCTTTTGTTTTGATTCCAAGAGTTTGTATTACCCTTTCTCATGAGAGTGATGAGAAACAACACAGTTTGGGGAATCTAGTCATTTTATCTCAAAAGCTTTTCATTTTCTAGTCATTTTATCTCAAAAGCTTTCCAATGTCTTTGAAAGACATTAATTGAATTCTGAAGAGCAAAATAACTAGAACGGGATATTTCAGTGTTTGATCATTGCTCGAGTTACTAAACACTGGAAAAACTCAATTTCCTACTGTTTGCAGTGGTTATTGAAAGCTACAGCTTTCTTATACCTTTCCACAATCATTCTTGTGATTCAAAGGTTATATATAAAAAAGAATAAAAGTAGATGACAGAAGTTCATTTCTAACTTTTGGAGCTCATGGAGAAAGCCACTTTGAAAACCTAAAACTTAAATAAGCTTGTTAGAAAATGACACTCAACATAATGGAAGATTTTGTATGTAGTCAATCTCAAAGTAGTATTCAATGATCCTTGTACAGATTACTCAACTTTCAATTACTGAGAGTTTACACAAAATTATACAAGCAACATAAAAGTACCTGTTTAAAAAATAATTTAGATCACGCAGATAATTTGATTAATAATTCGATCTGCTGATTAGATGCCTCAAATCTCTCAATTTCCTAGAAATTTTGTGTTTTAAAAAAGGTAGAGAAATTAGAAGGGCTCCATACCATGACTAGTTACTGATTTAGTGTCCTATTTTTTACAATTAGTTCCTAAATTCACAGACTTCACTCTTGATTTTCAAAAAAGGCATTAATGAATGTCAATAGTAAGTATGTTAATAACAAAATTAATATAGTTATAGTGCCTTTCATCTAGAAAAATGATTTATGTACAAAATGATATTGCACTGAAAAGGAGCAGCCTTCCTTTTCTTTAGTGGAAAGATTTCTGTTATTGATACTGTATGTTTACAACTAGGCTTCCTAAAGTTACTGATATAATGAGCCATGATTTTAATAATTATTAGGTGAATATAAGTGGTAATTAGATACAGAAAAATTTATGAAGGTGGTACATGAATGACTAAGGTTTGAGAAACTCTGGTTTAAGGTATTTTTAAATAACAAAAGATGATTTCCATGGAGGAAGGAGAGACAAAAATAAGGCTTCAGTTGGCAATTAAAAGAGAATAAGGTTGTCATTTGCCACAACAGGTATGAACTTGGAGGACATTATTCTAAGTGAAATAAACCAGGCAACAGAAAGACAAATATTGCATTATTTCACTTATACATGTAATCTAAACAAGTTAAACTCATAAAAGCAGAAATGGTGACTATATTTAATAATACTCTATTGTATACTTTAAATTTACAAAAGGGTGGCTCTTAAGTGTTCTTATCTCACACACACAAAATGATTAACTAAGTATGTGAAGTAATGAATATGTTAATTATCTTTATTTCAGTAATCATTTCACTATAAATATATCAAAGCTTCAAGTTTACACAAAACTCACTTTTCAAGCTACTGGATGATGGCAAAACTAAGTCCCAAATTCATTTGGAACACAGAGCAAGAAGCCTAGTTCACCTAGGGTCAAGACAGTTACGGCCTCAGCTTTCAATAAGAGTAACAGGACAGAAAAGAATGTTTGGACCAAGGGTAAAGTGTCCCAGAACCAGAGGCATGGACACCCCCAAATAGGTCAATGGAAGGTTGAAAGGGTTGGCTGGACACCAAAAAGGAGCTTCTAGGAATCATCAAGGAAAAAAAATTGCCTTTCCCCGGGATCTATAGACGATGTCAGGACTCAAGAGGAGGGCTTACCAGAGGTAGGGGCTGCAGATGGCAGTCATCCCACCTCCACACCACATGCACGGCCCCACCACTATTATCGTGTAGAATTGCTGGCATATGGTGATAATATAAAGCAGACCAATTTTTAGTTGCTTTTACTAATTTCTGTTTTGTAAATTCTCTATATACTGTGGTTCCCCTGGGTGGAAGGCTGTCACCACCACATTTGGTTACGCTCCTGCAGAATATTTAGCGTGACTGTGGAACAGCAGGATAAGCGATCTCTAGGACTGGAGACATTTGGCCTCACATCTAGAAAGTCAATTAAAAAGGAAAGATTTCTTTGGAAGCCATCTCTATGGAGGTGTAATCTGAGTAATTTGTGCTTTCATTCAATACAGATAAACTAGAATGCCTTGTTTTCAGTAGGAGGACCAGAGGGATTCCTAGACAATAGCTGGTTGCAAGTATGAGGAAGAAAGAGCCAGAGAAATAAATAAGTAAGCACAATGAAAAAGGCAGATGGCCAAATTCAAAGAAGAAATAGAAGGAAATAATGGAGCATTGGTTCAGTCTTTTATATTGTTCCCTGGATTTCGATTTGACATGCATCTTTCTATGCTTGATTTTGGAAAACAGTAGCAGAGGCTGCAGCATGCTATTTTATAGGCTTAAAGTCAGGGACGCAGTGATGGTTGGAATATCTCCAAGTCTTCCCCTTCCCCCAGTTCTGTGCAGGGCTGGGTGATGTGAAATAGGGATAGGGCCTGCCTTTAAAATGAATCTTGGGCCTTGCGTGATGGCTCACGCCTGTAATCCCAGCACTTTGGGAGGCCGAGGCGGGTGGATCACCTGAGCTCAGGAGTTCGAGACCAGCCTGACCAACATAGTGAAACCCCCTCTCTACTAAAAATACAAAAATTAGTTGGGCGTGGTGGGGGCACCTATAATCCCAGCTACAGGGCAGGCTGAGGCAGGAGAATCACTTGAACCCGGGAGACGGAGGTTGCAGTGAGCCGAGATTGTGCCATTGCACTCCAGCCTGGGCAACAAGAGCAAAACTCCATCTCAAAAAAAAAAAAAAAAATTGAATTTTATTTTCCATGTTAGTCCAGGTGAGTCTGTTAGAAATTATACTGAAGGAATTTTGTTCAGAAAACCCAAATGAGGTAAATACAGAAGGCCTAGTAGCCCATCTGAGAGCTCTTACCTCAGTATTTGAAAACTTCTTTGAGGGGAACAGCCATGTCTTCCCTCAGAGATATCCTTCGGTGTCATGAGAGCATCATGGTGCTGACTACAGCATGGAGCTGAGCAGGTGAGGCAAAGTCCATGGTACTACATCACATTTTTAATGATATAAAACAGTGTTCTAGGTAAAACTCTAAAAACCAAAGCTAATAAGCTATTCTATTCTCTATTCGTTATTTTATGTAAAGGATAATGCATGGCAATTATGTTTTTGCTTCCTTTAATTCCCTTTGCCTTACAAATAAATCATTTGTGTTGTGGTGGAGGTAGGGGAGATGGTTTAAATTGGTGAAGAATCAAGGGAGAAGTGAATAATAACTATTGCAACTTTTTCATTTATAGAAATTTTCAGTGTTCCCATTGATTAACAACTTAAGTGGCTATCCAAGCATCCTATATATATTTCTACCTTCGTAAACATTCACTTCTTTTAGAGATAACATTTATTTTCCTTTGTTGGCAGTTGTCTGAAGTATTCATTTACTTTCCCGGCAATCATTTGCTGTTTTCTCTGAAGCTTTGCTAACTGAAAAAGTGAAATGATCTTCAAATTACAACTTGCATCAACGTCATGGGGCATTGGAAAGTAAAAACACACAAAAATCTTTTGTTGTCCTTTCTTGAGAGACAGTAATCCTAAACTCAAGTGATGTTTTTCTCTTTTACTCCATAGCCAGGAGACGCTTAAGCACTTTACAGGCAGCCTTCTCATTCTCTTAATCCCATAATATTCCTTGGATTCTTAGCTGCTTTGACTTTTAATTCTTTTAATCTAGTGTTAGGGCTTTTGATACCTATTCCTGTCTTCCACACGAATAGGTGCCAGGACAGCCAGGGAAATAGAAAACTGGCAAACCTTTCCTTTCATATCATTAGGCCTGGGTGGGAGGAAGGCAGCCACATAATTTCCCTCTTCTTGGAAGGATATAATTACAAATGTAAACCATCCTTCAATTAGAGTAAGGCTGCACTGAAATAATACCAGTGTCTCTAGTTAATTCAGGGAAACTATCCACCAAGCCCCATATGCCTGACACTTGGAGACTCCATTTTTCAATTCTCATTTGCTGTAGAAACCCCTTATGTAAATTATTATTAAAAGCTGCTGAAACTGTGGGATTTAAAGACGTCATGATCTTCCATTTGAGAATAATAAGCAAAAGGTCCAGGAAGCAAATTGAAAATCCTCCTGAGACATTCCAGCACACTGGGCTCTACTACTACAAATATACTCCCTTTGGAGGTAGTAAGTCTCCTATTTCAGGAATTACCCAAGCACAATTTTGGATATTGAAAACATCAGGTAAGACCTGGGTTATTATATGAGTTTCAAGGGCTGCTGTAACAAACTACCCAAATCGGGTGGCTTAAAACAACAAAAATTTATTCTCCCAGTTCTGGAGGCCGGAAGTCTGCAACCAAGGTGTCAGCAGGCCTGTGCTTCCTCTGATATCTGGGTGGAATCCTTCCTTGTTTCTTCCTAGCTTCTGATGGTTAAATCCATGGTGTTCCATGACTTGCAGCTGGATCACTCCAATCTCTGCCTCTGTCATCACATGGCGTTCTCCCTGTGTGTCTGTGTCTGTGTCTCTTCTTTTCTTATAAGGACGCCAGTCAGATTAGATTAGGGCTCACTCTAATGCAGTATGACCTCATCTTAACTTGATTACCTATACAAAGACTCTATTTCCAATTACGGCTACATTCACAGGTACTGAGGCTTAGGACTTCAACATATCCTTTTGGGGACACAAATCAACCCATAACAGTTATATTACAGCTAATATCCCTGTGGATACTAAGATTTCGTAATTCTCACATTTGGGTAAAATGGTTTCATGTACTTTAAATGGATGCTTGAGTATGATATTCCTAGTCTTATTATTAGGAGGAGGTATGGTAGAAGGTTTTAAAGAATGAGGGCAATGAGGGTTATGTTCTCAGATCTTAGACTAAAGATAAATCTCTTAAAATTACCAAGTGTTTAGCTTACAACAGTGAAGCTTACTCTTTGAAAGTACTTTCTATGTCATAGAAAGTGAATTAGCGCCTGTAATTCCAGCACTTTGGGAGGCCGGGGCGGGTGGATCACCTGAGGTCAGGAGGTCGAGACCAGCCTGGCCATCATGGTGAAACCGTGTCTCTACTCAAAATATAAAAAATTAGCTGGCTATGGTGGTGGGCACCTGTAATCCCAGCTACTTGGGAGGCTGAGGGAGGAGAATCACTTGAACCTGGGAGGCAGAAGTTTCAGTGAGCCGAGATCACACCATTACACTCCAGCCTGGGTGACAAGAGCAAGACCCCATCTCAAAAAAAAAAAAAAAAAAAAAAAGGAAATTAGACTTCTGCCAAAAGGGCCTGTAACACAAAATAATTTTTCATTCAACAAACATGAATTGGGCGCATACTCTGTGTCAGGCACTGCACTGGATGCTAGGGATGCAAAGACAAATAAAAAATGTTTTTCACTTGATCTAGTGGGAGAAAAAGGCTTGCAAGCAAGAAAGTTACTACACAATGGGAGATATGCCAAAATAAAATGTTATGCAAAGGGATATGAGACCACAGTAAAGAAAGGGGTGTCTTGGAGGTAATATTTGATGTGAGATATGTACAATTTTATGTGGCAGACAATGCAGAGTGTGTCAGGCACAGAGAACAGCCAATGCTGGGCATGGACATATTAAAGGTCAGGTAATATGACCACAACAGAGACGAATGGAAGAAACAACCTGATGTAAAGTTGACAAATGACAGTCAAATCATAAAGGCCTTATATGTCTGTCTAAGGCATATGGAATCAATTTCATGGGTCATGGAAAGCCTTTAAAATACTCAAAACCAAGGAAAGCCATAAGCCTACTCTACCATCTATCATTCTGCTCTAATCTACCGTCCTATATTTGGGTGGTAGAAATGAAAAGACTTGGGACAGGGGTGGTGGCTCACACCTGTAATCCCAGCACTTTGGGAGGCCAAGGGGGGTGGATCACGAGGTCAGGAGATCAAGACCAGCCTGGCCAACTAAACCACCCTGTCTCTACTAAAAATACAAAAACTAGGCGGGTGTGGTGGCTTGCACCTATAGTCCCAGCTACTTGGGAGGCTGAGGCAGGAGAATTACTTGAACCTGGGAGGTGGAGGTTGCAGTGAGCCAAGATCGCGCCATTGCACTCCAGCCTGGGAAACAGAGTGAGACTCCACCCCCCCCCCCAAAAAAAAAAAAGAAAAGGCTTAGTTGCAATTTGGAAATGGAGAGAAAGTGGAGGGAAGGGACAATAACACCTAGCATTCTAGATTTATACCCTAATCATCACAAAGGGATAAGAAATCAAAAAGGACTTGAATTTTCACTAGGGCAAGAAAATGAGTTTATTTAAGGAGAATAGGTGGGAAAAGGAGAATAAGAGGTCAAGGGGAGATCAAATATAAACTCCAGCTCAGGTGAAAAACAATAAAGAAAGGAATTAGAAACATGTATCAAATGAGAGCTAAGTAATAGTATAATCACTATCAAAGAATTCTAGTTATTTATTAGTAAAGTTTCAAATTCTGTGCCTTTCTGTGTCATTCACAGGAAAAGTATGTTGTACACACCACTTCAAAAGTATACCAACTGAATTTCAGTCATTATTTTTCACTGTTTAGGTTCAGCCCATGATGGCGTGTATGCACAGTCATGTGTCATTTAATGTAGGGAGCTATTCTAAGACATGCATCATTAAACAATTTTGTTGTTGTGTGAACATCATAGAGTTTACTTACACAAACTTAGGTGGGATAGCCTACTACAAACCTAGGCTATTTGGTATAGTCTATTGCTCCTAAGCTAAAAAACTGTACAGTATGTTACTGTACTGAATTCTATAGGCAATTGTAACGCAATGGTAAATATTTGTGTATCTACACATACCTAAATGTTGAAAAAGTACAGTAAAAATACAGTATAAATGATAAAAATGTTACATCTGTATAGTGCACTTACCATGAATGGAGCTTACAGGACTAGAAGTTGTTCTGGGTGAGTCAGTGAGTGAGTGGTGAGTGAATGTGAAGGCTTAGGATATAACTGTACAGCACCTTAGACTTTATAACACTGTAAACTTAGGCTACATTAAATTTATAACAACGTTTCTTTCTTCAATAATAAATTAAACTTAGCTGACTGTGACTTTTTTACTTTATAAACTTAAATTTTTAAAGACTTTTTGACTATTTTGTAATAACACTTAGCTCAAAACAAAAACACATTGTACAACTGTACAAAATATTTTCTTTCTTTATGTCCTTATTCTACAAACTTTTCTCTGTCTTAATTTTTATAACTTTTTAACTTTTTTATTCAAAACTAAGAAACATGCACATTAGCCTAGGCCTACTCAGAGTCAGGATCATCAATACCACTGTCTTCCGCCTCCACATCTTGCTGTAGAAACACCCTCATGTAAATTATTATTAAAAGCTGCTGAAACTGTGGGATTTAAAGATGTCACGATCTTCTGTTTGAGAATAATAAACAAAAGGTCCAGGAAGCAAATTGAAAATCCTCCTGAGACATTCCAGCACATTGGGCTCTACTACTACTGAATATACTCCCTTTGGAAGTAGTAAGTCTCCTATTTCAGGAATTACCAAGCACAATTTTGGATATTGAAAACATCAAGTAACACCGGGGTTATTATACGAGTTTCAAGGGCTGTTGTAACAAACTATCCAAACTAGGTGGCTTGAAACAACATCTTGAGCCACTGGAAGGTCTTCGGGGCAATAGCGATAACAGGCATGGAGTTGTCATCTACTATGGTAATAATGCTTTCTTCAGGAATACCTTCTGAAAGACCTGCCTGAGGCTGTTTTACAGATAACTTTTTTTAATAAGTAGAAGGAATACATTCTAAATTATAGATTAAAAGTATAATATACTAAGTACCTAAACCAACTAACATATTTATTATCATGATCAAATATTATATACTGTACATAATTGTGCTATATATTTTATACAAGTGGCAGTACAGTAGGTTTGTGTGTGCGTTTATATATCTGTGCATGTGTATATATGTGTATATGTATGCATATATATAGGGGTGTGTGTGTGTGTGTGTATGTATATGATTACCCTTGTTATATCAGGTGCTTATATGTGTATATAATCTCATAATGTGATTACCCTTGCGATCTGATCAGGTTCAGGTGCCAAGGACTCAACCTTTGATGTATGTCTTTGGCCTATCTTAGCAAGAATCATGTCATGTTGGATTTGTTTAGCAAGAATTCCTCTACCCTTTATGCTCCTCTTACTACTTTCTTATCCACTATACTCTTCGCTTTGCTCATTGGTTATAAATCTCCAACTTTTTTTGCTGTTGGAGAGTTCAGAGTTTAGCTCTATCTCCTGTTTCAACAGAGTTGATCACAAGTGCATTAATCTAGAATGAAGTCTTCCTTACCATTTTAACAAGTGTCAGAATAATTTTTTAAACACCAAGCCTACCAAGATATTACCAAAATCTTGTGGAGGACATTGGACTTTTCACAAGTTGTGAATAAGGGATGGACACATTTTTCGTAGTATAAATCCTATGCAATAAATTCTAAATTCAATTGGTGAAATGCAAGAGGAAAAATAATAAAAATGAATCTTTTTTGTCTTATAAGAAAAAAAATACAAACACAGATTGTTGGTTAGAAATGAATTTTAGAGATAGCCAGCCATAATTCCCTCATCTTAAATTAATTAAGGCCCAGAAAACAAGCTGACTGGTAAATGATAGAGTCAGAGTGAGAGTGAATCTAGCCTCAAATGCATTTATCTTTCCACCATTCTCACTACCTTCCTATTAATTGTTCCAGAAAAATTTCATTTGAATTATTCTCTCATAAATGAACAAGATTGAATTATTTAACAATAAGGCCTGATTCTTACACTTGCTTAAATGAACCACAATACTTAGCACTGTGCTGAACCCATAAGGAATCTTAGCAAAAATTCAGTAAATTGATTTTCAATTCTGCCATCTACCTGTACTAACTCTGACAGGTCCAGAATAAATGGTAAACTGACTGCTGAAATTATTGGTAAATCATTGTTTTCTGTTCCTGACAACATTACCGAATCCTCTAAGATGAAAGAAAAATAGAATGAGATTAGGGAACAAATGATGAATCTGCAAAATACTTTTGTCATTCAGGCATATGAAATTAAAAAAAAAAACTTGTAGATTGTGATTCTAGAGTTGTTAGGCTTATCTACTTAACTCATGTGACTTCCAAGGAAACGACCACATTATTACTTGCAGAAGGGTCAGTGGCATTGCGTGGGAGGGCCATCTGTCTTTCCTTTTCTAGTTACCAATGATTGAACCAAAGCTAAAGAAACCAAGTTGTAGTCTGGCAAGGAACCTATATTACCTATAAGCTAGGTCAAAAACTGAAAAGATAAGCTGGGTCAATCAGATAATTGCTCCTGCAAATGTGGACTAAAAACAAATGAAATAAACTGCCAATTACTAGCAGAGGCAGAAGCAAAAGGGTACATTGAAAGATACCATATGATATTGTAATCATAATGTGGTAAGTCAAAAATACATGCAAATAGAAGTTATATGGAGCAAAAATTATGAATGAGCAGTGGAAGCAGGTTGGTAGAGAACGAAGCAGGAGTTTGGAAACCCATTTCTCGAGTTGTCTTCATCCCTGATGACTCCTCAGTGAACTTTCCATTCACACATAGCTTTATTGGTAACTCCTTTTGCTTGAGCTAGCTTGAGTCGGACTCTTCTTTGCAATGAACAAACCTGGCTGAGACAAGCACTAAGAATGCACTCTACAAGGCCTTTTAGACATTGCCTCTTTTAACCATCTCAACAAACTTGCAAGTTAGTTATAATCACCACCAGCTTAGAAAATGGAGATAAAACAAGCTTAAGAAATTTGTTCAGATTTACATAACTACTGGGTGTTATGGGTGAAAACAAAACTCAGGACTGCCTGGCTCCAAAGTTGTCTCAGTCCGTTCTCATGCTGCTAATAAAGACATACCTGAGGCTGGGTAATTTATAAAGAAAAAGAGGTTTAATGGATTTACAGTTCCACATGGCCGGGGAGGCCTCATAATCATGGAGGAAGATGAAGGAAGAGCAAAGGGACTTCTTACATGGCAGTGGGCAAGAAAGAATGAAAGAAAGAGAGCCAAGTGAAAGGGGAGACCCCTTGTAAAATCATCAGCTCTCGTGAGACTTATTCACTACCACGAGAACAGTATGGGGGAAACCGCCCTGATGATTCAATTATCTCCCACTGGGTCCCTCCCACAACACGTGGGAACTATGGGAGTTGTAATTCAAGATGAGATTTGGGTGGGGACACAGCCAAACCATATCAAAAGTGCTAAAGCTCTTTTGTGCTATATTATCTTATTTTTAAAAAGGTAGGTACAAAAGCAAAACAATTATTTTAAAACCTTCTTTGCTCAAATGCCATTGTGTTCCATGTATGCCAAAGTATTGCATCTAGGAGGGTTTTTGTTGTTGTTGTTGTTTAATTTAATTTAATTTAATTTTAAGTTCCGGAATACCTGTGCCAGATGTGCAGGTTTGTTACATAGGTAAACGTATACCATGGTGGTTTGCTGCACCTATCAACCTATCACCTAGGTATTAAGCCCAGCAGGCATTAGCCATTCACCCTGATGCTCTGCTTCCCTCCACACTCCTGACAGGCCCCAGTGTATGTTTTTCCCCTCCTTGTGTCCATATGTAGGGTTTTAATAGGTGGGTTCTAAGTTAAAAAATCAAAAGAGCAGTGTCCTGAGGCAGTGTCTTTAAAATTATTTTTAAAAGTAAAATACTTTAATAAGAAAAATGCATTTAACTATGCATGTGTGTTTCTTGAAATGTGTTTTCACCTTTCAATGTGAATACATAATTTTAGAGATAGCTATGACATATAGAAAACAATTTGTAAGCCACGATTTACAGAAAAATATACAAGGAGATGTTAATTGATTATAGTCTATCACTTGAACGCTGACAAAACCTATCAATTTCTGCAGAATGTGTCAGTCTCACCTTGGGAGGGGCAATGAGTCACATCACTTGGTTAAATTGTAGGAGAATGTAGGCTTTGAAGTCAGACCTGGCTTGGACCCTGACTCCTTTATTCTCTAGCTACGTCTTGCACTAAGAAAGTTCCCTTAACCTCTGATTTGGGGTTCCCTATATAAAAATAGTTACGGCAATATGGTAGAACCTACCTCGAAAGATTTTTGTGAAAGCTAAATTAGAAAGCAGCTGTTCAGTGATGCACACATAAGCAACACTGGGAAGTATTATTTTCTTTATTATTTCCTTTCAATACATAAAAACCTTTGATTAGGAAATTTAGACACATTAGAGCTTTTCAGTATGACATACTTTAATTATTGCCCTTAAAAGTAAACTCTAATATTTGAAAGGTCAAAGAACATTTTATGGTGGTTTTATTATGCAGTAGAGAATGCCTTCATAGCCACAACTTGCACTGAAGTATGCTATTTCTAAATAATATAGCATTCAAATCAATAAAGAAAAGTCAGTGTCAAATAACAGGTTTTAGTCACCCTCCTGAGGAGGCAATATACAAGGAGAAGCAAAAACAATGGACCACAGATGTTAACACGTTTTTGGAAAATACGTGTTAGGGAGAATAGGGAGGAGTAGCTCCTGATGTAGAAGATGAAACAAAGCTTACAGGCCACCCAGGAAGAGTGCCAACAGGAAGCAAGTCCCAGGAAATCTATGGACCTGGGACACCAGGCATTGTTCAGGGGACTTGTTCAGACCCTGTAGATAGAGCTGGGAGTTCCAAAGGGCCCCTGCATTTCACAGGATCAGGCAACTACCCTTATCTTACCTTCTATCCCTGAAGGAGAAGGAAGCTGTTTCTCCTTTGGAGAAATTGGAACTGAAAAGCTACTTATTCAGGCAAAGAGAGAATTCTAAAAGCAGGGAAATAAAGCGAGAGTCAGCAAATGGAATTGAAAGTCCCTAGCCCTGCCTTCTCTTCTCTTAAGACTCCAGAAGCTAGGCATAAATCTCCCAGGCAGGAGAGAAGAGGAATGACATCCTCAGGAAAAATGACTTCAGTTACTGACATTGTGGGTCACCCAGTGAAAAATTCCACTCATCACTGACTATCCTTTAGAGAATTCACTAACAAGCTTTACCTATACACACAGAACTTCCATCAAGTTTCTTAACTGCCTTAAATTTAATGAGAATGTTTAGCTAAGAATTCGATATTTAAGAGAAACTTTCAGTATAAAGAGACCCCCAAAACAGAAAAAACATGAAAAAAAGGAACATAGAGAAAGCAGAGAAAAATGTAGAAGACAAATTCTAAAAACACAATAACTTTTGACCTCAGAATGTAAGAAGATATTGCATCATGAAACAAGAATAAGAAGACATGTGAAAGAAACACCAGAAAGTTTAAAGTGGAATTGAAAATTAAAGTTAAGATAACAGAGTGAAAATTTTCACTTGAGATTTAAAGGTGAAGGGTAAATTTTAGGAAATTACATAGAAATTAGAAGAAAATAATGAATAAAAATATTTAAAATGAGGAAAATAATGCAGAAAATGAAATATATGACCAACAGAAGTCAAAGAAAGTGAGAAGAGAGAAAATGCAGATGAGCTAACTCTCAATAAGTTTTCCAGAACAATAAAATACATGTTTTGAAAGGGTACATTGAATGCCTTGTGTAATACATTTGAAAAGAACAACAATAAAGAATATGATTACAAAATTTCATTTGGGCAAAGAATGTATATTGAAAGTTCCCAAAGGAAAAAAAAAGTAGGTTGTATACAGAAGACTAGAAATTTGGCCCTTTGAAAGCTAGATGACAGTAAAACAATGTCTTTAAAATTCTGAGAGACGTAATATTCAGCTTACAAATTTTTACCCAAACTAACTATCAATCAAATATGAAGGTAGAATAAGGGCATTTTCAGACAATTAAATGTCACAGAAATTGGCTTGTCTCATCCCCATTCTTGAAATGCTATTGAAATATGTGCTCTTTCAACAGAAAGAGTAAAATTAAAAAAAAAAAGAGAGAGAGAGAGAAGAAAACAGAAAAAAAGGGAAGACCTGAGGTCCAGGAAACAGAATATTCAACATAGAAAAGATAAGAAGGGAATGGTAGGTGACAGTTTTGCAGTAGGAAAATTCAACTGATATATTATCTGATTGATTATTATTATTATTATTTGAGACATGGTTTCACTTTGTCACCCAAGCTGCAGTGCAATGGTGCAATCTCAGCTCACAGCAGCCTCAACCTCCCAGGCTCAAGAGATCCTCCCACCTCAACCCCCAAGTAGCTGGGACCAGAGGCATGCACCACCATACTAGGCTAATTGTTTGTATTTTGGTAGAGACAGTGTATCACCATGTTGCCCAGGCTGGTCCCCAACTCCTGAGCTCAAGCAATCCACCTGCCTCAGCCTCCCAAAGTGCTGGGATTATAGGCATGAGCCACCACACCCAACCTTATCTGATGGATTATTGACCTTATAAAACATCCTTTGAGAATATTCAGTGATATGTGAATAAAAATTAAGCAAATAGAATTTTAAAAATATATTTTTTTCTGAAGTTAACAGAAACATATGTTTATGAGAGAGAGAGAGAAGAGATAGAGAGAAAAATAGAATTGGCTCATGAGATTATGGAGGCCAAGAATCCCCATGATCTGCCATCAGCAAGCTGGAGAAAATGGTGGAATTCAGTTTGAATCCAATGACCTGAAGGGCCTCTTGTCTCCCACTGGCTGAAACCAAGGAAGTCGAGAAAAGTGCAGTTCTTTGGTGGTGTGTGTTCACAAGCCTAATCTAGTCAGCTTCAACAACCTTTGAACTTGTTTTTGGAGAGACAAAAAGTAACTTGTATGTTTTGCTACATATTACGCCAGATTTTTTAAAGGGATGATAAAGTAGATTGTGCTGGGAAGCATGCCAGGTGTGGGCCTAGTTGTTCCCATGTGTTAAGATAGTCACTTACTTCTGTGTGTTGCTATCCACCCCTCTTTTCCTTTAAAAAAGCCAGTCATATTCCAAACTTTCTGTCTCCTTTAAAGGAAAATGAAACCATCATAGGTACTGGAGAACAATAAAAGGGTTATATTCTTAAACACACACACACACACACGCACACACACAAAGATGCCAGTGGCAGGGGGCAGGAGAAGATGGATGTCCCAGCTCAAACACAGAGAATAAATTGGCCTTTCTTCTCCCTTTTTCTTTTTTTTTTCAGACCCACAAAAGGTTGGCTGAGGCTTACCCATGTGGGTGAGGGTAGACCTTCTTAACTCAGTCTCCCAATTCAAATGCTAATCTTTTCTGGAAACACCCTTATAGAGAAGCAGAATAATGTTGTACCAGCTACCTGGGCATCCCTTGGCCCAGTCAAGTTGACACATAAAATTAACCATCTCCATATCCCTCAACCACCTGCCCCTCATGCAAATGTCTTACAAAACCATAATATAATTATTGAAACCTTGGAATTATTCTTGATAAAATCTGTTAACCTATAAATCTGACTTAAATTTCAACAGTTTTCCCACCAATATCTACAGAAGCAATGCAAACAAGGTTGCTCCTTAGAGACCCTTTCCAGGAACAGTTGTCAGTATATTTTCATAGCATTTCCCAATGGACAGTATTATTATTTATTAATATGATCCAATATATAACCAAAAGTTTTATTTTCTTTTTCATTTTTATAGATGGCAAAAACACATTGTCATTTGCACCCTCCTCTAAATCTCTATTTTGGGAACCCTGTTTGGATCACAAGGCCAGAATAAAAACACCAATGTCATTAGTTTGGGAAATAAGTTGATTAAATATGCAAACTATATGAAGAAAATGAACAAATCTTGCATACTAGGCTTGAAATTCCAAAGTTATAAACTATAAGGAACTCAATAATACTACTTACAAATATAGCTTTATATGACGAATAAATCATTTTAATTGATTGAAATGTACCAAAGGCTCTTAGAGCTCACAGTTTGTTTGCAGTTAGGTTAACACTGCAAGTTACCATAGATATGGCAACTCACACCAATGCCAATCTGTGTGAAAATGGTAATTTTCTTGTATATTTTAGCAATGAGACAAATGTTTAGACATTTTAATAGAATTTTCTTAATACTATGCCTTGATATTTTTTAAAAAAGAGTCCATTAAGATGACCAAAGTCTATTCCTAATCATTGTTTTACTATTTCAAATAAAATGTCAGGATCTTAGAACAGTAGGGGCAGGACTCTAAAGTCCTTCTGGCAGGACTGGCTACATAATTTACAGATCCCAGTGGAAAATGAAAAGTGAACTCCTTTTAAAAAAAAGTCTTAAGAATTTCTAAGGACGGATGGCAGAGTATTAAACCAAGTGTGGGGTTCTTCTAAGTGTGGGGCTCTGTACAACTGCACATGTTGCACAGCTATGAAGTTGCAACAAAGATTGCACAGATTGTACATCTATAGCCCTGCCTCCTCAAGGAAATTACTCAAAAGACTTGGTTGGTTCTATTGGAGAATTCCTGATTAAAGGGACTTCCTACTACCCAGCATGTGCCTATGTTGATTGGTTCAAATCACTCTCAAACTCTTTTCAAACCTCCCTTTACTTTCCCTCAAGCTTGTT
This sequence comes from Homo sapiens, assembly GCF_000001405.40. Taxonomy (NCBI): domain Eukaryota; kingdom Metazoa; phylum Chordata; class Mammalia; order Primates; family Hominidae; genus Homo; species Homo sapiens. Next base: position 121,477,759 of record NC_000007.14, read on the forward strand.
ATCTGTCCCTAACCCAACGTATCTACTTTGCTGAGAAAATTAAAGCCATCAGACAAGAACTACCTTAATTTCTCCCTAGAAAACATGCAAATATATCAGTATCCACATCCGTCTTTCCTTCCCTCCCTTCTTGCCACCTAAGGCCGGTCCCTTTTCCCTTCAGTTATAGATTTTGTGCCCATTCACCTTCTCAGGAAATTGTCAGTGTTAGTTAATCTTTCTCCATCTTAAATATTTAGCCTCTCCTTTTCAATTCAATCCTTCTCATGACTTATACACAAGTTCAAATCTCTCTCTTTTTATCAAACAAACATATGGAAATAAATCTCCCTTGAAACCACACCTCCAAACCAACTAAAATCTTATCTCATTCTAACCTTTTGTAGCTAAGCTGGCAAATTTTCTACATTTGCTGTCTCATTTCCTCACCTCAATTCCAATCTGGCTTTTGTCCCCTCATTCTATGGACCCAGATCTCCCTAACATCATCAGTTACACCTATGCTGTTGAATTATTCAGACATTTCTTTATCCTTACTGTACCTTAGAATCTCAAGAGCATTCTAACCAGCTAAGCAGACCCCACTGTTCCTCGCTATCACACTTTCCCTTGGTTTCCATAACCAGACAGTCTCATGCTTTTCCTCACATTCCTCTAGCTTCTTCTTTGCTGCCTCCTTCTCTACCCAACCCATATTCAGTGGGCACCATCAAGGCTTGGCTCCAGGCTCTTCCTTCTCTCACTGCATATTCTCTCCTTAAGGGAGCTTATCTAAGCTTCAATTACCACATGTATAGCAATGATTCCCAAATTTATATATCTACCCTGACCTCTCCTCTGTACTATATAGACTGATAGACTTATCTACCCACTTGACATTTCCTATAGGATACCTTTAAAATTACTTAAAATTCATGTTTCTTTGGCAAAGCCATGATTTTCCTGCCTGCCTAATCATACCTAAATCTGTTCTGTTTGTAGTGTTTTCTATCTCAATGAATGACATTGCCATCCAATTTGTTGTGCAAGCCTTCATACTTCCCTCCATCACCTTCTGCCATTAAAGCTATCAACCTGTCCTGGGCAGCTCTACAATACCTCCTAAATGTTACTGAAGTCTCACAATTTTCTTCCATTTATATTAAAATCGTTTCAGCCCAATGATTTCCCCTTCATGATCTGCCTACCTACCTGTCCAATTTCAGTCATACCATTGGCTCCTCCTCATTCTCAAAACTGCTGCCCTTACTGTCACTCTCACCATGATTTTCTTTCTGTTTGGAACAGCTTTGCTTTTCCTCTTCTCTAATTAACTCCTATTCATCTTGCAAATCTCAGCTCAAGTGACACTTAGGGAGAATTGTATTATTCAAGGTTTGTATCTATAAGCGATAGAAGCATTTTCTGACCTAAGCAGAAAAAATAATGTATTAAAAGGATATTGATACCTCACAGATGGAATGGTTATGCAGTCTGGAGAACCAAGTCCTAGTATTTAGGAATAACATGCTAACCACTCTTAGACACTGGTCTGGAGAAGAAACCTCTACCATCATCATTAAGCACTGCATGGTAGAGTTTGTACCACTGCCACTTCTGCATCACATCAATGTGAGAGGGAAAGGTTGGGGTGGAGAGAGAGGGGAGAGGGAGAGGGAAAGGGAGAGGGAGAGAGAGAGGAAGAGGGAGAGGGAGAGAGGGAGGGAGGAGGGGGGGAGAGAGAGAGAGAGAGAGAGAGAGCGAGAGAGAGAGAGAGAGACACCCCATTGCATCCTAGTTACAAGGGAAGCGGGGAAGGCAAGTATCTGACATTTTCAGCCTCTAGAGTGCTAGAGTGGGAGGCATTTTATGACTCCGCCAAGGCTTATCATGTAGCAAATTCTCCAAACATTTGAAGGGAACTCAGATGTTGGGTAGTGAAAAAGAAGTACAAACTCTATACAAGATTTCCCTGATCTCCTTGGTTAAATTAAATTCCGTTACTAACTATCATTGCAACATGTACTGCTTTTTAATAGAACTTGTAACGGTTGGAATTTTACATTTATACATGTTGCAATTTGCTGTGTGCTCACTATCTATTTCCTTCAATATCCTGCCAACTCACTCAGAGAGGGACTCTGCGTATTTTTGCTCACCTGTGTATTCTCAACACTTAACACATTATAGGTGCTCAAAAAGTATTTCTTGAAAGAATATTATTTAACCTATAAAAATTAATTCTACCCATGTAGATTAAATAAACATAACAACTTCTTTTATTCAGCAGATATATGTTGTATGCCTTTCCTTCACCCTTTTAAACCAGATGGGGAAAGCATCCTACTGCTGTCCTGTTGTGAAAGCAACAGAAGCTATTTATTTTGCAGGCAGTCCTTCACAGGAACAGCCATTTGGGTGAATTTTAAAATGCCTTCTGCACCGAGCCAGGACATACAATGGTTTCTTTAATCCCTAAAGTAAATATGGTAGCAACCCAAGCATTAAGAGACTTTTACATAAAACTACATTGTGCTCCTTGCACATTCCCCTTTCATCCTGAGCTGAAAAGCATTTTTGGATTCTTTCATTCTGCCCTCAGGGTAGCAGCACAGAGAAGAGGAAGTCCCAGCCAGATTCGCCTGGTGAAGTTAAGTAAGTCCCAGAAAAGAAATGTTGATACCAACAGAGCTTTTGGTTCTTATATTTTAATGACCATATACTGTTTAAACAGTGCGTGCTGTTTCCAAATTTGCGTTCAGGCTTAAATGTAAGTAATCCTAGAGAGATAAAAATCCTCGAGGATAAAAATCCTGGAGATATTAGTTTTGCACAAATTTTGCTGTGACAATATACCATGTATTGGTTTTCAAGGGCTGCCATAACAAAGTGCCACAAACTAAGTGGCTTACATGACAGAAATGTATTGTCCCACAGTCCTGGAGGGCAGAAGGCTGAGATTAAGGTTTCTGCAGGGTTGGTTCATTCTGAGGGCTGTGCCTCCCTCTTAGCTTCTGGCAGCCTCCGGCATTCTTTGCATGTAGACGGCATTCTTTCTGTGTCTTCACATCCTCTTTTCTCTGTAAATGTCTGTCTCTGTTTCACAAATATCCTCTTTTTTAAAGGACAGCAGTCATGTTGGATGGAGACCTACCCTAATGACCTCATTTTAACTTGATTACCTCTGTAAAGACCCTGTCTCCAAATAAGGCTACATTCTGAGATTTGGGGAGTGAGGACTGCAGCAAATCTTTTTTGGGTGTACAGAATTCAGTTGATTACATAACCTAATTTGAGAAACCTCTGCAGCAGGCAGACCATCTACAATGCAGGTTGCAGGACAAGATACTTAGTGGAAGCAAAGACATTGGTCAGCGGCTGACAGACTAAGAAAGAACACTACAGACAGGATCAGCTCAGCTATCAACAGCCACAATGCACATAAAAGGAGCATTATACCCAGAAAAAAGGACTAAGCTTCGGCCTTCTCAATTTCACTCATGCCCTCAGAAAGCAGCACCAAAAACATGCCGATTTTTAAGAAATGAGACAAACCATTGTTCTAATCTTGTAAAGTTTTCGAAATGAAATAATGCATTAGTTAAGGAATTACACATTATGGAAATAGTTAAATAAAATCAAATATAATTTAGCTATTTCCTTGCAGAAGACTTTTAAAAATGAAATGGTATCTCTGGTTCATCGTGGGAAATGTACATGAAATTGTCCTGAATGGTTAAAATCATACGTACTGTACACAGTCAGTTCTATGCATCTTTACTACATAGACCCTGTTAAGGATGAAATTTTATATTAGTTAGAGTGATTCTTGCATTAATGTTTGTCTGCCTGACTAGAATGTTACCTCCTATAGGCAAGGAGCACATTTTTTATTTTTTATTTATTTATTTATTTTTTTGCATGTTTTTAGATTCTCAGCAATGGCCACAGGTATTGGCACACAGTATGGCCTCAATAAATATTTGTTTATTATGAAGAAATAAATGAATGAATTCATTTATTATTCAAGGGTTGCATTATCCATTCATTCAATTATGTATAGATAATAATGTTTACTGTTCTACCAGTACAGCTTAAGAGGTGCTAGAGAGGTTATGATGAAAAAGAAGCAATATTTGCTTTCATAGAGTTTAGGATTTATAAGGAGAATAAGAATATTTTTTTAAAAAATGTTAAAAGTACAATACACAGTGGTGAAACACAAAAACACTGAGAATGGAGTAAAAATGCTATAAACATGCAGAAGGTAGGAGAAGCTATCATGCTCTGAGAGCAGGGAAAAAAGTTTATGAGAGAAACAACATTTGAGATAGCTCTTAATGAATGGGTAGCAAATAAAAATGATTTTGAAAAATAAAAATGATAATAAAGGGAAAATGATGAGAGAAATGACCAAAAGTGATGCCTCTATAACAGCAAGTAGTTTTGTTGCAAATAGTTATCATGGCAGAGAAAACTGAAACTAAAATAGGTAGTTGTTGACAGTAAAAATGAAAATTAGACTGAGATCCTTACTTATCAGGATGAAGAATTTAGGTAACTTTTATGATGGGGAGACAGTAAAGATTTTTTCACAGACCACTGACTGTTTCCTTAGGAAGATTGTTTGGAACCTGTGAGTAATATGGGTTTGAATAGAAGTGAGTGAAGTGAGGAAGATTATTTAGAAAGCTGCTACCCTTGCCCAGGCCAAACAGGTTTTGTAGGGCCCCAAAGCTAATGCAGTTTGGACACTTTAAAAAAACGAATACAAAATTGAGTTTCAAACTAAATTTTTTAAAGAAAATAATTATGTATTTTAAAGGCTAAGAAATACCATAATTATGAGCAAAACTAAAAAGAAATCAGAATATTTTAATCAACAACCTGACACATTTTATAACATTTTAATTTCTTACACTTTTTAGCTATGTATTCATTTAATTGCCTCTTCCTATGACATGTGACATAAGTTTCTATAAGGAGAACAGAAAGATGATTTACTTTTTTCTGTGGTATGATTAGTAATAGTTTAAAAAACAATTGATAGTTTAGGAACTTTCTTCCAATTTTACAACTTGTTCCTGCTAATTTCACACTAGGATGGCCTCTAGTATGTTTGAATACATAAAACATACAACTTTGCCCAGAGACGTACTTGCTCTTGTTTTATGCCCGGAAATCTAATAATTCTATATCACAAATTAGCCATCAGAAAAGAAAAAAAATGGCATGTTTATGTTTGCAGATGCTGAATTATTGAATGTATTCTTGGCAAGACAGAACTTGTCAAGAACCGATTCTTCCACTTCCAGCCACACACAGCTAATTATTGAAAGAACTTACCCCATTTAAAAAAGCTTCTGGCTCTATACCTTTCAATATTTTGTTTCATCCCCTAACTCTGCCAGTGCTGGAAGCCTGAGAACATGTTCATATAAAGGTATGACCTCTGTTCTATCTCACAAAGCTGGTTGAGTCAGCATCGTAGGGAATTGGTGTATTTCTAAAAACCAGTCCTATACCAGAGTAACTGGAAATAAATTAGTTACCCAAAGAACTGACTACAAACCACTTAGCATACTGCACAAAACCCAAAACCCAAACTAAATGTATCTCCACCTCAATTCCATCTTATCTGTATTACAAAGTTCCTGTAATCATTCCAATGCCACCTGACAAGGGAGGGTGGGGTGCTCCTAGGGGACATGTGATGGAAGGAAAGTAGAATTGGAGATAGTGGTCTTAACCATTTGCAGATAAAATGTCTTATTTTTGAAAATTTATTAAATTATATGACCTAGCGAATATTTTGCTAGGGCCCCGGGATCCCAAAAATCCCTGCTTCCTGGTATTTAGCCCATTGTGTAAGCCGTTCTTCTTGAGTGTAACCTGGCCTAGTGGCTTGCTCTAACCAACAGAATGTGAGCAACGTGATGGGATTAAGACACATAAGTCACTACTGTCTTGCTAGCTGATTCTCTTCCTTGCTGGCTTTGATAAAGCAAGTTGTCATATTATGGAGGCTCCTGTGATAAGGAATTAAGGGTGGCTTCTGGCTAACAGCAGGAAGCTGCCAGACCAACAACCCTTGAAGAACTTAAAATTTGTCCACAACCTCATAAATTTGGAAGTCAGTCCTTCCCAAGTCAAACCTTCAGATGAGACTCCTGCTCTGGCCAACTCCATGATTGAAGCCTTATGAGAAAACTTGAACCAGAGGGCCCAGCTAAGCCATACCTTGATTTCCAAATCAAAGAAATTGAGAGACAAAATCTATGCTATTTAAGTTGCTGAACTTGAAGTAATTTATCAAACAGCAACAGAAAAAGTAATGCAGGTACCTTCCAAGGTCTTGGGATGGTAAAAAGGAAGGGCCACAAAGCTTATTTGCTTCATGGCAAATTGGCCCCTGCATATGAACCCAAATCAGGGTTGTGGCCATGGGAACAACATGTTATAATCTTATATAATCACACTTTATGCCTTATTATTTGTAGCATTTCATCTCTGGGCAGGCAGCATGGGTTTGGTGTGGATGATTGCTCAATTGAGTAAAAGATAAATATTCATCTGGCAAAGGTAAGAGGTTAGGTAGAGACAGGTTAAGGAAATAAGTTTTTTGAACAATTTATGAAATTAGGACATTTACATGAAATAATATATATGAATTAGGGGGAGCATGGCAGACACCTGAAGTTAGAGGATACATGCTTAACAATCTCACTGGCATGATTTTATGACTTTCTCTCACGAAGTTTGGCAGCTTTGATGTGGAAGCTGAGCAAAAGAAAGGCAGAGTTACCTAATGGTGAGAATTTGGGATGTGGTCATGGGATTCTGGCCCAGTTGGATGGCAAGTTAAGTTAAGAAAAGGTGATGTAATAGAAGAATGGAAAAATATATAGGGCTTGGAAGTCACAGTGCAATGAGAAAATAAGTTCAGTAGATATAATACAGGAAGAGGAGAGAGGAAAATACGATGTGGTCAGAGAAAAGATTTTTGGGAGTTTAAGAAATTGGGATGTAATACTTTAGAAGGATTATAAGTTGGGTTTCCCATATAGGTGTGTGGTAGAAATGGAAGCAAAAGGAAATGTGGTGAAGTTTAAAGCAACAAATGATGACACCAGGGTCTCAAAATTGTCCTCAAATTTTTTTTTGGAGATACAAAAGATAGTTATGTGGACAAGGCATCAAAAGATTACTGTGAGCTAGACATATTCCATCAGTATGAACTTGTCTATTTTTTACTTATGAAAATATGGCTTTTTTCCCAAGTGGCACATCTAATTTAATATTAGTCCCATTGTCAAAACACACCCTATCATTCTATTAATAACAAAAAACAAAAGAAACCTGTATACTGAATCATTGTCAGTTTAAGAAATACAAATAATATTTTTCCTAAGATTAACAGCATCTACTTCCTTGAGCAGCTGTTTTATGTTTTATCTAATTGATTTCAACAAATTGCTTCATTAACAGACACCATAGACAAGTCATCTGAAATTGGTTATCAGTGGGGACACAGGGACAAAGTTCCTGTCTTAATTCCATCTCTTGCTTCTACAGAGAGAAAGCTTGGATAGGCTATTTTGGCCAATAAGCATCACTCCAGGGGTTGAAATGAGGATTTCATCTAGGGTTACAGAAGCTGAAATTCCGGGAGAAGATACAAAACTGAGTGCTGAAAGGAAAATGAAGGTTAGTAAGTCATAGCAGCAAGTCTGAATTGGTCTCTAATAATGTTGTAATTGTAAAGGTTAACCTTCATCTTTGAAAGATCCCTCAGTATTTGGATAAATTCCCAGACAATGAGACCTGCTTCTTTGTTATGTCACAACTCAAATTTTGAGGCTTGCCGGCAGATAAAATGCAGACGCTGGGCCTAGGCTACATGTATCAGAAGCAACGAGAGGGGATTGGCTTTGAGGGAAACTTCCATTTTGGCGGAGGCTGCCACAGCAGATGTATTCAACTTTCAGTCTTGGCAGTGGAAGGGCAGTTTCCCAGAGGGTTCGAGGCAGAGTTCCTGGCACAGAAGTAGCACCAAGGGGGTGGCATCTGCCAAGTTTCCTTTAGTACTAGGTGGGAAGGCAGCAGCGACAGCAGGTTTTTTCATCAGGCCAATTCTGTCATGAGGTTTTGGGCTTTTGTCCTGAAAAGTTAGCCTGAAGTCTGGTTTGCTAGCCTTCCTAGCAATTTTGAGATTTTTAAATATGCTTTAAATAAACTTTTTTTTTCTTAGTCACCTGTTGATTGCATCTAAGAGCCTGACTTACTTTTCTTATTAGAGTGGGGATATCAGGAGGACTGCCAGATGGCATTTCTAAGCACATGCTTTTGCCTGAGGATGGTATCTGTGTTCATTTCTCAATGGATCGTGCTACATTTAAATGAACAGGATGAGCTCAACAACCCCTTTGATTCAGGCTTCCATGCTAAATGGGAAGGGGGTGTTATTATTAGATAAAGCCTACTGGAAGACTACATTAGTTTGCTAGACGTGCCGTAACAAATGATCACAGACTGGGTGGTAAAAATAACAGAAATTTATTTTCTTCTCACTCTGGGACTGGAAGTTGGAGACCAAGGTGTCAGCAGGTGTGGTTTCTTCCAAAACTTCTCTCCTGGGCTTGCAGGTGGCAACTTCTCTCCTGGGCTTGCAGGTGGCACCTTCTCACTGCCTCTTCACATGGTTGTCCTTCTGGGTACTCGTGCACTTGGTGTCTTTTCTTTGTGTGTCCAAATTTCTTGTTCTTATAAGGACACCACACAGATTGAATTACAGTCTGCTCTAAGAACCTCCATTTTAACTAATCACCTCTTTAAAGGCCCTATCTTCAAATACAGTCACAGTCTGAGGTACTAGGGGATCAGGATCATAATTTTTGCAGGGACAGAGTTCAATCTATAATAAAGACCTTGGCATTTTACTTGGTCAACAACAACAACAACAAAACTGTTACTTGAACATATTGAAGTAGTAGAGTTGATCAACCCTGTGGTATTTTTAATTCTCTAGTTTTTCACTTCTCCCTGCTACACCACATATCACAACCCAAATGACCTGAGAGAGAACAGCTCAAGTATGTTATTGACTAGTACTGTCAACAAACATCCAGTTCTAATACTTACTTTACCGTAAAGAGTACTGGCTAAAAAAATGTTCATGGAGGCAGCCTCTTATTTCTGGAATGTTTCAGAATATGTTAGGAACTTGTACTGGGCAAATCCAAGGTAATATCTTTTCCCACTCCAAATAGGGGATCTTCACTATTTCCCAAGCCCTCCTGTCCATGTTATAAAATCTTCAAATTGCTTTTAGTTTTTCTCTCTTAATTATGAACAGACAACCAATGATCAACAGATGTTTTTGGAAAGTCTGTAATATGAGAAAGAAAAAGCACAGTAAAAACAGGCAATATAAGAACTGTACAAAAAGTCCATTATAACTAATATCATTAGATGAATGAGAGAAGATATTCCATCCATGAAACAAAAATATGATATTATTTTTAAGGATGTGCAAAGAATAAGAAGGAGCTCTTAGATACCAAAACATAAAATAAATTCAATATTGACACAGAAAATAAAGTCCAGAAAATGTGATATTGTTTGATCATCAGTGTTTTCATGTGTGACTTGGACCTTGAGAATTAAGTAAAAATAATTTATATTTTATTATTTGATTCTTATAAAGTTATTCAGGCCATCATTAATTATGTCAAGCCTAAAAAGACAAAATGTCCACATCATCTGAATGAATATCTGGAAGTTATTTTCTTATATCAATCAAAAGTTAAAAGCTAATTTCACTGAAAATAATTTTTATAAAATTAATTCAACTTTTAATAGTTTTATTCTTGCTGAAAAGATTTAATTATTTTTAATAGTCTGATTATATTGTCACGTATTTATATAAATTGCTAATTTGCATATGTAATTTGAGAATTACAATTTATGTAATAAGTTACATGAAAAGTTACCCATCAAATACACTTATAAAGTTAAAAGTCAGAAAATTTTAAAATGCTAATTTAATTGTTAACTTAAAAGTTATTCTTAACTCTGAATTGAATAAAAACACTAAGCTTTATGCTTAATAGTTTTACATATAAGTATAGAAATACATATAGTACATGAACAAATATACAATAAATCTGTGGTATTAAAACATCGAAATTAGAAAATATGTCTAAAAAGGCTTGTTAGGGATAAGAAAATGAAAAGATATTGTGAGACATTGATGTAACGGAAAGTTTTGATTTTATTCATGGTTTACTACTGAATAAAGTTTTCAGACTTAGTAAAGTCACATGTTAATAATTAGATTTTTCTGATAGAGATATAAATAATCTCTTTCCTGCCCAGTAGAAGAAGTGACCCTCAAAATTATGGTTTACAACTGCATTGGGCATTAACCAGTTTCGCATTTAACCCAGCAATGTTATCCTCCTGTTAATATCTAGCTTTTCAAATGATCTTTGCACCGGTCATGACATCTGACTTTGACATGTATTCATTTTCTGTTTCCATAAGTCATAATTTTGCCTTTGTGAAAATGATTCTTCAACATATTTTATTTTCTCAGGAAGTTATGGAGGGTGATTAATCAGGGAATAAGCCAAGAACAAAGGAGATCCAGGAGCCAGGAGAAGGAGAATTCCACATAAGAAAGGGGGAAAGGGTACTTTCACTTTGAAGGTGAAGGAAACTTCCAGGAGGACACACCTGCAGCAGGCTTAGAGAGCAATGCTTCCAGATCAGAGCAGGAGGATGGAGAGGTCTCCAAGGAAAAAAATCCAGTTGACAGATCGCTTCATGGGCTTAAATATATTAAAAGGAGTTGTAGAGTTCTGTGCAAAAGTTTAGGACAAAATTAGTGATAGGCACAAAGAAATTAAAAGACACCACAAAAGGAGAGTTAATTTCAGGAAATCAACAGTTATATAAGAAAGGTAACCCAGTAGTATATTACTTGTCTCTGCTGTGAGTAATATTTATGCAGACTTAACAATGTAAACACTGAATATTGGTTTATCCACCCCAAATACATTATAACTATATTGCGGGGAGTTTCCTGGGGGACAGCGAGAGGGTGGAGGCTGTAAACAGTCTAAATCTTCAACTTAATAATAAGGTAAGTGATAACATAGAAACTGGATAAATCAAGAAATGGTGATGTAAGCATGAGTGATGGCCTTCCGATTTGTCTGTTTAGCTAGGCTATAGTCCTCACTCAACCAAATATTAATCCAGGTGTTCCTTGAAGGTATTTTATAGATATGATTAAAGTAGTGAAGGAGATTATCCTAGATAATCTTGGTGGGGTTGATTTAATCAGTTGAAAAGACTTAAGAGTGGAGTTGAACGTCACCAGTGTAGAACAGCTTCAGCCAAATCCCAGGTGTTCTAATTTGTCCTTCCTGATGGCTTGCCCCATGAATTCACATAAGCCAATCCCTTGCAACAATCTCTTAACTATCTCCTACTGGTTTTGCTTCTCTCATTGAATCCTGACTAATAGAGCATCTCATTTTAAAATAAGAAGATGACTATCAGACATGACTGGTAAAATAATTAAATGTATTTACTGAGCTATAGGACTGGAGGGTGAGGAGATTAATGTTTTATTGAATGCAATAAAAATTAAATTAGAAAGCAAGAGAGGGAGCCCTAGTAGTTAGTGGTGGCCACTTTCCCTTTGCTCTTTAAGAGCAGCTCACATAATGTCATGAAAAGTATGTAAAAGTTGGTGAAGGCCAGTTTCACATATTTATTGAAGATCTTCCCAATCCCTACTCCCATCTGTTTGTTTTTTTCCTTTTTCCCCCACACTGGTTCAGTTACTGCTTGTTCTCATCTCTGTTCTCTCCTCTTCTTTTGACTTTGCATTAACCCATATTAACATAACCTGTTCCTGCTGCAGGGGGTGCATGGAAGAAAACTGGCCTGCTTTCGAGGACATCATCAGAGCCCAGAGTTCAACAGATCATGAACACTTCGAGACAAATGAAGACAGGTGCAATCTCCTTGAAGAAATAAAATCTAAGTACCAACATCCCTTCTGAGTCAAGAATCTCCTCTCTTAAAAATGTAAAGCTATTGATCAGGGAGGGAAGTGTATTAAGCAGAGCATTTTTGATCAATGGCTGTATACTTCCTCCTCCCTAACTCCCAAACTCCAGACACAACTGCAGTAACTCCTGAGATTCTTATGGAGCAGGAGAGCAGATAAATGGAGGAGATGAAGCATGAGGACTGAATATGGAAATTTGGGTGCTATATGTTTAATATTGACTGATATAAATCAACATGCATATATCAATGTGTCACACTTTCCAGTTTCTAGGCAAAGATCTTTGGTGCTGATCACTCCACCCTCTGTATACCAGATAATTGTGGCCCCCTCTCTCTCTAAGCAAAGATGGTAGGGATTGTGAGGTGAGGGTGGGCTTGGTAGAATGATTGCAGAATTTTAAAATATATATATCTCTCTCTCTATTTGTTTCCATAATGTAATCATTACTCTACATGCTGTTTTGGAACTTTTTCACTTAATATAACATGACACTTTCTACTTGATATACTATAGATCATAAAATAATTCATTCTCTCTATATTTTTGATGACTTACTGAGTTGCTTTGCTGAGCATTCAGGACACAATAATGAAAAAATGAGTATATACGTGGCTCTCAAGGACTTGATGGTGCTGTTTCTCGTGTCTGTAATTTATTATTTGAAACATTTCCACAAGTTGTGCAATAGATATTAATGTTACTTTTCTCCCCATGGTTCTTGACCCAAGTTTAAACCCGTAGTAAGAACAGAGACAGAGTTTGGACCCAGATTGCATTCCAAAATGCACGTTCTTATAATATATGTTTTATATGTAATGCTAAAGTTGAAAAAAAGAAAGAATGTGATAAACTGACTAGCGAAGTTGTGAATAAAAGGTTTTGGGATTTAAAAATTTTTTGACACATTTGCTTTATCTCTGTCTCTCTAAATAGATTTAAATATATGTACATCATTTAACATTTTTTAAAAAATTACGTATTTAAAAATTAGTTCTAGACATCATGAACCTTTATCCCTAAGTATTTCAGCATAAATATCATTTAAAATGTAAAACTACTGGCTGGACCTGGTGGCTCATATCAGTAATCCCAGCGCTTTGGGAGGCTGAGTCTGGAGGATCATTTGAGCCCAGGAGTTGTAGTTTACAGTGAACCATGATCACACCGCTGCACTCCAGTTTGGGTGATATAGTAAGACCCCATCTTTAAAACGAACAAACAAACTAAAAGACCATCTATGCTTATTATTATTACCCCCAAATGTAACACTGATACAAAAATAGTATTTAACATGGAGACCCTATTCAGAGTTTTCCAATTTTCCCCAAATATACATCTTTCTTTAAAAAAATAAAGAATCCAATCAAGGATTTGCAGTTGATCATTATATTTCTAGAACTATCCCCCTTCCTGAACATTTTTTGGTCTTTCACAAAATGACATTTTTGAAGAGTCTAGACCATTTTCATGGAATTGTCCTACCATCTGGATTTGTGTGATTGTTCCTTCATGGTTAGGTTTTGGTTAAACTTTTCTTTTCTTCTTCTTTCTTTTCTTTCTTTCTCTCTCTCTCTTTCTTTTCTTTCTTTCTCTCTCTCTTTCCTTTCTTTTCTTTCTCTCTTTCTTTCTCTTTCTTTCTTTCTTTCTTTCTTTCTTTCTTTCTTTCTTTCTTTCTTTCTTTGTTTCTTTCTCTTTCTTTCTTTCCTTCTTTCCTTCCTTCCTTCTTTTCTTTTCTTTCTTTTTTTAGACAAAGTCTCCCTTTATTGCCCAGCCTAGAGTGCAGTGGTGCAAACACAACTCACCCCAGTCTCAACCTCCTGAGCTCAAGCGATCCTCCCACCTCAGCTTCCCAAGTAGCTGGGACCACCCGTGCGTGCCACCATGCCCAGCTAATTTTAAAATGTTTTGTAGAGACAGGATCTCACTATGGTGCCTAGGCTTGTCTCAAACTCCTGGACTCAAATGATCCTCCTGCCTTGGCCTCCCAAAGTGCTGTAATCGCGGACATGAGCCACTGCACCTTGCCGGTTAAATATTTTTGACAAGAAGACTACATAGGTGATGTTTGCTTGCCATTGTACGAATTCAGGGGACACATAATAGTGTTTTCTACTATTGATGATGCCAAATTAGATCATTCAGTTAAGGGGACTTCTAGGTTTCTCCTTTGCTAAATTACCTTTTCAGAAAGTCACCTAGGGTGGAGAACTAGCTACATAATTGCAGAGCACAGTACAAAATTACAGTGCTAGGCTCCTTGTTTTAAAATTATTAAGAATTTCAATATGGCAATAATGGAGCATTAAAGCAAGCAGGAGGCACTACTTAGTATAGGGCCCTGTGTGACTGGTCTCACGCTCGTGAAGCTGGCCTGTGTGAGGTGATTCTTTGGGATCACCTAAATATCCTCTTCCCTAATGACCTTTCATTCAGTAGTTTTGCATTTAATGATGATTTTCCATGAATTAATTTTTATCTCACTGGTTGCAAATGAGTGATTTTTTAATTTTGTTATTTCTTCTATATTTATTTGCTGGCATTCTGTGGAAAAAGCTCTTTTATAAACCTAAGTTCATACAAAACTCTGCATGTGAATGTTTATAGTGGTTTTGTTCATAATTGTCAAAAACTGGAAATAGCCCAAATGTTCTTCAGTGGGTGAATAGATAAACAAATTATGTTGCATCCATACAGTAGAATATTACTCAGGGAAAAAGAAAGAACAAACTACAGATACATGAAACAACGTGGTGAAATCTTAAATTTAAATACATTTTACTAAGTGAGAGAAACCAGTTTCAAAGACTACATGTTGTAGAATTTCTTGTAAAATATGATGTTCTGAAAGAAACAAAATATAGGAACAGAAACATGTCTCCTGCTACCAGAGGTTGGGGTGGGGGAAAGTATTGATTACAAAGGGAAATAAGAGGGAATTTTTGGCACGATGGAACTATTTTATATCTTAATTTTGGTGGTAGTTACATGGTTGTATGCATTTATCTAACTCATGTAATTGTATACTACTAAAAAATTTTACTGTAGGCAAATATGAAAAAGTGAATAAATAACTTAAAAACTAATACAATTGGTCATGTTTAAAAAAAAAAAAGACCCCACCTTCCCAGTACTTAAGATAACTACGGACTCATGGATTCTCTTTTTATTAAACATACAACCATTCTCTATGCCATTCTCTATATGTTCTACTTATGCCATTCTCTATATGTTCTACTTATACCATTTATATTATTAGTATAATAATATTATCTTCTTTTTTACTTTTCAATTTTAAAATTATTATAAATGTGTAGGAAGTTGCAAAAATAATGCACAGAAGCCCTGAAAATGCTTCACTTCGTTTTCCTCTGTGGTTACATTTTAGGTAGCTATAATTCAATATTAAAACCAGGAAAATAGCGTTAGTACAATATTTCTGGGCCACTTTATCAAATGTGTAGATTAAGGTAAATATAACTACAATCATGATACAGAACTATTTCATCACTATGAAGGTTTCCAGCATGCTGCATGCATAGTTATAGGCATCTCCTTAACGCCCACCATTCCTAACTCTTGGCAACCACTAATCTGTGTTCTAGCACTATCGTTTTGCAATTTTGAGAATGCTATGTGAATGAATTATACAGCAAATGACCTTTGGAGACTGGCTTTTTAAGTTTAGCACAATGCCCTTGAGATCCATTCAAGTTATTGTGTGTAGCGGCAGTATTTTCTTTTTATTGCTGAGTAATATTCCATGTGTGGTGTGCCACTATGTGTTTAATTATTCACCTGCTGAGGGATATTTTGGTTGTTTCTCGTTTTAAACTATTACAAATAAAACTCTGAATAGTCAAGTTACAGCTTTTTGTGTGGTTACTATTCTTTGTCATGTTAAACATTGTTCCAAATTTGGCCACTAGGCCAAATTCAGTTCAGGTATACTATTTTTTAAATTGCAGTGTGGTTTTCATACAGTAAAATTGCAGTGTGGTTTTCATACAGTAAAATTCATCCTCTTAAGGGTATAGTTCTATGCATTTTGCTCAATATATAGAAGTATGTAACTATCACCAAAGTAACATAGAGAATAGTTTCATCACAATAAAATATTTCCTTGAGTCCCTTTATTGTCAACTCCTTGCTCCACTCCAGAGCAACCGCTGATTTATTTTCTGAGTCTTTAGTTTTGCCTCTAGTCTCCTTTTGATATATCTTTAATAATCTCTAAACAAGTCCTTCCTTTTGGCATAGTGAGATGTTCTAAACTCATCCTGTTCTTTTTCTGCCCCAAATCTAGTGAGGATTGGTTTAAACACCTGTGCACTTTGCAAACGGGGAGAAGGAAACCCCAAAATATGCCATAGTAATTGTACTAAATAGGTTTTTATTTGCCCAGTTTATTGACAAAACAACTTAGTGATTTATTTTGGAATTTTGAACAGAAAACCTTGAAATATGCTTTGAAGTTAGTGCAAGAAAAATTATATCCACCCTATTTGCACTTTTAAAAGCTATTTTGTTTCTTAGGGTTAAGAGAGAGCAGTAACATATTGCTGCTAAGGTTCTATGTATTGATCTTAGTTAACTTCATTTAGTTAACTTTCTAGCTGCACTTTATTTTCCCTCATTTATAGGAGAAGTCCCTGTCTATAGCTATATCTGTATCTATCTATGTCTAAAATGTATAATTTTTGTTTAAACTGACACTCTAAGAAAAAATAGACTTTCCCATTCACATTTTTAAGAAAGTGCATCATTCAACTGAAAAATTTAGAGATGGCATTTTACTTACAAGTTTACCAGGGAATGTAAATGTTTTTATATGTCAGCTGATATTTTGACTGGATTTATCTAGAAATTTGAGTCATACCTTGGTCATTTAAAAGCATATTTATTCAATGCATAGCTTACTGAATGATTACTATGTGCCAGGCCCTTTGCAACACTCCAGAAATAAAAGTGGAGGGAAAAAATGTCTTGGAGAGAATAGGGCCATATAGGTAGACAAATCACAATATCAATACAGTAGGGGCTATTCAAGCAACTAGAATATAGTGGCTTGTGAAGATCTACCTTAAGATAAGCCCACATTAAGTGGCCATATTAGAAAATATGTTTTTACGAAATACAAAAATGTAAGAGGAGCTCATTCTATCTACCCTGTTTACCCAGAAACATCAAGTAGGGTTGGTGAATCAATTTATGAACCCATGGTTTTGTGTGATCTGTGAGGAGTTAATAAACTGCCTTAGGACTAGCATTCAGCTGAAGAAGGATAGAAGAAGTAAATGGGAAAATACTGGTGAAGCAATACTCCACCCTGGCAGCTCAGGTGAAAACCTCATCTGTAGCAGAGAGGGGGTGGGATCTGAAGATGGAAGAAAGAGATATGATTATCCAAATGCTAGAATATTAATATATTTTTACTCAGGAATGGGAAAGGAGAATGCTTTTTGGTGAGGAAAGAAGCACATATAGGATCTATGTTTTGGGGGGATGGAAATATGTTATGTTTACTTATTTATCACTCTGTTGCCCAGGCTGGAGTGCAGTGGCATGATCTCGGCTCACTGCAGCCTCAGCCTCCCAGGTGGAAGTGATCCTCCCGCTTCAGCCTCCCAAATAGCTGGGACCACAGGTGCGTGCCACCATGCCCAGCTAATGTTTTGTATTTTTTTGTAGAGACAGCGTTCCGCCACATTGCCCAGGCTGGTCTCATACTTTGAGCTCAAGCGATCCGCCTGCCTCAGTCTCCCAAAGTGCTGGGATTACAGGCAGGAGCCACAATCCCAGGCCAGGAAGTGTATTTATTTTTGAGGCAAATTTGGCTGTAGTGGATTGCAGGGAAGAAGTGAGGACCAGATGAGGAGAAAGGGAAAGTGGAGCCTTAGAGAACTCAAGGCTCAGCACAGAAAAGAAAGTAGGGTGGATGTTAAACTTCCTCTTTAACTTTTTTTTTAAATTACTGGGCCAGTTCACCAAATAGAAAAACAGGGTGAATTTGAAAGTCTAACCATGATTCTGTGATTCAGAGAAATACTTTGCAGATATAAAGTTTCAGTGGTAAAAGATCCCCAGTACTAAATAACATTTGTTATAGTGGGAAGATTAGTTTGTCAAAGTTGTCTCATTTACCTCCAATAAATAAATAATTGAAGTCACTAGTTTTTTTAAAAAAATATAGGAAAACATTTAAGGATGTGACTATATTTGGCAAGATGTTTTGTAGTTGAGAAAATTATACCCCTTATACTTGACAGATTAAAAAAATGCAAAGTAGCAGAAAGTAATCATTAGATTTTAAAATACAAATAAGAAAATAATGCTGAAGATGTCTAGCCAGACTAAAAAAATTACTTATAATGGGAGAGAGAAAAATACTTTTCTAAACTGTGTCAGTTGATTATGACCCTTTCACTAATATTAATAATATAGAATGGTTATTTTGACAAGGTAAATGCTGTAAAGTTAGCTTTGGAAGACTAAAAATAACTTTACCTTGGAAACAGAATGACACACATATGCACCTCAGCTTTGTCCTCTTTCTAGCTGTGTGAGGCTCAAACAAGATAATAAAATGATCTGTAAAAGGTAAAGACTAATACAAAAGAAGAGCATTGCTATTAAAGGTGTTTCCAAAAAAGTGCATGGAGTCCGTAGAAGAGAAGAAACGAGGAGGTGACACCACTCCAGAAGCAGAAGAGAATCAAGATCCCACCCTGAAATTGACAGCATACTTTTGGATAGAGCTATAGAATTGTTCAGATTTGACATTGTGGAAGGCAGGCTCTCAGATGGTCCCTAATGATTGCTGCCTCTTGGTATTCATGTCCTTGTATAGTGCCCTCCCATACTGTACCAGGGAGGGACTGTGTGACCAATAGATTCTGGCAGGAATTATATACTATCACCTCTGTGATTTTTACCGAAGGAAGGAATTGATATTTTGAAAAATGCCCACCATGGCCATGGGATTGGGTTAGGCACTTTACATATATTATCTCATTTAATTCACAAGACAATGCCATGAAGTTGATAGTGCTGCCAGTATTTTACAGATGATAAAACAGGTTCAGATAACTTATGTTAACTTGCCTGTATAGAGCTGGGCAGGTCTGTCAGACTTTAAAGGAAATGCTCTTTCTATTAAATGGCACTGTTCACTTTACAGAACTCAATTCTGTAAAGAATAATTACAACAAGGGCTTCATTTCCTCATTGTTCTGAGGAGAATGTGGATCGGCTGGAAATATTTCTAAAGTATGTGACTTGCAGTTGGGTTATATGCTCCAAGTAGATTTACATATAAAAATATTACGAGCTTTGGCTGGGTGCAGTGGCTCACACCTGTAATCCCAGCACTTTGGGAGGGCGAGGGGGGTGGATCATGAGGTCAGGAGTTCAAGACCAGCCTGACCAACATGGTGAAACCCCATTATCTGGGGAACCAGCCCCCAATATTTCAACATAGGTTCTTTCTATTTTCCCTAAGTGTCAGCCAGTCTGAGAAAGAAACAGAAAGAGTACAAAGAGAGAAATTTTATAGCTTGGCCTCTGGGGCTAACATCACATATTGGTAGGTCTGTGATGTTCCCTGAGCCGCAAAACCAGCACGTTTTTATTAGGGATTTTAAAAGGGGAGAGGGTGTGCGAACAGGGAGTAGGTCACAAAGATCACATGCTTCAAAGGGCAATAAAGATCACAAGGCAAAGGCAAAATTAGAATTACTGATGAGGGTCTATGTCCCGCTGTGCACATATTGTCTTGATAAACATCTTAACAGAAAACAGGGTTAGAGAGCAGAGAACCAGTCTGACCAAAAATTTACCAGGCTGGAATTTCCCAATCCTAGTAAGCCTGAGGGTACTGCAGGAGACCAGGGTGTATTTCAGTCCTTATCTCAACCCCATAAGACAGACACTCCCAGAGCGGCCATTTAGAGACTTCCCCCCAGGAATGCATTCCTTCCCCAGGATATTCTTTGCTGGGAAAAGAATTCAGTGATATCTCTCTTACTTGCACGTCCGTTTATAGGCTCTCTGCAAGAAGAAAAATATGGCTCTATTCTGCCTGACCCCACAGGCAGTCAGACCTTATGGTTATCTTCCCTTGTTTCCTGAAAATCGCTGTCATTCTGTTCTTTTTCAAGGTGCACTGATTTCATATTGTTCAAACACACATGTTTTACAATCAATTTATACAATAGTGGTCCTGAGGTGATGTACATTCTCAGCTTACGAAGATAACGGGATTAAGAGATTAAAGTAAAGACAGGCATAAGAAATTATAAAAGTATTAATTTTGGGAACTGATAAATGTCCATGAAATCTTCACAATTTATGTTATTCTGCCGTGGTTCCAGCCGGTCCCTCCGTTTGGGGTCCCTGACTTCCCACAACACACCATCTCTACTAAAAATACAAAAATTAGCCAGGTGTGGTGATGCATGCCTGTAATCCCAGCTACTCAGGTGGCTGAGGCAGGAGAATCACATGAACCTGGGAAGCGGAGGTTGCAGTGAACTGAGATTGTGCCACTGCACTCGAGCCTGGGTAACAGAGGAAGACTCCATCTCAAAAAAAACCAAAAAAACAAAATAAACAAAACAAAAAAAGTTATGAGCTTTGCCTTCTCAAAAATAAGTTTTTGTTTATTTATTTATTTATTTTTCTGGACAGGATCTCACTCTGTCACCCAGGTTTGAGTACAGTAGCATGATCACAGCTCACTGCAGCCTTCACTCAGGTAGCTGGGATTATAGGCACACACCACCATGCCTGCCTAATTTTTTTGTATTATTAATTTTTTCTAGAGAAGAAGTCTTCTTACATGCCTAGGCTGAATAATCAGTTCTCTCAAGGGGCAGCATGGCATTGAGATTAAGAAAGTGAGTTCCAAGGTGATACTGCCTGAGTTGATAGTAGTAGTTCCACCACTTACTTTGTGACTTTGGGAAAGTTACTTAACTCTGTGCTTCAGCTTTCTCAACTTTAAGACAGACCTAATAATAAGACAGAACTTAAACACCTTAGTGTTGTTAAGATTAAAATATGTATTTTGTCAAAAACCATAAATCTAACACATACAGTGTTTACTATGGGTTGGACATTGTTCTTAGTGCTTTCCCTGTAATAACTGGTTTATTACAAAGATTTTGTGAAGTAGACTTTGTTACTATTTCCTCCTTGCAGATGATTAAATCAACGATTGAGTAATTTGCTCAAGGTCACCTCTCTATTAAAACCAAATAATCTGGCTTTGAAGTTTATGACCTTAACCATTATGCTAAACTACTTCTCAAGCACCTAGCAGAGTGCTTGGTGCAAAGTTTCTGCTCTATACAAGTTAATTCTAATATATACTTTCAAAAAATTCTTCCATTGACCTGGCTTCTTTAAACTCTGTTAAATGCTGCTGGGCACTGCATTCACACCTATGCAAGGTCATTCAGTGCTACTCAAGAATAAACTGCTGAAGGCATTTACTGAAAGCAAAAACCTCCAGTGAAAGGCTTTTGGAAGTATCTACTTAAAAGATTTTACTTACCTGATGTCACATTGTCTTTTAATTTTTTTTTTTTTTTATGAGATAGAGTCTCAGTCTGTTGCCCAGGATGGAGTGCAGTGGCACAATCTCTTGGCTCACTGCAATCTTCGCCTCCCAAGTTCAAGCTATTCTCCTGCCTTAGCCTCCGGAATAGCTGAGATTACAGGCACTTGCCACCATGCCCACTTAATTTTTGTATTTTTAGCAGAGATGGGGTTTCACCATATTGGCCAGGCTGGTCTCAAACTCCTGACCTCAAGTGATCCACCCACCTTGGCCTCCCATAGTGCTGGGATTATAGGCATAAGCCACCATGTCTGGCTGTCTGTATTTTGATCAGTTCTTCTCTCAGTTACACTGCTGTGGAAAAGCTGTGGTGTCCCGAGAAGGAAAGTGTGAGTAATTACCATCTATGTTATAACCTTTTTCTGAAATAGAAAGCAATCTTCAAAACGTCATTTTTTCCCCCTTAGGATTCTATTGCTCACATTTTCAGGCATGCAGTGGAGATGGTTCTCCATCGTAACATGGGTTACTTATTTATATCAAACTGATGCAGTCAATGTCTGTGTAATTCATCACTGTATCGCCAACACCTAAGTCAGAACCAGCAAACATTAGACACTTAATTAGTATATGTAGACTTTTGGTTTCTAAATTGTCTTTACCATGAAGTCAAAAGGTAAACTAACAGGGGCATATCCTATAAATCAGTGGTTCTCAAAGTGTGGTACTGAGAACTGCAGCATCTGTAACTCTTGGTAACATGTAATTATAGAAATGCAAAATTCCAATGCCCATCCCAGACCTATGAAATAAGAAACTTCAGGTTGGAAGCCAGCAATCAATGTTTTAAAAGCTTTCTAAGTAAATCGTATGCACACTAAAGTTAGAGATACACACACATATATATGTATATATATAATCTCCTATATCTAAGTCATGAAAAAGAAGTCTGTCATTTAGTGCTCTTGCTAATTCATCTTTAAACAGGTGCAGTATTTTCACATCTTGCAGTAAGTCAACTCATGAGGCAGAACTTAAAATAAAGGTGGTTCCCAGATTCCTGGGCAGTCACAAACCAATTTATTCAATCTCTGTAGGGTGGAGTTGGGGTAGCTGCATATTTAATAACATTTTTGGAGTTTCTTATGCAAAATTGATTTATGAGAGCCCTGGCCTAAGATGAACTATACTCAGAGGAGTTTCTGTGTGGATTAACTTTGCATTGCTTAAGTCACAGGAAGAAACCGGGTCTGTTTATCTTGAAGCCTGTTTGATAGGCCATTTGGGGCCATCTCTGCCTTTTGCCTCATAGTATTATGTTATACTAAATAAAAGCCATTTTATTTTTGGAATCCCCAGCTTCTCTGTCCCACCCTTTGTAACCAGTTACCTAATTTCAAGTCTCTAAGTAGTCACTGTTTTATTAACCTGTAGTCAAGTAAACTACAGTAATGAATGGGCCAGGTGCAGTGACTCATGTCTGTAATCACAGTACTTTTGGAGGCTGAGGTGGGATGATCATTTGAGGTCAGGAGTTCGAGACCAGCCTGACCAACATGGTGAAATCCCATCTCTACTAAAAATAAGTACATAAATAAAAAATTAGCCAGGCCTGGTGGCACATGCCTGTAATCTTAGCTACTTGGAGGCTGAGGCAGGAGAATTGCTTTAACCCGGGAGGCAGAATTTGCAGTGAGCAAGATCGTGCCACTGCTCTCCAGCCTGGACAACAGAATTAGACTCCGTCTCAAAACAAACAAACAAACAAACAAAACCAGAAGATAAATGAAGCATGGTCATGGAAATTCCAAAGAATACCTCACTGGTTGTGTCATGTACAAGAAAATTTTGAATTATTTCCACAATTAAGACACTGGCTCCTTATCAAGTGTGTTAACCATGTATTAGTCGCTTAGTTGTTTGGAGAAGGCAACAAACTTATTTCAAAGATACTAAAGGAAATCTTGTGGCCACACTTACAGACAAGGGAAACAACTATTTAATTACAAGTACACAAAACAAGCCTTATATAAAATAAAATTCTGTAAGGGTTGTTAACAACCTGACATTGTTTAGTTTGAACAACACTACAATCTTAATTTTGAGAGTCAAATGAGCTGTAGCATACCGTTCTGAAAATGTGTGAACATGAAGAAAGATAAACAAGAATAACTGACTTCGTATTCTGGAGTAAGAATTAAATGCATTTTATAGTTTGTGATAAAATACTCCCAATAAGAAATCAGTGGATATGGGTAGGGACATATAACTGATAGATTGGAAATAGAAACGAGACAAGATGGAGCAGGGCCCTCCTCTTCCCAAGCATGGAAATAAAGGAAAATCTTAAGTTCTTTCAAGGGAAATTCCAGGCACCTAGCTATCCTTAAGAAGTAAATGAGTAACTTGGTAAGCAAGAAGGTAATAGTAGCTTAAAAAAATAGCCAAGGGAATTAGAATCATGAGATGTTCTCTACAGAAGCTAAAGATAACCTCTTAGTATATATCCCTGAGTTTTTTTTTTTTTTCCAGAAACCCACTAGCAGGCCAGGCACAGTGGCTCATCCCTATAATCCCAGCACTTTGGGAGGCTGAGGAGGGGAGAACACTTGAGGTCAGGCATTCGAGACCAGCCTGGCCAACATGGTGAAACCCCATCTCTACTAAAAATACAAAAATTAGCCGGGCAGGCACCTGCAATCCCAGCTACTCAGGAGGCTGAGGCAGGAAAATTACTTGAACTTGGGGGGCGGAGGTTGCAATGAGCCTAGAGATCATGCCACTGCACTCCAGCCTGGGCAACAGAGAGAGAGAGACTCCATCTCAAAAAAAAAAAAAAAAAAAAAAAAAAAATTAAAAGGCAATGTGACATCAGATAAGTAAAATCTTTTAAGTAGATATTTCCAAAAGCCTTTCACTGGAGCTTTTTGCTTTCAGCAAATGACACTGCACTCCAGCCCTGGTGACAAAGTGATAGTCTGTATTAAAAAAAAAAAAAAAATGAAGAAGCCTTTTTTTCTTGGCAGGTAGACCTCAGATAAGGGAGAGTTGAGGACTGAACTCTGACTCCAGTTCTTAGTTCTAAAGTTACTCCTGAAGGGCCTAGAAGTCATGCCCAGGAGCCAGACCTAACACATCTTTCTGCTGACCCCAAATTTTAAAACAAAGCTCTTCCCTAACCAATTGCATAATCAGAACATCTTTGAATCTGTTTAGGGCTTGTAAGCCCCTACTTCAAAATAGCTCACCTTTTTAGACCAAACCAACTTATAACCTCCTTGTATTAATTTATGATTTTGCCTATAACTTCTGCTTTCCTGAATTTACCCCTGGCTTTAAAAAATATTTGCTTGCAAGCCATCAGGGAGGTCGGGTCTTAAGCATGAAGTACCTGATTCTTTTGTTGCTTGGCACCCTGCAAAGTAAACCCCTCCTTACTCCCACTGCAGACCTCGGTGTGGGTATTTGGCCTTATTGTGCCAGGCACCTGGACCCCAGTTCAGTTGAATAACACGAGGAAGGGGGAATCATGCCCAGCAGTGGTAGATAATGATATAGGAGTTAAGAAGAAATCACTTAGGCAGATAGTAAAGGTATGGGAGTCCTCGGCAAGGCCTTTCTTTTTAATGAAAAGTAGCCCCAAATCATCTAACAAAGAGCAGCCTATAAAGTCGAGCTGCAGACATAGACAAGCAAGCTGGGAGCTTGCAGGGGTGAATGCTGACAGGAACTAGGAACTAGACATGTTCAAGATGGCAGCACCATCTTCCCTTCTCTGCCAGCCATGTGTACAGGAAAGAGCAGAAAAGACCGAACCGGCCAAGGAGCATTCATTTGCATAATAGACTTAGGGTGGGGCCCCAGCCTTCCCCAGGCACTATGTAAACGTCATACCTGATTGAACCAATCTGTGAGCCCTGTGTAAATCAGACACCACCTCCTCAAACTGGACTATATAATCTGGTGCATTTGCCACTACCACCCAGTCCTTTCTACTCAGAGATCCCTTTCTCTATAGAGAGAGCTGTTTCTCTTTCTTTTCTCTTCTGCCTATTAAATCTCTGTTCCTAAACTACTCCTGTGTGTCTGTGTCCTAAATTTTTGTGACACACGATAATGAACCCTGGCGTATATACACCAGCAACATAGCCGCTTCAATAATGAACACTGTTCTCTCCAGGGAAAAAGAAAGAAATGAGTATTCAGGTATGTCGGGTCTTAGATCTAGGAAGTAAGACTTTCTTTCACCAACTTGGAAAGCAAAGCTGTATAATATAGATAACCTGGTGCAGGGACCCAAGGATTCTTGTTGGTGAATGTGAATGGAGAGAAGGTAAGAGTCCGACAAACTCAGTGCCTGATGTGAGCCTAGAAACCTGTGCTTACAAGCGGTGCTGATAAGGAGAAATCTTGATGAGAGAGCAGCAGTGGATGGTGGTGGGGGTGTCTGGCTGGAGTTAAGTAGAGCTAAGTGGCTATGAGTGCACCTTTGTAAACAAAATAAAATATGTTGCTTCTTCTCATGATAAAAAGTTGCCAGCTGTAGAGGCCTTTGAACCAGAGCAACTCCATCTTTAATAGGGGCTGGGTAAAAGAAGGCCAAGACCTACTGAGCTGCATTCCCAGATGGCTAGGCATTCTAAGTCACAGGATGAGATAGGAGGTCAGCACAAAACACAGATTATAAAGACCTTGCTGATAAAACAGGTTGCAGTAAAGAAGCTGGCCAAAACCCACCAAAACCAAGATGGCGACAAAAGTGACCTCTGGTCATCCTCACTGCTACACTCCCACCAGCACCATAACAGTTTACGAACGCCACAGCAATGTAAGGAATTTACCCTATATGGTCTAAAAAGGGGATGCATAAAAATTCCACCCCTGGCTTAGCATATAATCAAGAAACAACCATAAAAATGGGCAACATGCAGCCCTCCTATGAAATAGCCATTCTTTTATTCCATTACTTTCTTAACAAACTTGCTTTCATTTTATGGATTCACCTCAAATTCTTTCTTGCATGAGAACCCTCTCTTGAGACGTGGATCTGGACCCCTTTCTGGTAACACAGGTACTCAGGGCCCCACTTCTTTTCTCGGTTTCAGTGTGGATGTCCCACTTCATAGCCTCAAGCTATGGAGCCAATACTGATTGCTCTCCTGGGCAGTAGAAACACGGGGGTTGTAGTTCCACCTGGCTTCAAACCCCCAGGTCCGCTGGATGTTTATCTAAATGCGGTCCTTACAAACAAGGTTCTTTTAAATGGAAATCTAGCAGAACCTTCTCCTTTAGGCTAAAACTGTTCCACCAGGCAGTCTCCTGATGCCAGGATCTGATGACTCACTCTCTGCTTCCCGGTTCCTGTGTCCATAAATTCCTTGAATTAGCTAAAGAATGCAGTCCAGGCAAATTCTAGTTTCTTACTCAGACACTTGACTGAATATCTCCTTTACTCTCATTTCTTCTTTCTGCTTCTTTTATCATTTCCCTAAATTTATATTTTCTACTCCTACACTTTATAAGTTGCTTTTCTCTCTGTAAATACAAATTTCACACATTTTCAGAACCTACCAAGTATTATACATAGGCTTCTGGGGGTGCTACAGCCCATTCGACTCTCACAATTAAGACTGTGGTGCTGTTCAAACCAAACAATGTCAGGTTGTTAACATCACTTACATGGTTAACACACTTGATTAGGAGTCAGTGTCTTAATTGTGGAAACAATTCAAAATTTTCTTGTATATGACACAACCAGTGAGGTATTCTTTGGAATTTCCATGACCATGTTTCAGGAAGTACAAACTTTGCTGCTAGCATATTGGTCCACAAATCGCTATGTAAACAACAGATGCAACCAATCATGATCAGCAACCTTCACATCACCTCTTTAAAAGCCTGTCAGTGATTGGTCACTGCACATCTGTTACTCAGTTCACTCACAGAAAGCAAAACATGGAGTTGTGTTGCCTCCTGGTTTCCCAACAGTAGAGAGATGCTGTAAGCAAAGTAGTTTAACTTTTAAAGCACTACTACTGTTACCCTCATTCTCCTGGTGACTTCTGAATGTGGAAAATTTGCTTTTTAGCACCAACAGAACTGCATTATCCAGCCAATGGGCCAAGGGAGTTGTTTTAACTTTTAAAGGCTCATTTCTTATATGAACTTGAAGACAGGCTATGGATACTACAAGCTGGAAATCATGCAACTTCTTTAACTGAATTTTTGGAGAAATGTGACATAAAGCATGCAATTGAAAACATTTAAGCATTATGGCAGGAAGGTGTTAGAAACAAATGCTGGGTGCCGCAAGGAAGAACCAGCACTCAGACAAAAAGTTTTCTCAGCAAGGCAATTTACTTCTGCAGAAGGGTGCTGCCTGTGTCAGTCACGATCGCAAGAGCACACCAAACAAAGAAGAGAAGGAGTTTTTATCCCCAATGCAGTTCCTGTCCCTGTGGCCTTCTTTTATTGGCTAGGGTTGGACCGCACAATCTAAACTGATCCCAATTGGCTAAGACTTAAATTTTTCTAAATAGGGTAAACATGTGCTTTGTAAGAGGAGGAAAGGGTAGGAGTGGTCCGCCTGGTAGAGTACAAGGCATGTCTGGATATGTCTGGGCATGTCAGGGCACAACTAGAGCAGGAGGCTAGTTGTTTGCAGGCTGGAAACGAGAGTGCAAGGAGGTTGGGCTTTTGAACAAAGAACAAGAATGTTATACAATTAAACATTTTGAAGAGGAATTTATCATACCTAACAATTTCCCCCTTTGCTTTTTGACAATTCTTCCTCTTTAAAATTTTTTAGTATGATTTGGCTTTGTTGCTCTTCTTGATCATTTAGGAACAAGAGCTTATCTGAGAATGGAGGAGGAGGGATAGGGGAGGGTTTTGTGAGAGCTGTTTCTATAAGTCTTGACATTAACCCATGGATACAGGGTATGATGCAGCATCCTACAAAAATGAGTAAACTTATGACAATTGCAAGAGGTTAATATTGTGGACATAAGCCCTTTCCATTTACCGAACCATCTTTCCGTGAGACTCATGAAGGGGTCAGTTATTCCAAAATTTTTGGCTAACTCAGTTGATAAGGAGGTAAGCCCGTGTAAGGCCTTTATAATTGTTCCATTGGGGGCTGTGTTGTTAGGGATAAAAGTACAGCATTGGACTCCAATCATGACACAGACTTCACCTTCTTCTGCTAACATCATGTCAAGGACTATTCTATTTTCCCAGACAATTTGGCTGGTGGGGCCTAATTGTTCAGCTATTCCATTGATTGCATCTCTTGTGTAATTGACAAACTGCTGTTGATAATAACAGATGTAATTTATCCAATTTACACTTTTGTTTATAGTTGATCACCAGAACAGTGCAGATTCAAATCCTGCAGCTATTTGATTTTGAGCTTTAAATTCTTCTGGTACCACTCATGGGACCCCAATAGCATCTATATAAATGTGAGGGTCAAAAGACCCATGAGGAGCACTTCTTTTTGTCTGATTCTCCTTCTTTTTATGTTGACGGAATGCCAGGGTGAAAGGGGTGGCCAATAGGACCAGAGCACAAGTGCCACTCCAGTTACATGGCAGAGTACCCAATAGTAGTACACCGCAATACCATCATACATCTACTCGGGAATAAACAAGGGCAGTCTGACTGGTAAACTCTTGGAAAGTCTTGGTTTCACTGTACTTTTTCAGGTCTCCAAGGGACGTTAATCTTTCCCCATGCCATGAGAGACACGAGGTAAAATTAACATCAGACACTGGAGGCCGGATGGCCATCAGTGACTGACCCACAGAGCCCTTCACTTCAGGGAATAGCAGTGAGAGAGTCTTGCATGCCTCATTGCCCCAGGCTGTGGGGTTTTGAAAGAGACTCACCATGCAGCTCATGCCCAGTTGGTCAGAAGACCATCCAAGTGGGAAGGGGACTATTTGGGCCTCTGGTCTGCCTGCCGTGCAAGTGTAACAGTAGCTTTTGTTTAACGTGCGAACAGAATATTTAATCCATTCCAGCCAGGCATTTGCATCTTGGAATCTCATTTCAATGGCTAAAGTTTGTTTTAAATCTTTAACGTCTACAATGTCTACTGTAGTTTCATCACAGGGTATGGGAAGAACAACTATTTGATTGGGAGGTTTAGAAGGAGGAGAAAGGGAAGGGGGTGGGGAGCAATGAAGTAGATCTCAAAGGATCCTATAGGGTCTATTCCAGGAATATCAGCTACTAGGCCATAGAAGTGACCTAAAGTGGAGTTAGTGTTGGTAAAGGTGGGGACAGTGGTAGAGATTTGCACACGGTTACATTGTTGGAGTTGACAATTAGAGGGAGTAGTCTTTTTGGTAAAGTGGATGTAGGGTTTTAGGTTAGTGCAACCTCCTCCTGGGGAGGTCAAGCCTTGATACTTGGTGGTCCAGACCACATCTCCCCAACCAAAACAGAACTTCCACTGACTGCCTCATGCTCATTTGGTGTAAGAGTCACTCTTACAGGCAGTTTTATTTATCCAGGAAGGGCAAAGATACTTTTCTGAAAAAGCCATTTCAGTTGTCAGGAGCACTAGATAAGGTCCTTCCCAAGTGGGCTTGAGCTTTCCCTCTTTCCAGCTCTTGACAAGGGCTTGGTCTCCAGGTTAGTGTAAGGATTGGGGACAACAGGGTAAGTAGTTTGAACTATTTGATTAATAGCCCTGAGATCCTGTACTAGCAGGTATGACCCGTCTGGCTTCTTTACAGGCAATATTGCAGTGTTATAAGGGGATATACAGGGCTCAAGGAGTCCATTGTGGATAAGACTTTCAGCTATAGGTTTTAAACCTATTCTTGTTTTAGAGGAATAGGGTATTGCTTTCTTTTTACTATTTCCCCAGGGGTTTTTAATTTGACCTTAACTGGAGGAACTTTTAATTTTCCCCAGTTTCCTTCTCTTGACCAGATATCAGGATGGATATACTCTTCATCTATGGTGGTGAGTCAGTTTAGGGAGGTAAGAAATTTTCCCTGGTTAACATAGAGTCCTAAGCCTAATTTTAGCATTAAATCCCTCTCTAATAAGTTTGTTTCTGTCTCTGGAATTAACAGGAATTTAATATTAGTGGAGTGATTCTGATATTTGACCTTTGTTTCTTCTAATATTTTTGCTGTAAATCCTTCTCCTTTTACTCCTGAGATTAGAAGTTCTTCTTCTGAACAAGTTGCACCAGATGGGGAATAAGAGACAGAGGAGCAAGTCGCCCCTGAGTCGATTAAAAAGGTAATAAATTCAGATGTAAGTCCCACTTCTGAATTTATGAAGGGCTCTGGGTGGGATCTGAAATGAAAGAGACAGAGTCCCTGATCCCGCTATTCTTCTTCAAAGGCCATGAGTGACCTTACTTTCCTTTTCCCATTCAAGGCATTCTCGTTTGAAGTGACCTATTTTCCCATATTTGAAACGCCTATTTTGCCCTTTTTCCCTTCTCATTCCTTGACCCTCTGGTTTGATCCCTTTGTTTCCCATGTAGGGTCTAACAGCCAGACACTTAGAAGATTTACAAGCTCCATTTCCCTAGGCTCTCTCCTGGAGAGTTCTCTGTGGCATGGCAGAAAACATAATTCTTGCTTTTTGCCTTTGCTTTTCCTCATCCCTCTGTACATATGCTTTTTGGGCTTTTCTTAAAAGCTCTTCTATGGGATGGTCTTTCCAATTTTCTATCTTTTGTAATTTTTTTGTAATGTCCAACTATTTGTAACAAAATGGAACTTTAACATCCCTTGTCCAAGGGGGTCTTCTAAGTCTAATCCAGCATATTTCCTCATTTGCTCCTTGAGACTTTCTAAGAATTCCATAGGTCCTTCATCCTTTCCCTGTTGTATGTTAAAAGCTTTGGTAATATTTTGAGTTAGAGGAACTGATTCCTGAATCCCTTTAATTATCATATCTCTGAGATCCCTTATATCTCCTCGATGGGCTGCATTATTGTTATCCCATTGAGGATCTTGGGCCAGGAACTTTTGTTCAGCTGCAGGGACATTATGACTGGGATAGGGGGTGTTCACATTCCCAAACCATCATAGCAGCCCTACAGATCATGCTTTTTTCCTCTCCCGAAAAGTGGATGCTTAAGATGGACATTAACTCAACCCAAGTATGTAACTGGGGTCCCAGAAATTGATGGATTTGATCTGACATACCATAGGGATCATCTAAGAGTGGTCTAAGCTCCCTTTTCAGGTTTCTAACTTCTGAGCTGGTTAAATCGGCATTCACAAAGCCAATGTCCCCTCCTCCTAGAGGCACTTCCCTTAAGGAAAAAAGTTGGTGGTCGATCCTCTGGTGGTAGAGGGGAAAGGGAAGTTTTGAATATCCTTCTTACATTTTTCTATCTCATGTTGAAGCCTTCCTAAAGGAGGATATTCAGGCTGGAGATGACTCCAAGAGTCAGGGTTATGAGGGGGAGAGCAGAGTGAGTTGGGGAAGGACTAGGGGCAGCAGCATTTGCTTGAAGGGGAGGGAGGTTAGAGGTGGCAGTGGTGGGAGCGGACGCTGGTGGAGGAAGGTGGTCTAAAGGGTTCCACATGCTAGTGGATGGTTTCAGATTAGGGATCTTAATTTCCTCAGGGGAAGCAGTT
This sequence comes from Homo sapiens, assembly GCF_000001405.40. Lineage (NCBI taxonomy): Eukaryota > Metazoa > Chordata > Mammalia > Primates > Hominidae > Homo > Homo sapiens. Next base: position 121,510,004 of record NC_000007.14, read on the forward strand.
CCCTGCTTGTCTTTTGTAGTTTTTAAGGGATTTAGAAGAACAGACCCCTGCCACCAACACAGGGCATAGTCTATTTCCTCCTGGGAGACAGGACCTTTGTTATTGACATATTCTATTAAAAGTTGGCAAATCCAATCCTCATTAGACCCAAACTTGGGCCAGAAGACTGAGGGTTTGAGGACAGGTTCTTTAATCCAAATAAAACAGTAATATCTTATCATTTGCTGCTTTTTATTATGTTTCGTTCTTTCATTATCCTTCCAATATTTTAACATGAGACCTAGAGGGCTGTCTAAGGGGATTATACTGTCTGTCTTTTCCTTTTTATCCCCCATCTTGCTTGAGCTATTTCCCATCCCAGAAGTTTTTAGGTGTTTCCCTGAGTGTCCCAAGTGTGTGGGGCTCAACCTCTCTCACTAGAGATTTCTTGCTCCCTTGGCTCTAGAGGCTCATCCCCTGCCCCAGCTGGAGGTTTCTTGTACTCTGCTGTAGAGGCTCAACACCCCCTGCTGGAGGTTTCTTGCATTCTTATACTTTTGCTTTTTCTGTCTCTGGCCACTTCCCCAGAGGGAATTTAGGTACCTCTTAACATTGGTGGGTCAGTATAAACCCCCGACAGGCAAGCCACCATAAGCCATATGAGGTGACCATGGAACCACAGATCAGGACTCTACACTTAGCGCTCAATTGTGCATCTCATTCACACACTTTCAACTGCCAGAATGTCCCGACCACCAAGGAAATAATTCACTGCCCCTGCAGTTTTTCTTACCTTGGTCTGTGCATAGAGTTACCTGGTCACCCCGGTATCTGTAGGCCTTTTCTTCCCATGTTGCTGAGGATCCATGTTTATTTGTCACGCTGGTTGGGTCTCGATTCCTTACCCCTGAGACCACCACAATGAGGCAGCTGGATGTATCTCCCCACAAGAGGTGATCTGAGACCCTTCCCTGGAGGAGAATGGGAATCCCAGATGAGCCCCCAGGCTTGTTGGAAACAAATGCTCGGTGCTGCAGGGAAGAACCAGCACTTACGCAAAATTTTTCTCAGCAAGGCAATTTGCTTCTGCAGAAGGGTGCTGCCTGCATCAGTTACGATTGCAAGAGCACACTGAACAAAGGAGAGAAGTGGTTTTTATCCCTAATGCAGTTCCTGTCCCTGTGTCTAGGGTTGGACTGCACAATCTAAACTGATCCTGACTGGCTAAGACTTAAACTTTTCTAAACAGGGTAAATGCACAGTCTGTAAGAGGAGGAGGGGGTAGGAGTGGTGATCCATCCACTAGAATACAAGGCATGTCTGGACATGTCTGGGCATGTCAGGGTGCAACTAGAGTGGGAGAGTTGTTGGCAGGCTGGAAACAAAGAGTACAAGGAGGTTGGGCTTTTGAACAAAGGACAGGAACATTATACAATTAAACCTTTTGAAGAGTAATTTATCATTCCTAACAAAGAAAAAATGGGTAATACCTATGTAGCATGGGAGAAACTTCTACAGCACTGTGCAACTAACTTTGCAAGATACAGATTAAGCATAAATGGAGTTAAAATAGCTCATTGTAGAGAGGTAACCCCGTGAAAGAAATAAAAATATTTCACCCCAAAATATAGTTTTTTTTGTTTGTTTTTTGTGACAGAGTCCCACTCTGTCACCAGACTGGAGTGCAGTGGCACAATCTCAGCTCACTGCAACCTCTGCCTCCTGGGTTCAAGCAATTCTCCTGCCTCAGCCTCCTGAGTAGCTGGGACTACAGGTGCACACCACCATGACCAACTAATTTTTGTATTTTTAGTAGAAATGGGGTTTCACCATGTTAGCCAGGATGGTCTCGATCTCTTGACCTAGTGATCCACCTGCTTTGGCCTCCCAAAGTGCTGGTATTACAGGCATGAGCCACTGCGCCCAGCCCAAAATATAATTTTTTGAGATGGCTGTTCAGATGGCCTGCAAACAGAAGTACTCCTGCAAAGCTGTCTCTTAATGGGGACATTTGCATTTGTAGAGAATGTGCATTGATGCAGCCAGGTTTTCTTAGAAGCTTTCCCTTGTCTGGACCTAGGAAAGATGAACCTAGAGTCTGATACCTTAAAAGGTCTGAAAAAACATTACCATCTGTTATCTCTGAGGGTTTCTATCTCTGAGATTTCACTTACGTAACAAGACCACCTTTGCTAGCCAGCCTTCCTCGTCTCCCCACTTCTATAACCTGTCTTGCCAATGCAACCGGATTTACCACCATAATCTGCTTTTGGCCATGCTCTGAGCCCCTACGAGGGTTTGGGGTAATCACTCTGTGGTTGTCCCCCATGTGCACATTAATAAATTTGTATGCCTTTTCTCCAATTAACCTGCCTTTTGTCAGTTGATTTTCCAGCAAACCATCAGAGGGTGAAGGGGAAATATTCCCTGGGCTCCTACACCTGCCACAGCTCTAGAAGCTCTAAATAGACAGCCAGAGGGACTCAGTAAAGGTGAATTCATCAGCATAAATGAGCAAAGTGGTTGTGATGAAAAGGATGAAGAATTAAAAGAATTCTTAGAAATGTCATGACATTGAAAGCACAAAGCATACAACACTAGAAGCTAATTTAAGCCTAATAAGGAGAGTGAAAATTTGCCCAGGTGTAAAAAATGTTTCCTCCCTATTGTAAGTGGCGCAATGAGAAGAAAGCAGGTACTGTTCAAACTATTCTTGATAAATGTTTTACAAAAAAATAAAGCACTTTAATTTTCAAGTTTCTGCTGTTTTTGATTATAGTGTACTAAATAAATGTTAGTTTTATTATTTTTTGACATACCTATACATTCATAACTGACAGAAGTTTTAAATATTTCAACAAAAAATTTGAAAGGTCATGAACAGACATAATTTTTTTGCATAAATTATTAAGACTGCTTTGCCTGGATTCAGTTTGCACAGTTATTTTCATGGTTCCTCAGAATGTGCAAAGTGAACATTGTCACATATATCACATATATAATATTTGAATGTGGAGAGAAATTGATTCATTTACTTAACAGATATTTATTTAGCACTGACTCTTTACCAAGAACTGGGGATATACGGTGACCAAATAACAGTATCAAATCTTATGAATAAATTTAAAATATGTCTAGTGATTTTAAGAGTTATAAAGAAAAGTAAATCTAAACAATGGGATAGAGTTTAGGGCAGGAGGATGGTATATTCTTTTTCTATATTGTGGTCCCTGACAGCCTGTCTGTAAGCTGACATTGGACATAGAAATGCAGATGGCTGGAGGAAGAGAATTCCAGAGAAAGGAAATACTAAGCACAGTATTGTTCTCTATTATTATTCATGATTCTACAAAATGTTTTTCTTCGTAGCTCAGGAGCCAGATCTTGGTGAAGTATTGAAAAACAATCATAAGGCTGTTGCTATATTTAGGAACCCATAGAATGCTCAGCATATGATGATCCCTAAATAGTTGTGCTTCCAGACCAGTGGAATGGTGCATGGATTTATTTGTTGCCTTACAATTTCTTGAAAAACATATTAATTCAAATTCTGCTTGGTTTTCCAGTACATAATTAGGCAGAGGCAATTCGGTTGAGAAAGCACTGTTTCTACTACTCAAACATTATTTCTGAGATGCCAAACATGTTATGGTTAACAACTCTCACATCTTTAAACAATCTTCTATTGAAGTTTATATATGTTTCTACTTTGTGAGGCATATTATTGATGCATAGGTCTGAATTAGCTCTACCTTCTCTTTACTCATTTCCACAATCAGGCCATGAACTCTGATTTTTTTTTCTCTGTTGAATGACAATTGCTTTAAGGAGAAAAAGATCAAATACTTGGTAAAATGGAAATTAAATACATGTTACATATTTGTGGTCAAACTCCAGAAACAATTGTAAGAAAAACAAAGGTGTATTTACTGGTTAAATCTTCAAACAATCTCTGAAGCAGATACTACTATTATGATTACTTTGCAGATGAAGACCAGACTCAGAGAGCTAATAACTGGTAGATCTGGGATTTGAACCCAGAAAGTGGGACTCCAGATCCTGCACTCTTAATCACTGCCTTAATCACTGAACTGGACTGAATCAAAGGGCCCAGTTGTCTGAGAAAATTGTTTGCCATATGCGCTTCGTCTTCCCTGTAGTTGTTGTGCAAGCATCATTTTGCTCCATACAAGGTTCACTCAAGCAGAATACTGAAAAAGATCAAAGCTCTTTATCCAGCTTAATAGTTTTAGAAAAAGAAAAGGCAGATTGAATCAACTGAAATAAGAAATGTACTCATAAAAACATGGCTATTTCTGCGGTACAACATAGCAACTATTAGAAAGTTTAAGAGAACTAAAGAGTTACTCTTGTTATGCATATGCACATTAATATAAATGGAAGCTCTCTGAGTACAGTGAAAAATCACTCCCTAGGCAGAGACTAGTATGAATGTTTCACGGGGCTAATGAATAGGAAGATTCTAGCTATTGGAATCAGGAAGGTTACTATATAATTCATAAAGGCTTTTAGTAATACACAAATGTCTGTTTTTTAAAAAGTGACGTAGACCATCTTTATCACAGTCACTTAAATTATTAATAAAACCATAGCTTTTAAGATGGTCTCAATAAAAATGAATTGTAACGCATGATTCGGAGATTGTTAAGGCAGACTTGTATTTTGTAATTTATGTGTTTGTGAAGTCTGCCTACTTGTTTTAGTTCTTTTAGTTTGCTTACCAACATAACAGCTTAGCTTTTTCTTCGAAGCCAAGGTACACGATAAAGCAGTTCTCAGGTACTTAAGTATAAAGACGAAAGGTACTCTTCCCACTGTCCCAGTTTGCCTTCTCTGTTGAGGATATGGAAGGATGCCTCTTAGGAAGACTATACTCCTCCAGTCAGAGGAAAGTGACTCCACTTTCAAAGTTTCCAATGTAATGCGTATATGTAAGATTTAAACTGTAAAATATTTTGGATGATTTGTTTTTACAGAAACACGTTTTACATAGCTGATGTTAAATGATATGGAGAATCCTACTGAGTAACCTCTGCCCTCAAGGAAGGATCATAAAATCTATTGGATACCTTATAGGGAAGCAATAGGGCACTTTAAAAGCCCCTCAGGTATTTCAGGCTGTTTTGGCTATTGTAACAAAATACTATAAACTGGGTAGTTCATAAACAAAAGGAATTTATTTCTCACAGTTCTAGAGGCTGGGAAATTCAAAATCAAGATTCCAGCAGGTTCAGTGTCTAGTGAGGATCTACTTTCGGGTTAGTAGATGGTGTCTTTTCACTGTGTCCTTATATGGTGGAAAGAGCGACCAAGCTCCCTCATGCCTCCTTTTTAAGTGCACTAATCACTTTCATGGAATGCTCCACCCTCATGACTTAATCACCTTCCAAAGTTCCCACTTCCTAATATATTACCTTGGTGGTTAGGATTTCAACATAGGCATTTCAGAGTGACACAAACATTCAAGACCATAGCATCAGGTACTATGATACTAGAAAGACACAAGAAAGGATTCTAGTTTCACTTCTCAGGATGACAAGACTTAATACATTCCTGAATATTCATTCCCTTGCTTGTAAAATGGAATGATGATAATATCAATCTTGTAAGATTTTTGCAAGGATTATAAATGTCTAATATGTCCTAGACTTAATAAGTCCAATATGGAACTCTCGGCTTCCCTTTCCTTAATGAAAAAAAATTTTGTCCCCGGCTTTCCCCAACTTATGAAATAGCAGGATCTTTCACCCAATTTCTCAACACAGAAACAGAAGACTTATACTTGATTACTTTCTTACTCTCATGCCTACATTCAATATTTTAGCAAGTTTGAAGAATGCTCACTTTAATATGAGTCCCAGATGTGGCCTCTTCTTACCGTCTTCCATTCTGACTCACCAGACTTCTCAATAGTTTCCAAAATGTTCTCTCTGCTTAGTCTTTCCTCCACGTTATTCTCAACACAAGAACCAGAATGACATTTTAAATGCATGCAATAGATCACCTCACTTTCTTGTTCAAAATTCTCCTCCAATGATTTCTTAACTCATTTAAAATGAAATGTAGTCTCTTCAACATGGCCTTCAAGATCCTACAAGATCTGGCTCCTCTCCCTCTCTCTCGCCCTCTCTCTCTCTTTCCCGCTTGTGTCCAATCACTTGATCTCCTGGCCATATCTTTCTAGCCATATTGATGGTCCTTTGTTCCTGGAATGTTCCTAACTCATTCTGATCTTATGAGTGTTTGCATGTGAAGTCATACCTGGCTGGCTCTGTCATGCCTCCTCACATAAGTCTTCCCTAACCATCTAGTAAAAACAGCCCCCAGCCATTACCACATTATCTTGTTGAACTCTCCTCACAGCACTTACGTCTATATAAAATTACCACCTCCATAAGGTTCACAGAGCAGGAACATTGGCTATTTTGTTCATTGTCATATCCCAAAGATACTTAATATAAGCAGATTACAATTGATCATTTAATTAACATTAGTTGAAGAAACGACTGGATTAATGTTAACATATATGCAAATTTAGGCATACAATAGGCACACAGCAAATGTAATATACATGTAGTAATTTAAAAAGGTACAAAACTCTGAAAGACAGTATGGTATAAATTAAAAGCTATAAAAACTCTACAGGGATACAAACCCTTCACTTATGTGATAATCTAGTCTAAGAAAAAATGGGAAGAAATTTATGGAGAAAGTGACATCCATTAGGCCTTGAAGGATCGGTGGGGGTTTTATAAGAGGAAAATGGAGGAAATAGATGCTAAAGAGCTGTAGCAGTGTGTGCAACATCAGAGGCAGAATTACTGTGTGGTTCTGTGTATGTGGAAAATAAATTAATAGGCAGTGAGCTTCATGATGAGAAGCTTGAGAGATTATATCAGGTCAGGTCACTGGGAATATTACAGGAATTTGGTTTTGTAGAGAATAACATGAATCTGATTTTGGTCATGCATATGGAGGTGTCAAGCAAGCAGCTGGAGATTGTCTTAGTCTGTTTTCTGCTGCTATCACAGAATACTTGAGACAGGGTAATTTACAGAGAAAGTAAATTTGTTTGGCTCATAATTCTGGAGGCTGGGAAGTCCCGTATCAAGGAGTCAGCTTTCTGGCAAGGGCCTCATGCTGTGTTAGCTCATGGTGGAAGGCAAATGGGCAAGAGAGCCTGACAGAAAGAGGAAGGGGGCCACACTCAACTTTTTTCTTTGAGATGGAGTCTCACTCTTGTCATCCAGGCTGGAGTACAATGGTGCAATCTTGTCTCACTGCAATCTCTGCCTTCTGCATTGAAGTGATTCTCCTGCCTCAGCCTCCCAAGTAGCTGGGATTATAGGTGCTTGCCACCACATCCTGCTAATTTTTGTATTTTTTAGTAGAGATGAGGTTTCACCATGTTGGCCAGGGTGGTGTCGAACTCCTGACCTCAGGTGATCCACTCGCCTCAACCTCCCAAAGTATACACTCATCTTTTTTAGCCGGAACCCATTCTTTTTATAATGGCATTATTCTATTCATGAGGCAGAGCCCTCATGATCTAATCACCTCTTAAAGGACCCACCTCTCAACAATGTTGCATTGGGGATTGAGTTTCCAACACATGAAGTTTGGGGGACACATTCTAACCACAGCAGAGATTTAAGTCTGAGGCTCAGAAGTGAGGGCAGTCCTGAAATTGTAGAGGTCAGGGGAAAACTGGTAGAGGTGAGTGTTAAAGCAGGGAGATGATGAAATAGTTCAGAGAGAAGCTGGGGGAACACTCCCTCTCACTGGGTGTAGAGAAGAAGAGGAACTACCAAGCATGTGGGAAATATTATTCAGAAACGTAGGAAGGGAATCACAGAAGCAAATTAAAGCTGAAGTGAGAATTTAAAGAAGTATGTGGTGTTCAATAGAACTGCTTCTTGCCAAGAGGAAGAGTGAAATGAAGAATGAGAAGAGATGGTTGACTTTGATAATAGATGACGAGAAACTTCCTTTCAATAAAGTGGAGAATTTGATATAGTTTGTATGTGTGGCCCTCCCCAAATCTCATATTGAAGTGTAATCCCCAATGTTGGAGGTGGGGCCTGGTGGGAAGTGATTGGATCATGGGTGTGGATTTCTCATGAATGGTTTAGCGCCATCCCCCTTGGAACTGTCACTGTGATAGTGACTGAATTCTCATGAGATCTGGTCATTTAAAAGTGGAACCTCCCCCCTCACTCTCTTGTTTTCTTGCTCCTGTTCTGGCCATTGTGATGTGCCTGCTCCCCCTACAACTTCCACCATGATTGTAAGTTTTCTGAGGCCTACCCAGAAACTGAGCAGACGCTAGCATCATGCTTCTTGTACAGCCTGCAGAGCCATGAGCCCATTAAACCTCTTTTCTTTATAAACTACCAGTCTCAGGTATTTCTTTACGGCAATGTGAGAAGCAACTAATACAGAATTGCTGTAATTGAAGTGACAAGTTGGAGGTGAAAAGTTTAGCGGCTAAAAAAAAAAAAAAGGAAATGGAAAATTCACCTTGAGGGTAAATATGATTTTATAAAGTTTTTGTTTTTTTAGAATGAGAGAGGGTTGAATATATTTATAGGGCATGGGAAAGAGTCAGTGAAGGGAGATGTGAGATGGGAAGTGTGAAGATGAAGAGAAGAGAGTGGAAGGACAGGATATGGGAGACAAGTAGAAGGTCTCATTCTCATCCTGAAATGGGCAAAGACATGTTTTTTGTTTTTTGTGTTTTTTCCTCAGATAGTTGATAATAAAAGCATGAGTAAACACTGAGAGAGAGGTTGAGGTAGTGGGTAGGGAATTTGAAAGTAGGCTTTTTTGGAGACCTTCCCTAAGAGTAACTTGTGTTGGGGTTGCCTGCTGAGGGGTAACACAGTACTTCCTTTTGAAGATTAAGAGACAAGTGGGCCAATGTTATGGAGAGCTAGTTTGCTATGTTAGACTTACAGTTCAGATGAAGACTGATGTTTGTTACTGTCTTCCCAATTTCAGACAACTGTATTTGCTAAAAGCAGGATTTTTCCTAAGGAAGGTATTCACTTCACAGCTGGGTGGTACCATTTTAGAGAGAAAGATGGTATTGGAAAAGGCAATGTTATTTTTTAAGATTCCTCTAATATTTGTAATTATAAGCTATCATGATAATATTTGGAATAGTTCTTTTGTATAACTTGACAATATGTCAATAGTATAAGTTAATAAATACTAAAATTTCCTAAAATGCTTTTGAAACACATTTGGCCAGATTATACTTTAGTGGAAGGATACATGAAAAGTGCTGCTAATATTTTTTATGTGGTTTCTATCTGGGTCCTTAGCTATGGTAGAAAGAAGGAAATCAGTACGATCAATCTCAGTACTGACATGTTTTTGTAGGAGTTAGAATGAATTGTTTTGAACCAAATATTTGGTACTTTCAGGTTATATTTCCCTGCTGAGTACATATAGGTACTCAGGTCCTGTATGATGGAATAGGATTGTATTTTTGTGCTTTTTCCATCTATTGGATTACAGCTTTCCAAGTCAATAAAACTCAGTGCTGCCATTTCTAGGCCCTTTTCACTTCCATCCTTAACTTTAATTGTAGATTGAACTTTTCCCCCCCCATCAAATACGTTTTGGACAAAAGCAAATCTGGCAGGGCAAAAGTAGGGAGTGAAGAATAATCTTTGGGGTATATTTTCTTGTTTATGATCTTGGAAAAGTCACTTCCCTCAGGCTTTCTTATCTGTAAAAGAAAGGAACGAGTCTCCGCGATCTCAAATTTTACTGTGAGTTCTACAATTGTGTGCCTCTGTTCCACTTACCCACATAGTTACCCCTGCTAATGTTAGTTCTGTTCCACTTTTGCCCAGCAGCATTGGATAAGAATCGAACACGGAAGTTACTGAGCAATGATGTCAGACCAAAGTGTCTCTGCAGCTCAGAAAGCAAAGAAGACATATAGAGCCAGGGCTGAAGAGGCCGCCTGGGGCACATCAACAGTGTAATGTCAGTAGCACTCTACTCAATGCTTTTTTGCTTGCACAGGAAAGAAACCCTTTCAAGCTAGCTCCCATAAAGGATGGTTATTTAAAGAGTACCTGAAAACCTTAGAGAACCCTGGGGAAATATTTATAGCCAGGCTTCTTGGAGACTCTGGGAACAGGAAAGTCAGGAACCCTGTCTTTCAGGAACTGCTGTATCTCAGTCGGCTTCTTCATTTCATGGTTTCTCTCTGCGTAGCTGCTTTATTTCCTCTTCAGGCTTACTCCTCTGCTGCTCCCTGGCTGGCTTTCTCTACTTAGTCATACTGAATATGGCTAACTATGTCTCCCAAGGGCCTCCCCAGCCCTGACTCCACATGACTTTTCAGGTCCCAGAGCTACCCTCTGACTTCATCTCTTACAGTCTTTTAGCATAAATTCTCAAGAGTTAGCAGCTGATTCGTTGCTAACCAGCCAATGGCTTGGTTAGCCTTGGGTGAAGTAGTTTTCCCCAGTCAAGTCAGCTTTGAGGAAGGGAGGTGAAGGGAAAAAGAAGTGGATGTCATCTGCTACGTACTGAGTGACCACACTTTCGAGAGTAAAAGGAGCACTATTATAACAGGAACAGATGTAAATCCAAACAGACACAGGACAACTGGACCAACAGAGCTATGAACCACTGCCTGTTCTAGGATTATGAGTGGCATAGATTTTCTAGAAGAAGTGGGAGAAAGGACAAGCAATGAGACCTGTCTAATAAACTCTTTAGTCTTCCAAACACACAAATATCTTTTCCTTCATAAATATACTTCCAGTTACGGCCTGTCACACATACAATTACAAAAATGCTCACCCTAAACCTGGTAGGAAGAGGACAACCACAGCCAGTTCCTGTGTATTAGGGCCTTCTATCACCAGGTGATATCTATTCCTCCTCTTGTCCTCTCCTCCTCTCCAGTCTTCACCAGTATGCAGACTGTGGAATAAATGAGTGACTCTTACAGTGGGATTTCGACCAGCATCATCAGCATCACCAGGGAACTCATGAAAAATGCAAATTCTCAGGCCCCTCCTCAGATCTATGGAATCAGGAATTCTGGGATGGTGCTCAGCAATCTGTGATTTAACAACAAGCCTCTCAGATGATTCTGATCTGTGCAAAAGTCTGAGATCTGCTGGAGTAAACTCTAAATTTAACCACTACTAACACACTGAAAACAGAAATAGAAGCATTTTGCCTAACAGAAACAACTTTCCCTTCAAGTTTTATGTGATTTTCTCAAAACTTTAAGAGAGGCAACCTATATTTTGTAGCTGAGAGAGAGAGAGAGAGAGAGGGAAAGAAAAGGGCAGTAAAAACACATCATGTACACTTAAAAAGAACAGAGTCAAGTCAATTTCAATTTTTTTTCCTGGTTCCACTCATGAAATTTGGTGTGTCCTGACCTTAAGTTTCCTTCTGAGAAATTCTCATCTTTTTCTCGTATTTTGAATAAATCAAGATTCCTTGCAAACAACTGGGTGCGAAATAAGACAACATCCAATAATCAATAGTATAAAAAGGAAGTGGGGGTTGGAGAAGAGACCTCCTATATTAAGCAGGCATAAACAGCCTTCAGGGAAGAAGTTCAGTTTCACAATGGCCTTTTCAATTGGCACTAAGAGGCCAGGGGCTGTAAGTTACATGATGAGTTAGATCAGTAAGTGCCATGGGTATCAGCATGCCATCTCACTCTCTTGAAGTAAATGAAGTTCCTTGGGTATTGCCTAGCAGGAAAATTTCAATCATTTTCACTATTTTTTAGGGCTGCCCTGAGATAGATAACAGGGAGAATACCCTCATGGAGCTGGGTACCCTCTGGAGCACTATATTTTTTATCAGTCATGAATGGCCAGACACCCTGTTGAGCTGATTTGAGTCAGGCACAGTTTCCTGTTTGCAAGCTGCAATTTTCTTTCCTGGCAATACAACTTACATAAAAATTTAGTGAGCTGCTGCTAAATCTCATTTGGAAGTGTTTCACTCTTTAAAAACAACACTGGACGTATTGCTGAAATTGTGGCTTAGCAGAATCTACACACTTATCCAGTTTGCTTTCATATCGGCCCCAGGTTCAGCGACTTGATGGGGTGGAGCAGACTACCTTTACTTCCCAATCTATCTTTGCACAGAACCTCTGAATGCATGACACATTTCAAACCAGCTGCCTGGGACCATCTTGTGATTAGAAGGTAGGACTGAGTGTACATCCTGTAAGTGTTTCAGGAAATCAGCATACCTAAACTCTGCCCTATAAAGTGTCACTATTACAATTGTCATGATTTTGGCTTTTCTAGGGTCTTGTCCTGCAGAGGACAGAATACAGTTAAGGCACATGATTCCCTCATTTGGACTGAGTCCAGTCTTTGGCTATTACATAATGCTACCATAACTATTCTTGGACACATCCTTTGGTGCAATTTTGTTGGGGCTATCTACATCTATATATATATATATGTGTGTGTGTGTGTGTATATATATATATATATATACATATATATATATATACATATATATATATATGCATACACACACATACACACACATATATATATAATTGCTATATCAAGCACATGTACAAATGCTTTGTAGACTCTTCAAAATACTAAAATGGCTTAACAAATGTTTTCTTCCTCCTGCAATAAATGAGAATCACAGTTGTTCCTCAGCCTAACCAACATTCAGAATTGTCAGTTTCTGTGTGTGTGTTTTAATTTTAGCCACTCTGGTGGTTGTTTAGTAGTATTTCATTGTGCTTTTATTTTATTTTTACCAGATAGCTAATGATGTTTAGCACATTTTTATGTTTATTGGACATTTGGCTAATCTTTAGTAAAGAACCTGTTGAAGTTTTTTGTTCACTTTCTATTAAGCTGCCTGTTTTTTTTGTTATTGATTTCTTTTAACTTATTATTATTATTATTATTGTTATTTTGAGATGGAGTCTCACTTTGTTGTCCAGGCTGGAGTGCAGTGGCATGATCTCGGCTCGCTGCAACCTCCGCTTCCTGGATTCAAGTGATTCTTCTGCCTCAGCCACCCAGGTAGCTGGGATTACAGGCATGAGTCACCATGCCTGGCTAATTTTCGTATTTTTAGTAGAGATAGGGTTTCACCATGTTGGCCAGGTTCGTCTCAAACTCCTGACCTCAAGTGATCTGTTTGCCTCAGCCTCCCAAAGTGCTGGGATTACAGGTGTAAGCCACCACATCCACCCTCTTACTGATTTCTTATTGATTGCAGGGGTTCTTTATTTATTCTGGATAACCCAATTTACCTTCAGTCCAATTTATCAATAACATTTGTTTATTCTTTTATTCTTTATTTTTAGTGACTTAAGATATCTTTGTGTATCCTAAAGATATGAGGATATTCTCTTATGTATACCTTAGGTAATTTTTGTTTTATCTTTCACATTCCCAATCCATCTGGAATTGATTTTTGTAAATGGTATGAGGTAGAGTCAAGATTCTTTTTTCTCCATATGCATACTATTGGGCAATTAACCCAGAAACATTTATTTAAAAGACTTTTTTTTTTGCTGTATTCTGTATTGTGATCTTTATGATAAATTAATGTTTATTATTGTGCCAGTATATTTCTAAATTCTATATTTTGTTCTTTTGACCTATTAGTTCTTCCTTATGCCAATACTATTTATGTAATTACTGTAGCTTATTTATTTATTTATTTATTTAAGACAGGGTCTTGCTCTGTTGCCTGGGCTGGAGTGCGATACCACGATCGTAGCTCACCACAGCCTCAACCTCCTGGGCTCAGGTAGTCCTCCAGCCTTAGCCTCCCACGTGCCACCACACAAGGCTAATTTTTGTATTTATTGTAGAGATGGGGATTTTGCCATGTTTCCCATGCTGGTCTTGAACTCCTGGGCTCAAGCAATCTTCTCACCTGGGCTTCCCAAAATTCTGGGATTATAGGCATGAGCCACTGCACCTGGCCTGTAGCTTTATATTAATTATTGACTGTTAGTATAAGTCCTCCAATATTTTTCTTAGCTATTCCATGCCTATGAATTTTCATATTAATTTTAGAACCAGCTTGCCTAATTCCATAAACAACGAGAAACTTTTGATTGGGATTATATTAAATCTATAGATCAATTTGGAATGAATTACCATCTTTACACTATTGAGTATTTCCATATGTGACCTTAGCATGTACCTCCATTTATTTTACAGTCACTTTCTGAACTGGGGAATCCCAGAATATAGGAAAGCAAAAGGCAGAGCCTGATGTTTAAGACACCAAACATGGGACCCGGAAAAGTCAACACCTGAGGGTGCACTCTGACACTTACGGGCTATTGAACCCTCTTTCCCCTTTTCCTTCTCTACTCTTCTCATTCTCCGTTATCCCATCCTTTTTATTTATCACAGGAAAGACTGTCTTTGAATGGCTCATCTTCTTTGTAGGCATTATGGCTGCACAGGTGCCACGTGGTTTTTCAGCTCAATTACCTATTCCCAGCTAATGTCAGTTTCTAACTCTTAGTTCAAATATTTGATAGAGAAAATCCAATTGATTATTAAGTGGCCAATGGATTATTTGTTTCAGGTTAGGTCTTGTGCTAGGTGGGTGGTAGGATGGGACACATGAGAAGGACAAGCTCTCTGGAAGGAGAGGAGGCCAGAAAGGCAAACAGTCTAGGGACCATTGTCAGCCAGTCAGACTGGGATAGAGGAAGAAACTCACATTTAAAAGTTTATTTTCAGACTCAGTCTTTGAACCTTGTGCAATTCTAATAACGATGTTTGATTCTTATTCTTTAGCAACTGTTTAGCTCACTTAGCAATATGTAGCTAATCCAAGTAGATATTGATAGTATGAAAGATATTGATATTAAGTAGTAAGACGATCTCTGTTAGAAGTTGTTCTCTACTTACTCCTCTAGCTGTTTTGCACTTCAGTTTTCAAACCTGTAGAATGGGAATAAAATTATTTGGGAGGAATATATGAAATCATACCTATAAAATCCTTAACACAGTGTCTGGGATATAGTCGCACTAAAATAAAGAGTCTGCTTTATTGCTGCATTTCAAATGGTTGGTTCCAGACCTTGGTTCTTTGGTCTGGTTCCTTGGACAATCCTCTGCCTTCAGGTTTCTGTCTGATGGTTTCTGCCATTGCTACTCATTGCCTGCACTTGGTTAATATCCTAACTTTTACCACTTCTCAGCAATTTGACATGAAGCAAATGCTTTGGCAAACAAACTGAAACTATTACTCCATTCTGCTATAAAACCACTGTTTATGCTCCTGTGGGATCTGGTTTCTATTTTATTTGCAAATTTTGTTGCTGCACTTTTTAGAGAATGTAATAAAACCAGAAAAGGCAAAAAGAATGCACACTTGAGTTCAACAATGGCAAAGTAACAGTGGGCTGCTGGACCGCCCAGTCTGACTCTGGGTAACGTTAGGTTCCAGTGGTTCTAACTGGGTTTCCAATTTCCAGTCTTGAACATGGGTTTTTCTTGTCTGACTTTCCCCAAGTCTTATTTCTTTCTCAATTTAGCCCTGTTTCTATCCTCAGTCAAGCGATCATGCTACACTCTTTCGTTCTTTATGGGCACAAGGCTCCTCTGTTGGCTTTGAAGAAGCACAGCTCCCTGATTTGGGGCCAAGCAGAAATCTGTTTATTCTATACACTCTGTGTAGTCTCTCTCTCTCCCTGCTTCCCCTGGATTCTTTTCCCCTTAGTCTCTCAGATATACCAGTTATTTTCTCTATTATGCATATTTCTCTAGCTTTTCCAAATACCTGTATTTTAAGTATTCTTTTTAATGTGCAGCTCTCTATTAGTTGGAAAAAAATTAATATTTGTGGAAAATTTGCACTATCCTAAAGTTAAGGATCATAGATACGTTATTACCAGAAGTGATCTTAGTAGTAATCTGATCCAACTCTCTTATTTTTCAGATACAAATACTGAGATTGGAAGGTTAGCCCATTTGGTGACCATAAAATATCAATGGATAAATACCATCCATTTCTCACTTAGCAATCCTGGGAGGTATTTAGTTCAGTAGGGTGTACTTTCTCCACACAATCATTGAAGATCCAGACTGATGATGACTATGTCATCCTAAAAATATCAATTTTATTATCAGCCTGTGTATTAGTCAGGGTTCTCTAGAGGGACAGGACTGATAGGATATATATATATATATATATATATATATATACACACACACATATATGTGTGTATATATATGTGTATATATATGTGTATATATATACACATATATACACATATATAAAGTATATTTATTAAGTTATTAAGTATTAAGTTATTAAGTATTAACTTAAGTATTATTAATACTTAATAATTATTAAGTATGTATTAATAATACTTAATAATTATTAAGTATTAATAATACTTAATAATTATTAAGTATTAACTTACATGATCACAAGGTCCTACAATAGGCTGTCTGCAAGCTGAGAAGCAAAGAGAGCCAGTCCTAGTTATCAAAATTGAAGAACCTGGAGTCTGATATTCGAGGTCAGGAAGCATCCAGCACGGGAGAAAGATGTAGGCTGGGAGGCTAGGCCAGTCTCTCCTTTTCACGTTTTTCTGCCTGCTTTATATTTGCTGGCAGCTGATTAGACGGTGCCCGCCAGATTAGGGGTGGGTCTGCTTTCCCCAGCCCACTGACTCAAATGTTAATCTCCTTTGGCAACACCCTCACAGACACACCCAGGATCAGTATTTTGCATCCTTCAGTCCAATCAAGTTGACAAACAGTATTAACCATCACAGCCTGATAGTTACCACTGCAGTTATCTTGAAAAAGAAAAAGAGCTAAGAGTAGCACAATGGGCATATTTTCTGGTTGAAAGTGGCCCATATCATTTCTCACATTGCAGCTGGGAGAACATAGTCACATGGTCTACTTAGCTAACTTCAAGGGTGGCAGTATGGCCACAAAATAGTTAAACATATTTGGGGGGACGGTTAGTGGTTTCACCGCTAATCTATCATAGGTCACTTAGTTAAAATGGGAAGGTCTTTCCTACAACATACATGCTCATATATAAATGAATTTGGACATTTAAAAATGTACATTTCAGGTACAAAAGAAGTATTCTTATTAAATATGCATGGGAAAGATAGAAGACAGAGGGTGGAGAGTGTTTAGCATTTCCATGGATATAATAACTACCATTTTTTCTGTGCCCATCTAGAGGTCAGTGTTCTCTTTTTATCATTACAGAAACTCATAGGGATTGCTGTCATCATCCCTACTTCTATAGGGAAGGAAACTGAGGCTCAAACAACCTAAGCTCCTTCCTTAAAAAATTGAAAGTAATATATTTATTAATTTTTAGAGCAAAGATTTTCATTCAAGGATGTTGGTTATCATGTCTATGCACAATTCACTGGACTGTGTTGCCTTTAATTTAACAAAAGGGCAAATGAGCCATGAGACCCTGTGAGCTAAGAATGAGCACCACATTTTTCTTATCTTATTTTATATGATTATATCATTGAACTTGATGTTCTTATATATGTATTTAATATATATCACAATCAATCCAAATACATCCTGTAGGAATATATCATAAGCAAAATCACTGACAAACATTTGAGATGGAGAAATATAAATACCTCTCAAAATGTCACCAGTTAGACAAAGTATAAAATAATAAAACACATGTGTATTTATATTTTCATATAAAATATAGATGTTACTGATTAAAACATATTTATTGACCCTTTTCTCAGCTGCTGCTAAGGTTCTTGATCCTTACAGAGAACTTGGCATTGTGTAGAGGAGGGGATCTCACTTCATGCCTGATGGCCACAGGCTCCTCATTCACCTGCAATAAGACCAACTCCAATCTCACTCCTGGGCTCATTCTTTCTGATTATGAGGTGATCGTCACAGAAAATAAAATGGACACCCTCAATAAACAACTGGTATAGGCATTGGAACTTTCTGGCGAGACTTGTTTGCAAGCCTTCCCAATTCCTACTTTCTACCTCTGCATGGCTGAGGTAATAATTAGTTTTATTTAATTGTTTTTTGCACTTATTGTTCCCCTTTACTCCAACTTTCTCAGTTTTTGTTTTATCCTTTAGTGTTTGCATGTATGTCATATAAAGCATCTCAAATTATTTGAAGAATACAGCAGAAAGTGAAGGATGTAAGAAAGAGAGGAGGAGGATGGAGCAATTGAAAGAGGACAAAAGGAGGAATGTGTGGGGAGAAGAGAAGAAAGGAGGAAGAATAGCAATTGTCTGTACTAGAGATTTATTTTGTGCCATTTTTTGTTCTATGAACTTCCACTTACTTGTCACTAATTTTCCTCCTCTAGATGTGTAAATCTTATGTCAACCATTTAAACACACCCAGAAATATACTGATTTCCTTTCTTGAGAGATATTTCTTTCAGAGGCTTTTTAATAGCAGACGTCCTGGGAATTCTCTTTATCTCTTGGAAGGGATCAGCCATTTTCTGTGTCCTATGTCTTCCTCTTTCTTGGCGTACTCCCTCAATTTGGTAGAAAACATCCTCCAAAATATCTCTGAGAAAGGGCCAATGGGTAGAAAAAGTTTTGAAACTGCATATGTGGAAATGTCTTTATTCTATTCTCATGTGTAATTGGTAATTTGGCAGAGTACTAAATTGTAGGGTAGAAATACATTCCAGGTGAAAATGTGAAGATAATTCTCCACTCTTGTCACAGGACAGAAGCACTACTCCAGATATTGCTGTAGAGTGTGGTTTGTTTGATAGAAAAAGATGCAAAGATGGTAACCAGAATCTCATGTGTCTCAGGATCCCCATGAGAGTCTCCTTTCCAGCTGAAGCTTCCTTAAGCATTTTCCAAGAAAGGGAGTATTGCCAACATATCCCTAAAGAGACCCACCAAATTTATATCACCCAGCAGGTGCCAGTATAATAATACACATGAAGCCATATTTCCTAATTAGTCATATCAAAATGATTCAGTTCCAAGCAAGCATCGCAAACTTTTACTATTTGATGCTCTTTTTATTGCACAGTTGCACACCTGCACAGAAGCATCATTTTATTTTCTTAGATCCTAAAGGAAACCAGCCCTCTTTACTGCTAGTGAACTCACTGGGCCTTCTTACTCCCTCTACACTGCTGGCTAGTCACTAAAAATCCTGTCCCTCTTATTCCATGTTGCACAACAATGCTGCATTTTTTCAGCCTTGCTTATAGTTATGATTGCTCTGGTATTAATGCAGTTTTAGTAAAAGTGACGTGTTTTCTTCTTGATCAAAGGCTTTAAGAAAATAATACGTTTCCTACATACTTCCCCCCACCATTTTTCCAGCTGAATGTGGTGATAATGACATTCTAGAGAACAGAAACCCCCAATATAAGAAAGTTCCTTAGTCCCTGATGTACTAAATAAAAACTGCCCATTAACTAGAAACTTTGGATTTTTACCTGAACAAGAAATAAACTAATATGTTTGAGCTATTTTATAGTTTGATTCTATTTTACACAACACCTAATGCCATCCTAATACAGAATGCATTATGATTATTGATGCTTTGTCAGAAATCTTCCTTCCTTCCTTCCTTCCTTTCTTTTTTCCTTCCATCCTTCCTCCCTCCCTCTCTTCTTCTCCCTTTCTCTCTTCTCCTTCCTTCATTCCTTTCTTTCTTTTTCCTCTCTCTCAGTTTCTTTCTTCCTACCCCTGTTTCTCCTAGACTTTTTAGAATCCTCTCGTGGTCACCAGTATTCTGATATTTCAGCATGGTGTATCTTGTTAGGTTTCAATCTTTATGCAGAGAATTCAGTGGATTTTTTTCAATCTGAAATTTTAAAAACTTCATTTCTAGAAAACTATATTTAATTCCTAATTTATCTCCTTCATTTTTCTTTCTTGTAGAAATCCCAGTCAACTTCCTGAACTGGTTCTCTAATTTTCTTACGTGTTTTTCTTTTAATGTTTTTTTCCTCCACCTCCTAAGATTTTCTTCACTTATGAGATCCTAATGATCCCATAATCCTTTTTACTCAAATTCGTTCCAGTGGCTTCTATGTTTTGGCAATCACGAGAGCATAATTAAGAGAGTCATTCTTAAAGGACAGCTGTAGCATTGCAGATATATGCCTGGGAATACTTGTTTTTTGTTTTGTTGTTTGTTTGCTTTTTTGTCCTGTTTCACGTGGAAAAAGCAATGCTCTCTCTGGGAATAGACCTTCCTTTTCTCTGCCTTTCCATTGGCAAGTCATTGGCTGTTGCTTTATTGCCAGTGACTTCAGCATGATCTGTATCAGTCAGGGTAAGCTAGATTACACTACAGTAATAAACAAACTAAAAACTTTCAGGGCTTAAAACAATACAGCTTTATTTCTCACTCCTGATGCATGTCCACGACAGTTCGGTAATGAAACTTTGCTTCTTGTGGTCAGTCAAGGAACTCAGCTGCAAGAGTGGCCACTATCTTACTTGTTTCTGGTTAATGTGACAAAGGAACAAAAAATTTTTTGCGGTCTGGCATTGGTACTTAAGTGCACAGGCCCAGGGGAGCCACACCACACACTGTTCACAACTCTCTGGCTCAAATGAATCACACAGCCCCATTCAAACACAAGGGAGCAAAGACGTGTCAATCTACTCAGCACCCAGGAGGGCAAAACAGGAAACAGTAAACAGTCTAATGACTACAATGACTCATGCAAGAAAAAAGTTAAGTCAAAGTAAGAGTTCATATAATGTATATGTATGTCAATAACCCAAAGTACAGCTGTTTATTCAATAAAAAAACTAGACTAGTTATGAACATCTCCCAGTTGTCTTTGATTTTGTGTATTTATTTGCTTGTATCCAGAAGGCCATTGGTGGTTTTAGATTTTTTTTTATTTGTAGAAGAAGGAAACATTGACTATAATCATCAGCTGCCTTTCTAACACCTTCTAAGAAAAACCTTGGGGTATGTTTCAGCTAAGAGGTGGTAAGATTTCTTAATCATGATCCAAACTGTTTTTAACAAGTTTCAACAAAAACTATATATAGCCAAGAACCACCATCTGTTTCACATATTTTTGTGTCAGTGATAGATGAGGGAAAAAAGCTACTTGAAGTCACTGTCTTGAAGGTCTTTAGAATTGTCCCTTGAAGCCTGTGCTAACATTTTTTTTTTTTTTTTTGCTTTTCCACAATCTCCACAAACTGGCCAGCATTAACTATACGTAAATGGAATTCAATATAATATTTATTTTCAAGAAAAAGAAGGCCTCCTTGCTAAATGGGTCTAAGTATCAATCTTGAGGAGTTTTTTTTTTTTTTTTGCCGTTGTGACTCAGTCTTCATGCCTCCATGTGGAAGTATAAGCATAGAAGTTCCTCAATTTACAAACAGGTTACCTTTCAAAGTGTTTTATTGATGTTCTGGTTGTGTAGAAAACAAAAATGAATTTTCCCATATAAATTACGTTACAATTTGGTGGTTAGATTTCCAGATTTTTATCACAGGAAAGCTTTTCTTCCTTTCCCTTCTATTATCCATCTTCTTCTAAATCCTGCTTTATCTTCTTTGCTAGCTTTGACTGCGTGAAATGGGATTTTAAAGCATCAGATAAAATAAGGTCAAGTGGGGGACAAGTGAGAGGCAGCTGTTTTTACATGGCAGCAGGATTAAGCAGGAAGACAGGCATGTAGCGGCAAGGGAAGAAAGGTGGGGTTGTAGAACTGTCCCTACGACATGTCTTTTCAGCACAGCTTTGCACATAAGAGACTTCAAGTCTGACTCATATAAATTAAAGATTTTTTTTACTGTGTCGTGGAACTTGGCACATAACATTCATTGTCATCATCTGTGTCTGCACTATCCTATCCCCTTGTCTAGATTCTAATCCCATTATCACATTTCAACCTATCTTATGCATAACAGCAGGAGATATCCCATGTGCTAGGTATAGAACTACATGGACAGAACTAAATGTTACTGTGATTCACAGCAACGAGATTTTTTTAAATTTAAACTGGATTTCATTTTGGGTTAGTTAATACGTTAAGATGGTTCAACATTCGAAAGGAAGAAAAGGTATAACAAAAATCTCCCTTCCATATTGTTACTCTGGCAACAAATTCCCTGCTCTAGAATTAACTAATACTGAACTCCTTTTGTTTATCCTTACAGAGATATGTTATGCATATACAAATAAATACATATCTATCTGCCTATCTCTATCCCTTATTTTTCAATTATATAGTTTTCTTTGCATTGTTCTTTCACTTACGATTGTATCTTGGAGATCATTACATGTTACACAATGAATTTCTTGATTTTTTATGACTAACACTCTATTTGTTGGATATACCTACTTTATTTAACCAGCACTCTATTACTGAGCAGTTATTTATTTTTGATATTTTGTTATTACTAAAAATAATACATGTAATAAATTTTCATAAACATCATTTAGAATATGTTTGTTTAAAATATGTATGAATAAATTCCAGGATATATTCAGTATCCACGCAAACGTATCACAAACAAAATACAGATATAATATAGGTTTTATTGGGGATAACCTAAAAACAGAGAAGTAGTGCATTATATGGAGTCCCCTGAAGTCTCATTATTCCACATTAGGGGGTAGGTATAGATGTTCTGAATGCACATTGGCTAAAGTTTCAGCAGACAAAGGCCTACCTGGGTCAGCAGGCTAGATGCATTACAGAAGTACTCCAAGCAGAGAGAGAGCCCCGCGCTATACCATAGTGAGTCTCTAAAGTCTAACACTCAATATAAGTGGTTGGAGTGGCCATCCTTTCCTTGTATCCAATACTGAAAGGGAAGTATCCTTTCACAGTTAGGTATAAATGTTTTCTATGCTTTTAGGGGTTTTGTTTATTTGCAAATGCCTTTGAACAGATTGGAAACTCTCTCTATTTAGAGTTAGCTGGGAGTTTTAAAACAATTTTTAATTGATATTGAATTTTGTCAAACACATTTTTGGCATCTATCGAAATGCTCACATGATTTTTCTTTAACTTGTTAATGTGTTACATTTTTAAACTATCACATCAATCTTGTATTACTGAATTAAACCATAATTAGATACATTGTATTATTCTTTTTATAAATTAATGAATTTGGTTTGGAAATATATTTTTATGCTTATGTTTATGAGTGCTATTGGTTTCTAATTTCCTTTTTCGTAATGTCCATATATAGTTTTAGTATCAAGGTTACTCTTTCCCCATAATATGAATTGGAAAGTGACTTTTCCTCCTCTATTTGTCTACAAGTCTGTGTAAACTTGATATTTCTTCCTAAAGGTTTTATTTCTTTTAATTTTTTAATTGAGACAGAGTCTCGCTCTCTTGCCCAGTCTGGAGTGCAGTGGCACGATCTTGGTTCACCACAATCTCCGCCTCCTAGGTTCAAGTGATCCTCTTGCCTCAGCCTCCTGAGTAAGAGGGACTACAGGCACTCACTACCACGCCTGGCTATTTTTTGTATTTTTAGTGGAGATGGGGTTTCACCATGTTGGCCAGGCTGGTCTCAAACGCCTGACCTCAAGAGATCCACCCACCTTGGCCTCCCAAAGTGCTGGGATTACAGGTGTGAGCCACTGTGCCAGGCCTCCTCCTTTCTTTCCTGAAAATGTGAATTTGTGTGCTGACTTTCTTTCTTTCTTCCTCCCTGTCTCTCTTTGTTCAGTTTGATTAGAGGTTTATCAATGATACTGGTATTTTCAAAGAACCAGCTTTCAGCTTCATTGGCTTTCTTTATTGTTCTTCTGTTTCCTACTTCACTGATTCCTACCCCTATCTTTATTATTCATTACTTCTGCTTACTTTGGGTTTAATTTGTTCTTCTTTTTTAAATTTTCTTTAGGTAGAAGTTTACATAACTGATTGTGACCTTTCTTCTTTACTAATACAAGAATTTAATGTATACTTTTACCTGTGAGAACTTGAAAAATATATATATTCTTCTAATTTTGGGGATAGCATTCAATAAATATCAACTAGGATAAGGTGATTGATAGTGCTGTTCAAATTGTCTATATATAAATTGATTTGGTTGTCCCTAACTATATTGATTACTGAGAGAGGTATGTTAAAGTATCCAACTGTAATAATACATTTTTATATTTTTTCATATCTAAAGTTTATCTTCCACAAACAGTACATCATTTGGCCTTGCTTTTTCATTCAATCTGACAATCTTGACAATAAAATCTTTATTTATATTTAATACAATTATTAATATATTTGGCCACAAGTCCACCATTTGGTGTTTGTTCTCTATTTGTCTCATTTCTTATTCATTCCTTTTTCTCCCTTCCTTTTCTTGACTTGAATTACTGAGTATATTTAGTAGTATCTTCTCTATTGGCATTTTAGCTAAAACTATTTTTTAAAAAACTTTGTTTTACTGAGGATTAAAATAAACACTTTTAACTTATTACAATCCACATTGAATTAACATTGCACACTTCATATGTAAGATATTTCAACAGTACACTTTCATATACTCCCTCCTTCTTATTTTTTTCATGTACTTTATTTCTAAATATGCTATGGCCACCAAAATACAATCATTATTTTTTTGCTTTGAACAATCAATTGTGTTTTAAAAATTAAGAAGCAAGGAAAAGGTCTGTTACAGTTGCCTGTATTCGAACCATTTGGTGTGTTCTTCATTCCTTCCTTTAGACACGTTTCCTTAGATACATGTTTCTTTAGCTACATGTTTTAGATACATATGTTTTTTCAGCCTAAAGGATTTCATTCAACTTATCTTGTAATGTTGGTCTGTTAGTGGTGAATTCTCTCAGCTTTTATCTGCACATATTTTCATTTTGTCTTCATTTTTGAATTATATTTTCTTTGACTATACATCCTGTTTTCTCTTTCAACACTTTAAAGTTGTGACTCCATTGTCTTCTAGCCCATGTTGTTTCTGATGAGAGTTCCGTGATGATTCTTATTATTGTTCCACACATGCAATATAAGTTTTGTCTCTGTCTGCTTTTGAGATTTTCTGGGTATCATTAGTATTTAGTAATTTGATTGTAATACATTTAAGGATTTTTCTTCTCTATTGCTTGGGGGATTGATGAGTTTTTGGATTTCTGGATAGAGTTTTAAAAATGGAATTTGGAAAAAATGTTTGCCTTGATGCTTTAAATGTTTTTCTTTTATATTCACTTTTCTCCCCCTCAGACACCAGTTACACAAATGTTATATGTTATACTGCTATATATTTTCCCAGAAGTCATTAGGTTTTGGGATTTTATTTTAGTCTTCTGTGTTTCAGTTTGTACAGTTTCTGTAGGCTATACAGTCTACAGAATATAACTTCAAAGTCATTAGCCTTTATATATAAAATACTTATAGCTCATACTGACTCTTAATACTTCCAATAAAATTCAAGACTAGAGAGATTTTTAATTAACTTTAGTTATCATGTATATATGGATTATTACACATGATTCAATATATATTATATATATATATATATGATATACTTATCTACTTTTTATTTTGGTGAAAATACCTGTTAATAAAAATGTTTGCTTTTCCAACAATACTAGTTTCAAAATTACAATACAAATCCTACCATGCCAATAAAATGTTTCTTAACCACAGTTTAATATTCTTTTGCAAACCTTTCTTATCCTTAGGGTGCATCCTACTGGGAATGGACAGTTAAATTATTGAGTTTTAAAGTCAATTTGTATAGTGATATTGTTAACGGATTCACAATGTTATGTATTTCAATTTGCTTTAGAGATTTAGGAATTAAAAAATAAGTTTTATACCTAAGTAAAATATTTACATGATTTCAAAGTCAAATCTACAAAATGTTGTATATGCTAAGAAATCTAGTTTCTATCCCTCTCTCTTTCACCTGATTTCCTTCCTTTCTTTATAGATAGTCAAATAAATATGTATAATCATTCCATTATCTAAAATATATGAAAATATATAAATATTCCCTTATCACCCTTTAAAGCTAAATAGTACCATGATATGCAACCTTTTAATTTATTTTACTAACATTTTAATTCAACAATATATACTAGAGATAACTACACAGTATATAGAAAATTCTATTTTTTACATATGTTTCTTTTTTGTTTGTTTGAGACAGAATCTGATCCTGTTACCAAGGCTGGAGTGCAGTGGCGCAGTCATAGCTCACTGCAATGTCAAATTCCTAGGCTCAAGCAGTCCTCCTGCCTCAGATTTCTAAGTAGCTGGAACCACAGGTAGGAACCTCTACACCTGACTATTTTTTAAAAAACGTTTTTTGTAGAGATGGGGGTCTCTCTATGTTACCCAAGCTGGTCTCAAATTCCTAGGCTCAAGTGATTCTCCTGCCTTAGCCTCCCCAAATCTTGAGATTTCAGGTGTGAGCCACTGTGCCTGGCCTTGTTTATTTTTCTTTTTACAGATACATACCACTCTATTGTGTTCATACCCCATAGCTTATTCAACCAGTTCTAGAATCAGACATCTAGGTTGTTTCTATTATTTTAGGTATCAAAATAAAATGGCAGGGAATTATTTAAGTCTATGTATTTTATTCTGCTAGTATATCTTAGTAATCGTTTCTTAGAAGTGGAGTTGTTGGGTCAAAAGGTAACTGCATATGTTCTTTTATTAGATATTGTTAAATTTCCCTTTATAGAAGTTGCGACATTTTGCAGTTTCACTAGTTCTAAATGAGAGGGCCTGTTTCTATGTAGCTTCACCGACAGACTGGGTTTTCAAACTTTTGGATTTTCACCCAACTGATGGGTAAGAAAAAAAAGAGTTTACTCTCCTGCCAATATCTTGGGGTTTTCATTTACATTGCAAAGAACAAACTGTAAACCACTTTGCATAGTGTCCTTGCCCCAAAATAGGGGCTTGATTTACCATGTAATTTATTTCTGGTTCATATTGCTGTTCTGAACAAGCTTTTGGGTTTGAGGTTATAAACAAAATAATTTGACTGTTTACTTGTGGCTAAACAAATGGCATAAATATATATTTGGAAAAAATCGTTTTTGAAGGGAAAAACTTGGGCAGTTGTTTCCAAAAATTATCATCTATTTGTCTGGCAAGTATTTGATTCAATAATATTATCAAAACTTTTGGTTTCTTATCATAACAAAAGGTATATATTTTTTTCTAGTCAAAAGACTTTAGGTTCTGGATAAGACAGCCAAAAACATGTGATAACCCTTTCTCATTGTAGTCACTCTCCAAGAATTTGACTTGGAATGGATATTCAAACCTTACTTACTGTTGCTTTATATTTGTTCTTCCTTCACTTCTTTATCCTCTTATTTCCAGTTTTCCTCAAATTTCTTGCACACAGACTTTGACATTTTCCTTTCCCACCTTTTTAAAATTGATTGCTTTTTACTCTTTCCTGCTCTCATTGCTTCCTTCCATCTTCTCCACAGATTTCTTTGATTCATGTCCCTAAATCTCATCTAGGTCTACTCCTGCCTTGTGTCCCATGTGAGCACAAGAAACATCTCTCTCCTGTCTCATGACTTACACCTGTCCAAAAAGAAGGCACTTCTTTTAAGAAAAGGTCTCTTTTCCTGTACTTTTGCCATCTGTGACCTGATACATTTAACTTTCATAACCTAGTAGGATTTACTTGTACAAGGGCATCAGGAAATTTCATCCCTTAGTAGATCTGTATCTACTTCCTGGACACACTATAACTGTCTGCATCTTTCCCTTTATTTCTTTCATCAGACATTTATGGCACGCCTAGTAAATGCCAGCTCCTGACCTAGGCAACATGGATACATAAGTAAGGCAGAGTTCTTGTGCTGAAAGGTATCGACTGACTTCAGTTATAACCTGTGAATACATATGGTGCATGGAAATTTCTGAGGCTGACTGCCCTCTCTTCCCATCCCTACCTGGCAGCATACTCCTCCTTATCTTTGCACTTTATTTGCTATGTTCTCTAGGAATCCTTTCTGAATTTTCCTTTCTCCATTCTCAAAGTTGTTTGATGCCCCTCCTCAAAACTCCCAGGTCATGCTCAACTTTCCCCATTTTATCACATTTCACCACACCATATGGTAATTGTGTCCTTCTTTAGACTGGATGCTCCATGAGGGCAGAAATAGCTCTCTATCATTAACTATAAGTTTCCAGCACCCAAAATAGTATCAGTAGCATAGAAGAACTCAAAAAATAGTTCGTCAGTGCTCACGTATACACATAAAAGTGTATATTATGTGCAGTAAATAAAAGAGGATTTAAATAGAAGAGTTGGAAGAAAGAAAACACATCTTTCAGTGAAAATGGAATAAGCGAGGATGTCACATAAATGGAATAACCTTCATGAAGTAGGTTCTAATGATTATTTCATAGAGATTTTGCCAGTTCTAATCTCAAGTACCTTTGAAGTATGTTTGTTGTTGTTATTGTTGTTGTTGTTTTGAGACGGAGTCTCACTCTATTGCCAGGCTGGAGTGCAGTGGTGCAATCTCGGCTCACTGCAACCTGCGCATCCTGGGTTCAAGCAATTCTTCTGCCTCAGCCTCCTGAGTAGCTGGGGCTACAGGTGCACACCACTACTCCCAGGTAATTTTTGTATTTTTAGTAGAGACGGGGTTTCACCATGTTGGCCAGGATGGTCTCGATCTCTTGACCTTGTGATCTGCCCGTCTCGGCCTCCCAAAGTGCTGGGATTACAGGCATGAGCCACTGTGCCCAGCCAAAGTATGTTTTTAAAGAACAATAATTTAAATTTATTTAACTTTCCTTAATGGTATTAATTATGCCCATGAAATACTAATGAATTACTCATTTGGCAATTCCAAGCAAGCACAGTGGTTAGATAAGTCTCATAAATGTTAATCAGTAATTCCCGATAGCTTAATCACAGTTGTACCTCACCAAAGAATTTAAGACCTAAGTGAATTGTTATTGGTTTTAAAGCTATATGCTGGTATCTGTAATTTGATTATTTTCTTCATCTTTTTAAACTATGTTTTCTCTCTCTGTCTCATACATATTTTCTATGCAACCGAGTTTTGACTGAAGCTATTAAATTAAGCTAATAAAAACAGTATACAATCTGTGAAAGGGTAGGCTCTGAACTGGGTGGAAATGGCCAATTATAGTGTAAAGTTAGAATCACTCTCTACTTGTGAACCTAAAGAAACCCAGACCATGAAGTGGTTACACCCAGAAATTCAATGCCTATATGCTAGAGTTTCATCTGTACTCTTGTCTAGTCAACATATATTCTCATAGGTCTATCAGCAGGAATAATGAAAGGAACCTTAAAATAAATTACCTAAACCCCTTTCAAACAAAATTTGAAATGAAAATCTTAATTCAAAGAATTATCAGATGCAGAAATCAGGGAGTGTTTATATTTACATATTTTAAATTTTAAAGAGGCTGCTATCACCTCAAATAGTTATGACATGGCTCGGATGTTTGTCCCCTCCAAAGCTCATGCTGAAAGTGATTCCCAATGTTGGAGGTGAGGCCTGGTGGGATGTGATTGGATCATGGCGCAGATTCCTCATGGTTTAGCACCATCCCTGCATTAGTCTGTTTTCACACTGCTATAAAGATACCACCCAAGACTTGGTAATTTATAAACAAAGGAGGTTTAATTGACTCACAGTTCTGCATGGCTGGGAAGGCCTCAAGAAACTTACAATCATGGTGGAAGAGGAAGCAGGTACCTTCTTCACAAGGTGGTAAAAGAGAGAAGAGTGAAAAAGGAACTTCCAAACACTTATAAAATCATCAGATCTCATGAGAACTCACTCACTATCATGAGAACAGCATGGGGGAAACTGCCTCCATAATCCAATCACCTCCCTCCCTCAACACGTGGGGATTATGATTCGAGATGAGATTCCAGAGGGGATACAGAGCCAAACCATATCAGTCTCCTTGGTGAGAAGTGAGTTCTCCCTCAGTTAGTTCACATGAGATTTGGTTGTTTAAAGGAGTCTGGGACCTCCTCCTTTGCTCTCTTGTTCCCTCTCTTGCCGTGTGATGTGCTGGCTGCCCTTGGCCTTCTACCATGATTGCAAGCTTCTTAAGGCCCTCACCAGAAGCAGATACCAGCACTATGATTCTTGTACAGCCTGCAGAACTGTGAGCCAATTAAACCTCTTTTCTTTTTAAATCATCCAGTCTCAGGTATTTGTTTATAGCATTGCAAGAATGGACTAACACAAATCAGAAGACATTTTTTAAAAATGATTATTGTTTGAATATATAGAAACAGAGGGTAGAAAGGTAGCTATTGGGTGGTGGAGGGGTGAAGGAAATGGAAGTCAAAGCTTACAAAGTTGTGGTTATGTAAGATGAATAAGTAGAGATGCAGTGTACAGCATGAGGACTATAGTTCATAATACTGTATTGTATACTGGAAATTTGCTGAAAGAGTAGATTTTAGGTACTTTTACCACGTACACACAAAAAAGGTAACCATGTGTGATGATGGGTATATTAATTGGCTTGACTTTAGTAATTATTTCACTGTGTGTATATCAAAACATCAAATATATTTAAGGGATACAACATGATGTTTTTACATATATATGATATATGTGTTTTTACATATATAATTATACATATTAAGGAGAGCAGCCTCTAACTTTATATATATATATATATATATATATGTATATGGTATATGTATATGGGTATATATGTATACATATATGTATACATATATATGGGTATTTTATATATGTACACACACCCATATGTAAAATTATTTAAAGGCTGCTGTCTTGAGTTTTTGTGGAGATAAACAAGTTAACATTAATTAAAATTATGTTTCTTGGAAACATAATTAAATGTGATGCAGATGGTTATTAAATTTAAAATCAAAATTTTATTTGTTTGGCCATTGTGATTAGTCCCAGGATGAAGACTGTCTTTTCATAACCATGATAGAAAGGAATCACAAAGAATGCTTAACAGAAGATTACATTGCATGAAGTAAATTTAAATAGCCTGAAGCCAATTGCTTTAAAGACTTCAGTAAATTTTGTTTGATATACAAATATCAAATCTTATCTGTTTTTGTCTGAAATTAGACATCAGTATAGTGTTATTTGTCATAATTTCAGTTATTTTTGAAAATGTTAACCATATAGTAACCTTATTTCTTTAATTTGAATTCTAGGCCAATGGTTTTCAACTGGGAATTCACGCAACTCATATCTGGAGTTTTATTAATATAACAGATGTTTAGTACCTCCTCCAGATTTACTGAGCCTTTTTACTTAATAATTTTGATACATTCTTGGGTTATTCTAATTGTATGCTTGTTTAGTCATGTATGTTATATGTCAAGATTATTC
This sequence comes from Homo sapiens, assembly GCF_000001405.40. NCBI lineage: Eukaryota > Metazoa > Chordata > Mammalia > Primates > Hominidae > Homo > Homo sapiens. Next base: position 121,541,350 of record NC_000007.14, read on the forward strand.
TATCTGAAGGCTTTTTCTCTGTAAAAATTATGTTCATCCATTTTCATAAATTATATATGATATCCACTCTTTGAAAATATGGCTAATTTTATGTTTGTTTGTATTTTGTCTTTAACTTTTTGAGTGATTTTATTTTGCACATCACAGAAAGAATCAAACTTCCTTGTTAACTGTATTATTCCTGTAACAAATCCTCTTCAGATCTTTGTTTTGAAAATCATTAATAATAAGCTAACCACACCCATTTTAAATCTCTGTCATCTACAGAAAGGGTTTGTTTTGTCATGATGCTTCCCTGAAACCACTTGCAATAAGCTACAGGCCAGTGTGTTATTATCAACAAAGAAAGACTGTCTTAGAGCCTTGGGAAAGGACTATACCAGGCACTGTACCTTGGTGTACAGCTTCTGATGGTATTGCATGAACAACTTTGAGGCCATCCCGGTGGACTGAGTCAGTATATCTGGACTTCAGTCCACAAATGAGTCCATGATATGGCTACCCCAGGATTGTGTGGAACAAGAATTCATTGCATAGGGCTAAATCAACTAATGGGTAACACTTGTTGGTTTTGTTTGGAATATTGTTGATGTTTTAATATTCTGTGTTCTGGATGTAAAGAACCCTTTCTCTCTTTTCTGTTAAGCTGTCTATAACTTATAACAATTTAGTAGACTCTGTTTTATAAACAGAAATAAAACTCTTATCTTTTTTCCCTGCTTGTTCCCTCTAGAAATCAGAAACTCTTATTAAATATTCTTATTTTCACAGCAACAGAGTTATATGCATAGGTTCACTAAGAAGAGATTATATTGTATCCCTTGTCATTAACAAGGAAACAACAATGTTTCCAATTATGTCCTGTTATTAATAAGGATAGTCCTTATTATTCACCAACCAAGACCATGCCTGCCATTTCATATTTGATAATGATGCGTATTTAATCAGATATGACCAGGCACTAAAGAAACTTGGATTGACTTGATGGAGCCGATGCTTTTGAAGCCCTCTTAGGAAAACTTGCCCATTACCTGTCTTACAGGGTTTAAAGGGCTTACAGGGCCTACACTGTTCCTTCTTAGCCTTAGAGCTGAGGAAGGAAGGCTACTTCCTGGTAATCCTAAGAATTTCAGAATATTTGAGGGACCTCAAGAAGAAAGGAATTAATCTAAATATATAGGTGAAATCTGATGATGAATTATTGGCTTGGCATACTAGCCTCAAGGGGCATTTAAAAGTTAAAATTGCCCGGGCATAGTGGCTCACGCCTGTAATCCTAGCACTTTGGGAGGTTGAGGTGGCCGGATCACTTGAGGTCAGGAGTTCGACACCAGCTAGACCAACATGGTGAAACCCTGTTTCTCCTGAAAATACAGAAATTAGCTAGGTGTGGTGGCACGTGCCTGTAGTTCCTGCTACTCTGGAGGTTGAGGCATGAGAATTGCTTGAACCCAGGAGGCAGAGGTTGCAGTGAGCTGAGATCATGTGACTGCACACCGGCCTGGGCAACAGAGCAAGACTCTGTCCCAAAAAACAAACAAACAAACAAAACCTAAATAACTACATAAATAAAAGTTGAAATTGAATCAAGAGTTCCTAATGATAACTTCCAGGAAAGCAAACTTAAAAAGATATATATGGTAAATTACCATTCTTACTGTACCTCTGTACATAATCAGGCTAAATCCAGTAAGAATGAAACCACATTATTTTATGATCAAGAATAATCACTTTTTTTCTCTTCTTTCCTTTTCCTCTTTTTTTTTTTTTTTTCTTTGAGATGGAGTCTCACTGTCACTCAGGCTGGAGTGCAGTGGCACGATCTCGGCTCACTGAAAGCTCAGCCTCCTGGGTTCATGACATTCTTCTGCCTCAGCCTCCTGAGTAGCTGGGACTACAGGCGCCCGCCACCACGCCTGACTAATTTTTTTGTATTTTTTTAGTAGAGACGGGGTTTCACCATGTTAGCCAGGATGGTCTTGATCCCCTGACCTCGTGATCCTCCCGCCTTGGCCTCCCAAAGTGCTGGGATTACAGGTGTGAGCCACTGCACCTGGCCCTGTTTTTTTTAAAGACTATCTTTGTTCAGGAAAACTTTGTTTCAGTGGAAAACTATAGCAGATCTTTTTGAGTTATCAGATTTGAAACAATAATTCAATCGTCTTTGAACTATTTGTGCCTCTTTATAAATTGTAGGTAACTGATGGATGTGCTAACTCTGTTTGGTTGAGATTTAATTGGCTTCCTTCCCCACTGTGCAATAACTGGTTTTGTAACCTACTTGTGATTAGACTGGATTTTGTTACCTTGAACAAATTGTCAATTTTTACCATGTTTTCAATTCTTCTCATTTTTTTTTTCAATATCTGGCTATAACCTTTCAAACTAACATTTCCAACTTTTCTCCCTCCCTCTTAACTTGGTCTCACTGAGAACAAAAGTCTGACTATCTAGAGATCCTTATCGAGACTCAAAGTTGCCTTGTAGCTGTTCTTTCACCTCCAGATCTGAAGAAGGACTGGGGGCTAAAACCTGATGACTTGATATATACCCTGAGGGACTTATCACCACAGAAGACCATAATGGACTGAATTTCTCCCTGAGCAAGTTACTGTCTAGGCCACTAAGAAAGCTCACTGAAATGCTCAGGTCATGCATAACCTTACATGAGAAGTAACCAAGACTGGACAACATCACCAAGAACATTAACTTCTTAACTTCAAGAAACTCCATAAGCAGTGCTACATAATCAAAAGGTTTTCATCCACTGACTCTGGAATCCACTGGACCAAACTTTCTCAGGGTTGAACTCTTGGGTCTTTACTTTAATCCAGCTTTATATATATATATTTTTTTTATTTTTCATATAGATGCCTGATCTCTAGGACTCTAAAACAACTGAGCTTTGCCTCTACCTTTCAATAGATGTGTTTATGGGAGGCCATTATTTTGGACTAGTTTCCTGTGTTAGGCCCTAGCAGACAAGACCAAATTATAATGGAGTTACTTGGGCTAAGTGCCACATAATCAAACTGAACTTTCCAACAGGTCAGTTTTCCAAAAAAAACCCCCAGCAGATTCTAGTACCTGAGTCAGCATAATAAGGATGCCTCCTCTGTTTGAACCCTATAAGGAAAGTAACGTTGAAAGGATGAGTCTGTTTTTTATTCTCTCTTTTTGTTTCCTTTGGCTCTTTTCATTCTATAAATCTAACCTCCTCCATTCAGTTCATTTGAACACTCACTCTATTTTATAGAATGAGGTGTTCCCTGATTCTAGAATTGAAAATAAAAGTCAATTATAAATTTAAACTAAATACATTGTAATTTTATTTTTTGATGGGTGATTTAATTAATTTTGAAGACATCATGTCATTAAGAGTCCTCGCAAGCATAGTTCTTTTACCCTGGTTCACCTCACTCAGGAGATTTATGGCCACCTTTGACTTGTGCAACAGTGAATGAAATTTATCTGTCTTGATCAAAAGGGAAAGAGGACTAACAATGTTGAACTTTTCCAGAGCCTCATGCTTTCAGAAAATAGTTGTGGTTAAGAAATCTCACCAACTTTTTGTTTTCAGAAATGCCTCACCGTTTTGTGTTCTGAAAAACAGCTTAAGGAAATGAATCACCCTTCTCCATGTGACTCACATAGCACTCACTGTCCATTCTTTCTTGTGACCCCCATCAGGCTTGTAAATGGCTTTCTTGTTTACCTGTGACAAGGCCAAACACACACTTTTCACCTTTGTTTGAACCTGCTGACAAAGCCAGGTATAAATTCCCCCTTCCCTTTGCCTCTACCCAATGTCCCATTATTCCTTTTTTTTTTTTTTTTTTGGAGATGGAGTCTCACTCTGTCATTCAGGCTGGAGTGCAGTGGCATAATCTCAGCTCACTGCAACCTCTGCCTCCCAGGTCCAAGCAATTCTCCTGCCTCAGCCTCCCTAGTAGCTGAGATTACAGGTGCACCCCACCACACCCAGCTAATTTTTGTAGTTTTAGTAGAGATGGGGTTTCACCATGTTGGCCAGGCTGGTCTTGAACTTCTGGACTCAAGTGACCTGCCCACCTCAGCCTCCCAAAGTGCTGGGATTACAAATTACAAACGTCTATTCTTTATCTCATGAATGATTAGCTAAGGTTACAACTGTTTGTTTTTGAACTAGCAAGACACAGAAATAAACATTTTCTGCCCACTTAAATAACAGAGACCTCTTCTGATTGCAAAACAATACAGCTGGGAATCCCCACACCTGCAATTTGTCTACTCTTTCCTGTAAATGCCTTAAGGCAAATCCACTCTGCAGAGACACTGTAATTTTCTGATCTGTGGGACTCTCCCTATGGCACTAGCTGGAATAATATCACCTTCTCAATTGTCTCATGCATTTTGTCTTCAACAGTACTGAGAATAATTCCCTGGGCGGCATCAGTGATTGGGTGCTAGTGAGAGTTGCATTCCCTTTTCTTTCTACTTTCCAGACAAGTAAAAGAAACAAAGCAATAAAGAACCATCAAACAAGACTTTGACAGATAATAATATATTCTGTGGATAATTTCTACTTCAGAGATAGGCAATTACACATTTTTAAAAGCAATTTTTACTGCTCAGTTACAGCAAGTTTGCCTATTTACAAAATAAATGCTGTTTTATTATTTTTAAACATGTCTTACTTACTGCATGCCTCTCCATTTTTAAGAAAACCCCAGTTACTCTGACTGAGCAGGAGAGTTTAGGAAAGGAAGGAAATCATATTGGCTGATCTTCCAATAAGTGACAGACTTGGGCTAGACATTTACATTTATTTGATCCTTTCAGCAACCTGGTGAGGTAGGCATTATCTCCATTTTAGAGATAAGGAACTGAGGCTTGGTGGTGTTAATATCTCACTCAGCATCACACACCTAGTAACTGATAGAGTTTTATGCTTTCCTAACATCTTACATGCCTTCAGTGATGATAATTCTTCAGAAATTAGTAAACATTCTGTGAATTTTTAATATTCTGTGAATTTTAGAACTCATTAAGACAAACACACATCTATGCCTTGTACTCGTATAAAACCTATTGAATGTTACAAATTATGTCTTATCGTTCCAAAATTTCAGATTTTTTTTCCCAGAAATCAAACTCAATGCTGTTTGGAAAATTTTTGCATAAACCAGCATTCAGATTAAGCAAAATAGAGAGATAAATGAAGAGTTGAATCAAAACAAAGTTGAAAACCAAAATAAAATTTTAATTATTTGGTACATTTAATCAGGAAGGATCTTCTTACAAGGCAGTTCTGTGCAAAACATCAATGAGTGCTAATAAATAAGGACATATGTGTGTCCCAAAAGATTTGTCTTCAAGGTATTGTGAAAAAAGTTCCTGGAGCCACCTATGAGAGAGAGTGCATCTGGTCTAATTGCAAACTTCAAGCAATTGTTAAACTTCTTATTGCCTTCTTGAACACCTCTCTGGACTCACCTGTGTAGGTCTGTCTCTGTCCTCCTCCGGGCTGTCTGTGAGTTTCAGTTCTACCCTTCTACCCATACTAAGGGAGAGTCCACTCCAGCCTTGTGGACGTCTAGTTGCATATTCACTTTATCCATAACCTTGACATCTTCGTGAAATAATAAGTGGGTAGGGAAAAAAATTTCTCCTATACACTAGTGGAAATTGTATACTAAAAAATTTCAGCTATTTAACAGAGGGCCAGGAGTTTGGAAATTAGAAGCTGTTTCCCAACATCAGCAAAATAAAGGATTCCACTTTATTTATTTGAAGCCACAATTATCCAACCCACTTCAACGGTTGCTTCATATAATGAGTCTTAGAGTCAGAAAAACTATAATTTAATGACCCCTGATTATGTAGGCTGAAAACTTGGATTCAATGTGGTAATTAGATAAGGCATGTTTGTTTATCTGACATTAGATAAGGCATTTTACCTTCCATCAGCCACAATTTCTAATTTTCCTGCAGATGTTTACACATGTTTTGGGGAAAAAGCTTTTATGGTACTACAGATGCAGCCATTGCAGCTTGGCAGAATGCTACAGGAGCAGAATAATCATCAGAGATGTTCCTAAGCAAAGAAGGAAAACCAGTTCTGAAAAAATGGCAATGATTAAATAAGGTAAAAAGTACACTATTTCCAATGGAATTATGTGATTTTTAAAAAAACTTTGAGAGATGTGAATTTGTCTATGTATAAATAGGTAGACAAAATTGTTCACAAGTAATTTTAAATATTTTTTTCTTTCAGAAATGAAATATTCTTCAATTTAAGGAAATTCTGACGTTTCAGTACGCTAGTGTGTGATGTTCAGCTATTATAGATGCTCCTAGCGCCATCTGGTGAGATATACAAGCAATAGCATCAATATTTGACTCATGCTTTGTAAACCCAGGAGACACTTACTCTGCAGAAAATAGGCAGTAGAACAACCTCCACTTATTACACTATGAAGTTTGTCCTCAGATACTAAGAAAAATCACTGTGTAACCTTGATGTGCATGTAACATCATTTTAATAATGCAGATATGGATCTCACTGAACATTTTAATTGTACCTTTATCCTTGAAATGTTTATCAACCTCTGGTGCCATTTTCTCTTCAAATAAATTTTGCATACATTTCCAACTGAAGTTAATGGAAAGTTAGAATATACATTTGAGATTACAAGTTAACCTAAAATTCATGTTGTAACATGCAAATTAGAAGAAAAATCATTTTGCTTAATTCTTTAGGACTATTTGACATTTCAATTGGAGGTGCAGTAATTTCTTATCGAAAACAAAAGAATAGATGTTTTCTTTTGGAAAACAGACTTGATATGTGTACATGATATTTCTATTAGAGGAAAAGAATATTGAAGAAGAGGATGAAGTTGGCTTTGAATAAGTTGAAAAACATCAGGGTTAGAGGTGCTGAATGTAAAAACATTTAGTGTTTTGACTTCTAATATCACAGACACCTTTTCTCCAAGAGTTACTGGTATAAAATATGTAAATTTACCTCAGACAAAAATATACAGAAGTGTAAAATGCCTTCAATTCCTCCTTACATAAGCTCTATCTGTTGTAAACCAAGTTCAGCATATGTGTAATCAAGAGCTTCTGGAACAGCAGGGAATCACCTGAGCATTGGGAATCTTCAATTTGTTCCATCTCTCAGACAGGTTGCTGAGTGCAGTGCCATCTTATGCATGTAGGCATTTGTTGGTGGTTTGCTGTTTTAGCACAAATGACAGTATAGATACGATTTGCATAGCAAGCTTAAATAGTTAATGATCAAGAAATATGACAAGACTTTATCTGATAAACATTTACTCTTATTTTTCTGACAGAGTAATGTTGATAAACACCAAAAAGCTCTTTCCACAAATACCACAGTAGAATTCACAATCAGAACCAACTACAAAATTTGCAGTGGTGTGCTCAATGCACCATGAAAATGCAAGCCCCTTTGTTCAAAAATTTTAAGGAATTTCAAGATGGCAACAAAAGAATCTTAAATCAAATGCAGGGCCCTTCTGAGCACAGTGGCCCCATATGACTGCACAGGTGGCACAGCCATGAACTCATTGACGTAGGCCAATATTTTATTTTGCACTTGTGGAAAGGTAAACTGAGGCACATTAAAGCATTAAAAACTCTATTAAAGACTTTATTTGAGCATTTAGTGATCCATGGATCTGGGTACTTCCAGACTGCAAGTGGTTTGGGGACTCCAATAAAGGCAAAGGTACTTTTATAAGGTGAATGAGGGAGCAAGGCAAAGGAAACATTTGGGGAGAGGTAGCCTCGCTCAACTCATTCCCCTGGAAAGTCCTAGCTAGAGGTTAGTTGGTGATTTCTGGGTTAGTTAAAGTTTTATTTTACCGTTTATACTGAATTGGGTTTGAGTTTGCTTACACAGGAACCCAAGGTGCTAGAATCACCTCAGCCCAATGACCTCCTAATTAAATTTTTTTAAACACTCTTATGGCCGGGTGCAGTGGCTCATGCCTGTAATTCCAACACTTTGGGAGGTCGCCTGAGGTCAGGAGATTGAGACCAGCCTGACCAACATGGCAAAACCCCGTCTCTACTAAAAATACAAAAACTGGCTGGGCATGGTGTCAGGTGCCTGTAATCCCAGCTACTTGGGAGGTTGAGACAGGAGAATCACTTGAACCTGGGAGGTAGAGGTTGCAGTGAGCTGAGATGGTGCCACTGCACTCCAGCCTGGGTGACAGAGTGAGACTCCATCTCAAAAACAAACAAACAAACAAACAAACAAACAAACACACTCTTATTTAGTGTTTATTGAGCAAAGCCATTACATGTATGTATATTATCAGTTATAAATATTACCTCAATATATAAAGATTAAAACAGATCTCTGCTACAATTTCTGATTACCTCATTAAAAAAAAAGGATGAACAAATTGGTAGGCTCAGCCTTTTCACAGCTTCCTGAAATCATACTCATATGCAGTGGATACTACTGGGTGCATAGAGGCAAATTCACTGTTGCGGGTAATGAAGCTAAAAGTTTGGAGCCAGAACAAGGCTCTGGGAAGTGCTCTGGCAATTAAAACACATTTCATATGTCTGCAAAAGTAAGATTTTTTTTTTTTGACATGGACTTTCACTCTTGCTGCCCAGGCTGGAGTGCAGTGGTGCAATCTCGGCTCACTGCAACCTCTACCTCCTGCGTTCCAGTGATTCTCCTGACTTAGCCTCCCAAGTACCTGGGCTTACAGGCACCCGCCACCATGCCGCTCTAATTTTATATTTTTAGTAGAGATGGGGTTTCACCATGTTGGCCAGGCTGGTCTTGAACTCCTGACCTCGAGTGATCCACCTGCCTCAGCCTCCCAAAGTGTTGGGATTACAGGTGTGAGCCATTGTGCCTGGCCAAAAGTAAGATTTTTAACTGCAATCTATTATAAACCTTGGTTCTGTCCACTCTGACTTCCCCTTTGTCCCTCTTATCCTGTGTCAGGTGCAATTGGAGTGGCCATGGGTATTTCTAAGATCTAGTTGAGGGGAAATTGAGTTCATCCGGACTTAGAGGAATATGTTTTTGTGGTTTGTAGTTACTTCTGTGTATAGTTATTGCCAGCCATCCTGGGGTACTCCTACACTCACTATGCTGACACAAAGTTGCTTGGCCAGGATTCATATCATGAAGAGCATATGTCCTCCACCTCCAGCACCAGAAAGCGGTGGGTAGTGGAGAAGCAGCAAGGTTCACCATGCACAGAGTCATAAATTCATCTGTGGCAAAGCATGTAGAAATGTGCCAGAAAAAATAACATATTTATTGTCCCTTTTTTGATAGTTTTTTTCCAAATGTGTTGTGTATTATAATTTCCTTTCATGTTTTAAATAAAAATTGATTTATACATCTAAATTCATATTTGTAAATTATATACATTTCAGACCACTTAAAACCTGGATCTGTCCCACTGAAGGCTGAGAAATGAAAGCAGAGAAAGACTGAAGGTCTGGCCTAGATTTCATTCAGATGGGGATTATAGTCCGGTTCAGATAAAAATCAAGTATAGCTGAGCTGGAAGAGAAATTATTGTAGTAAGAATGTAGTGATTTATTATTAACATCCCTCAACCCTCCATTTGTAGGTTTAGTTTTAAATGTAAGATTTCAGGAAAAGGGAGAGCTTTGACTTTCACAAGCCCCAGCTTCTCCCCTCTGTGCGACCTCTGGCTGGGCTTCCCCCACCCAGGCCCCCTTCCCTGCATGGACTCCTTTCTTTCCAAGATCCACTCAGCACCTCCTTCCTCTCTCTCAGTACTCCTTAGTCTATCTTTGTTTCTCTCCACAACTCTTCTCAACCATATCACCCACTGTTTTCTCACCTGGGTGACGTTCCCAGCTCTCAACTTTGCCAATTTCTATTTCTTTTCAAAATTGATCTGCTCCACTAGCCCTTTTCTTCAGGTGCTAAGTTTGATAGATAGCTAGTAAATAAAAAAATAAAAACTGAAATAATCAGTTAAATAGGTTTTAATTAGTATCATCAACTTTCTTCTTGTGTACTTTTAAAAAATTGACTTTATTTTATAGAATAGTTTAGATTTGAAAAGATGGTACAAAGAGTTCCCATATACTTTGCACCAGTTTCCCAAATTGTTAACACTTTACATTAGTATATTTGTTACAATTAATGAGCCAATATTTACATATTGTCTAAAGTTCCTACTTTATTCATGTTTCCTTACTTTTTATCTGATGTCTTATTTCTCTCCAAGGATCCATCTAAAGTACTATATTACCTTAAGTCGTCATTTCCCCTTTGGCTTTTTTTAGTTGTAATGACTTTTTGGACTTTTCTTGTTTTTGATCATTTTCACAATTTTTCAAAAGTACTGGCCAGGTATTTTTGTAGGATGTTTTTCTATTGGAGTTTGTCTGATGATTTCCTCATAATTAGATGTGGAGATTATGAGTATTGGAAGGAAAATAACAGAGGTAAACTGTCGTTGTTACCACATCACAGCAAGGAGATATACATATAAGGGTACATGCATACTATTAATATGATTTATTACTATTGATGTTGACCTTGATCACCTGGCTAAGGCAGTGTTTGTCAGGTTTCTTCATTGTGAGGTTTTGTGCTTTTCCCCCTTTGTATAACTATAGTCTTTGCAAGGAAAAAACTATGCATTGCCCACACTTAAGGAGTGGGGAGTTATGCCACCTCCTAGAGGGTGGAGTATCAATGGAAATAATTTGGAATCTTCTGCATGGGAGATTTGTCTCTTCTCCTCATTTATTAATTTATTCAATCATTTATTTATATCAAAATAGATTCTCTGATATTTATTTTTATTTGTTTTATACTTTAGGTATCTAATACCTTTTTTTTTTGAGACACAGTCTTGCTCTGTTGCCCAGACTGGAGTGCAGTGACATGATCTTGGCTCACTGCAGCCTCTACCTCCTGGGCTCATGTGATCCTCCTGCCTCAGCCTCCAAAGTAGCTGGGACTACAGGCATGCACCACCACATCCAGCTAATTTTTTTAGTTTTTGTAGAGACAGAGTTTTGTCATGTTGCTCAGGCTGGTCTCGAACTCCTGGGCCCAAGCAATTCACCTGCCTTGGCCTTCCAAAGTGCTGGATTACAGGCATGAGCCACTGTGCATGGCCTCCAATACTTTTCAAATGTCGTTTATTCCATGAATGTTTCCAGCTTTGGTCACTGGGAGTCCTTTCAGTTGGTTCTTGGGCTCCTTGGACATACCTCCATCAGCACAGTGTTTTATTCTCCCTTTTGGTTGTTGCTTGAGTACTTCCTTACTGTCTAGCACAACAGGAAGTCCAGCTGATAGTCTCCTGGCTTGGAGAGATAGTAGTGCCTCTTTACATCTTCCCAGGTGGCCTCCACTGACTCATCAGAGGAGAGGTAGAGTCCCAAGTCCTGATTTTTCTACCAGAACCCCAGGGGGAGAGGAAAGTGTCAAATCATAGGGTGGGCTGGAAGTCTAGGCTACCCTCTTGGTCTTTGCCAGCATGAGTGGTGGTGGAGCCACATATTTTTTTCTGCAGTGTTTGGCTGAAGTCAAGCAGTTATTGTATAAAACTTTTCTGTGTTTCTAGCTTGAGCTTTGATTAGAAAGAATAGACTTTGTTGGAACTATATAGTTTTTCTGCATTCATTCACATTGCCATGTAACTGGCTTCTTCAGCTCCCAAAGTCTAGGGATATATGAGACAAAACAAAACAAAACAAAACAAAACAAACAAAACACACATACACACAACACAACAAAATAACAACCTCCCTGCCCCCACCCCCCACCCCACCCGCCCCCGCCAAGGAACTCATCTCCATGTTGTTCGTTTGGTCCTGAGGTCCCTTTCTGCTGTCTTCTCTCAAGCATTCAAAGTTTTCTGTCTTTTATGTATATATATATATATATATATATATATATATATATATATATATATATATATATTTTTTTCTTTTTGGAGACGAATCTTGCTCTGTTGCCCAGTTTGGAGTACAGTGGTGCAATCTTGGCTGTCTGCAACCTCCATTTCCCAGGTTCAAATGATTCTCCTGCTTCAGCATTCTCCGTAGCTGGGGTTACAGTCACCCACCAACATGCCTGGCTAATTTTTATATTTTTAGTAGAGACAGAGTTTCACCATTTTGGCCAGGTTGGTCTCAAACTCCTGACCTCAGGTGACCTGCCCTCCTTGGCCTCCCAAAGTGCTGGGATTACAGGTGTGAGCCACTGCGTCCTCATTCAAAGTTTTCTTATGTTTGCTTTATATATTATGTCAAGGGGTTTTAGAAGTACTTAGCAGGAGGAGTAGGTAAGATTATGTCTATTTCATCTTCCCAGAAGTGGAAATCCCTTACTTCCTTTTCAAAAGTTCTCTTTAGAAGCAACAGTCAAATTCAATACCATACTGGGAATGTATTTTGTTGCAGGTGCAACTCCCTGCTTTTTTCCATGAGTCACTAAATATTTCTTATTTTCTTTTAGCAAACATACGGGAACCTTTATTTTATATTTCACTTATAAATTTAAAGGAGGAAAATAGGAAATTAGTATGCCATCAAAAAAGGTGAGTTTTCACTTAAACCTACTTAAATTATAGTTTTATGTTTAAGTCAATGACATATACTCCACTGAGCAAATCATGAGTTGGTTTCTGACCCCATCAGATAGTAAGAAATGTGATATGAAGACTGAGATGGCTAAGGAGTCACATTCTGTGAGATGAAACACAATGATTTTGCTTCCACACAGCAGTAGAATGACACACAGTGATGAGAAGCTTTCCATGAGCGTGCTAAAAGCAGTGTCCAACATCTGGTAGAACTCACAAATTTTCCAGGGACAGTTACGTGTGCCAGTTAATCTAAAATCAGTTATCACCTTGTCAACTAAGTAAAAATGACCCAAATGCCCTAAATTCTTTCACTGCTGTGGGTTCTCTGAAACAGTTAACCGAAACCTCAATTTAATTTAACAACCCTCTCAATAAGCATAGTAGTCAAATTCAGTCCTATGATCATTTTGACCATACTGAAATTAACTCGCTTTTCTATTATGCAATGACTTTCAGGTTTTTGTTTTATCTCTTGAAATTAAAAGAAAATTTAAATTGTTCTTATACATATTCTTGAAAACCTTGAATATGTGTGTAATTATTCATCAGAATCTTTTAGAATTCAAATATACACCCTTTCAGGTTGGAAATGAATTGATATTGGATAAAATGTGGTGGTAAAGATAGTCTGAAGAGAAATATTTCTATTCCAGAAAACAAAGAGCAAATAAATAGAAATAATTAGAATATTATCACTATTCATGTAAGACAATATTTATCTAAGGCCAATCATTTTTAAAGTATGGAGCAGGCTACAAAGTTTATGACAATGAGGGTAAAAAGAAGAAATGAAGAAAAGACTTAAGATAATTATTTTTAAATATTAGTGGTTCTCTTAAGTGTGGATCCTGAATCAGTGGTATCAACATCACTTGGGAACCAATTATATCAGCAAATTCACACACCCCCAATCCAGGCCTGATGATTCAAATTCTCCAAGGGCGGAGCATGACAAGACGTGTTTTGACAAACCCTGCAGGTAATTTTACATGTATATATATATATACACACACACACACACACATATATACACATACATGCATTATATCAATGAATAATTGATATACACACATATCAATATACACACATTGATATCAATGAATAATGTGTGTGTATATATATTTATATATAAATGAATAACGTGTGTGTGTATATATATAAATACACGTTATTCATTGATATCAATATTTTATGTCAAATGAGGAAGAATTTTAAACATTTTTTCTAATGTGTTCATATAATTTGCTCATCTTCATTTTGTGGGTTATCAAATACTACAAGAGTCTTATTTGTTACTTCTCATAAATTTATCTCTTTCCTAATGAATTACTGTTTTTCATGTAATTTGAATTTTTAGGTTACAAGTCACTTTCAATGACAGATTAATTTCCCTTGTTTTCATTATTCATCTTTATGAACTTTGCTTATATCTCACTAATTTTTAGTTTTTCTCATTTATTTAATAAATAAATAAGTGTGAACATGTTACCTCATACATATTAGAAAATAGGGAATACGTTATTTCTAACTGGTTTTATTGAAACATTTTTAAAGCTCTTTGCAAATTGCAGTTACAATGGCATAGTTCGAACCCAACTTCTGCTTAGTTGAACCTAAAAAATGTTACAGCCACTATAATGTCTTCAGCAGGTGGGAGTAGGATAGAGAAAAGATCAGAGTAAAAAGAGACAGTTACCTTTAACTTAAATTATAGCTCGTGTTTTTCACTTTTGCAAATTTTACATGCAACCATGGATCCATCCTCCTCAGGCCTATTATAGCCTTCAGGGGAAGCTTCCATGGAAATAACTTAATCTGGTGAGATCCCCCTGAGCTCAGGAAGGTAGAGATCCCAAGCCTCATGCCTCAGCCAGACTTATCTCGAGGAACCACTTAATAATGTTTTCTATGCCACAAGAATCTTGCTGAATAATCTATTTTATATTTACAGGACACTCAACTGAACAACAATACAATTCATTTTATGCATATTCCATTCATCCAGAAAATTTAATGTGTCTAGTGATTGAATGACAGCAAACAAGTATGTAGTTTTAATGTAGGAAAACATTCAATTATATTTTCAACACTGCTTTTTTTTCAATGAGGGAAAGAAAATCTAAAGCATCAAAGTATTATAAAACAATTCTATTTCATAAATCAGGGGAAATGTCAAGATGGAAAATATGGAGTAAAAACCCTCTGTCATTGTACTAACATAAGTATTATGTTTTTTCTCCATGTATGGTTTAGAAAATCATCAATTCTTAAAATTCAGTGGAGACCAGAACATTTTGGGTAAAGTTCAGACCTCTGAGTGGTGTTGAAAGCTAAGAAAGCGAAGGACAAGAAGGTGGGGAGGTATAGTCAGTACTATCCTAGGAGCACGCAAGTGTGGCTAAACAAACAGTCACGTTTTCCAGGGTCCGAGACCATGGTCACTGGGACATGGAGAGGATCTTGCCAGGGCCCTGTCATGCCTATGAAAACAAAGCTAAAGATTATTTGGAGAGATATAGAAGAGCTTTGGCTTTTCTTTACCGGGAATGATGGAAAGGAGAAAGAAGGTGCCCATACCTCCTATTTGAAGCCTATACCTAGACTACCACATGACTCCACTCTCAGTGAAGACATTTCTAACAGGAAGATAGACTTTTTATTCATGTGCTCTTTACTAAGAGAGGATTTATGCTATCTTTTTGGTATGAAGGAAGGATTGAGGGCAATTTTTTTTTTTTTTTTTGAGACACGGTCTCACTCTGTTGCCCAGGCTAGAGTGCAGTGACACAATCATAGCTCACTGCAGCCTTGATGTCCCAGGCTCAATTGATCCTCCCACATCAGCCTCTTGAGTAGCTGGGACTACAGGCATGCACCACCACACCATGCTAATATTTTTTATTTTTAGTAGAGACAAGGTCTTGCCATGTTGCCCAGACTGGCCTCAAACTCCTGAGCTTAAGCAATCCACCTGCCTCAGCCTCCCAAAGTGCTGGGATTACAGGTGTGATCAACAGAGTTATTTTTATTTTTCAATGTTTTTAATTAAATTTCTTCTTATCCAATCCATCCCTCAACCAATTATTTAACACACGATTATGGAGCAACTACTAAGTGCCATACATTGTGCTAAATTCTGGGAATAAAATGGAGTCCTGCACCTTAAGAAACACACAGTCCTGTAGAGAAAGGTTGTATATAAACACTTTAGTGCTATAATATGTAGGAGGTGATCAGACAGCTGCCTGTACAAAGTACCATGTGAACACAGAGGAGTTGTGAGGTGTGTGTGTGTGTTGTAAAAAGATGCAGACATTTAAACATGGTCTTAAATTTCTTCAGACTCCTCCCCCTGAGAGGTGGGATTTATGTTCTTTCTCCTGGAATTTGGGAGGCTTGTACCTGTTTTGAGCAACACAGTGTGGTGGAAATGAACCAAAGTGACTTCTGAGGCTGAAGCTTCTTCCTGGTTCCTTTGGAATGCTCATGCTCTGGATACTTCCTCTCAGAACCCAACTGCCACTCAGCGAGAAGCCCAAGCCCCTTGGAGAGGTCCTGTGCAGACTCTGGTTCCTCCTGAACCCAGCCTCAGGCTCATCCAGCCCCAACATCAGATGTGTGAGTGAAGAAACCTTTAGATAATTCCATCCTGAGCCACTTGTGTCTCTCTTAGCTCAGGCCTCAATCATCCCAGGACAGAAACAAGCCATCTAGGTTGTGCCTGGTGGAAATTTCTGACTCATAGAATCCATGAGCAATAAAACCACAATAAAATTGTGATTGTTTTATGCCACTAAGTTTGTGGGGATTTGCTAGGCAGCAATAGCAAATTGGAACAGGAGAATTTCAGGCAAGGCTTTCTATAATATAGAGCACTTGAACGAAACATAATCGCCATTAAGAGCACAGGCCTTGGTATTAGAACTAGATGAAAATTCCAGTTCTACAATGAACACTAGTTCATGCCACTTGTATAACCTCTAGTAGTTTTTTTGTAAGTATTCTGAGAGATAATGACTGAAAGTGCTTTGTACAGTGTTGCCTTAAAGTAAGCAATCAGTTCTTAGCTTAAAAAAAGATGAATAGAAGTAATAAAAGCAAAAAACAAGCAATTGTACTAAACATAGTATCTACCATTCCAGTTAGTGTAATCGTATGACTCGGCTTACAATTCTCATTTATTCTCTTTGTCCTGGGACCCTTTCAATTTTAGCATACATCCTAGATTCTTTGTTTATTAATTTTTAAAATAAAATAGCAACATTAACAATTGCATTAAAATAATCAGGGATAGATTTGGTGGACCTTCACATTGTATTTAGAATTTCTGCTGTCCAATGTATGGAGTTCTTACTTAAACTTGCACTTCAATCTAGAAGATGATCAGCTATTCATCTTTTCCCATCTCTTTTCAGACAAAACACAATTATCCCCTTTCTTTCAGGCACAGCATGAAAGACACTCTCAGATAAATGCACTGAATGTGAGTGACAAGGGATAGATTAGCTCCAGTGTAGAGCGGGATGGAAAAATACTTGAAGCTTCTGCCTCTGCTGGCCACGTGGCATATAAGCCCATGTTCCATAGCTTTGTATTAGCCTTTGAGATTCACAAACCTGCAGTCACCAATCTGCTGCATCACTGGGAAACACTGGAAACTATAAGTTAGATGTGCATGAAGTAATTTGGAGAAATAAGAGTCTGAACAGTTATTCTGAATAATGCATCAAAGTGGGCCGAATGTTATTGCTACAGTGGTTTAGTTATTTATTATATAGGGTATAATAAGTAGTATTCCCTTAGGGATCACATTTTTTGGTTAGTCTTTTGTTTTTTTCTTTTGCAACAAACTTTTTTGACATCAATGAGCTTAAAACAAAACAAAAAAACAAACAAAAATCCAAAGTCTATATTTAATGGGAAATTAAGCACCTAAACATTCATTTCCTAATAAATGCAATGATGCACATAATAAGATTGTGCAAGCTTTGAGGATGTTTACCATCCAACTATGAAAGCTGTAGTAACATCACGGACCGTGTGAACATCCAAAAATAAAAATATTCTTAAGATGCTTGAGCATTCCCTTCAGAAGTTGGTAGTAGGTAGTCATGTTAGGAAGGTTGTACATAATATTTCATTAAATTAAACAAGTCTTCTTTGAATTAACTTCACTCTTTTCTGATTTCCATTTTTTACATGTACAAAAAGTGAAGCAATAGTTATTAACGTGTTGGTTTGGTTAGAATTTCACAAACAGTTAAAGAAAGTCTAACTTTTGGCAGTGACACCAGATGCTTCACATAGAAAGTCAGATACATTAATTCCAATGGTTCAATTTTTAAAATTCAACTCATGGAACCAGCGAAAAGCTTCTGAAATTTAATTTAACTGAAAGTGAAATATCTGACACTACAGATGCTCCTTGTCTTACTATGGGATCACCTCTCCATAAGCTCATCATGAATTGAAAATATCAGAAGCTGAAAATGCATTTAATATAACCAACCTACCAAACATCATAGCTTAACCTAGTCTACCTTAAATGCGCTCAGGAACTTTCCATTAGCCTACAGTTGGGCA
The DNA here is from genome assembly GCF_000001405.40 of Homo sapiens. Lineage (NCBI taxonomy): Eukaryota > Metazoa > Chordata > Mammalia > Primates > Hominidae > Homo > Homo sapiens. The sequence continues at coordinate 121,559,565 of NC_000007.14, forward strand.
AATTCATCTCACACAAAGTCTATTTTATAATAAAGTGCTTAATATCTTATGTAATTTGTTGAATACCATACTGAAAGTGAAAAATAGAACAGTTGTATGAGCACTAAAAGTACAATTTCTACTAAATGCATATTGATTTCACATTGTTGTAAAGTTGAAAAGCATTAAGTCCAACCACTGTAAGTTGGGGAACATCCTTATTATGATTGGTACTATACATTAAATTAAATGTTCAATATTGAAGAAAAAGTTTTATGTTTTGATGAGACAACGTGAATAAAATGTTTATGGAAAACAGGGCCATAGTAAACACAATGCTATAATTAAATTATTTATGGAGCAAATATACTTGGAATTGTCATGCACATTCAACTTGTCATTATATCTAAATAAACATCTGTATTGTATTAATCAAAACCTATGGTTGCTGAAATTTATCTATGTGTTTTTACATATACACAACTGAGTAACTGAAGTATAAACTTTTTTGTGACAAGTTAAAAAATAAGTTACTATGGTGGCACATGCTTTTTTCTTTGCTGCCTATTAACCTAATAAATTTCCTTTAGTATTTTATAGTGGTATTGAACTTTGAAAAGTGAGTCCTCTTTTTTTTGCGTTTTATTCAAAATCAGTTGGAAATGTTTAAATGAATTATTTAATGGAGTACCAACAATCTCTTGACATTTTTAATGTCAAAGTGTCAACAATCTTTGACATTTTTAGATAATTGCAATTATAGTCAAATCCTGCAAACAGAAAGACATGGAAATTTAGTCCTATAAAATAAAAGCAAGGGATAAACTGAACAAAATCAATGAAAAGGCCCCAGATGGTGTACAAATTTTGAAATTCTACTTCATTTTGGAGTAACTTGACTTATGGCAATTTTTTTGGATGCAGCTTCTATTTTTGATCAGCAGTATTCGATCTGCTGTTAATTCCATCCAAGTATATATTTTTTCACTCAGATATTACATTTTCATCTCTAGAAGTTTAATTCAGGTCTTTTTTTTTTTTACATCTTTATGCTCTTCTTTAATGTTCTCATGATTTCCTTTATTTTCTTGAACATATGGAATCTAGTTGTAATAACGGTCTTGATGACCTTGTCTACTAATTCTATATTTGTTTCATTTTTGGATCTGTTTCTATTGATTTAATTTTCCCCATATGGGTCACATTTCCCTTTCATGTCTGTCAGTTTTGTTTGGATGCCATGCAATGTGAATTTTAACGTGCTGGATGCTGGATACTTATACACTCCTGTTCATATTATTGAATCTTGTTCTGAGGCTCAGTTTGTTACTTGAAAACAGTACAATCCTTTTGAAGCCTGCTTTTAAAATTTGCTAGGCAAAGCCTGAGCAGCCTTTAGTCCAGGACTCATTTTTTGTCATATGAATTAAGAGAGGTTTACACTCTGACTACTGGGAAAACACTATTTCAGACTCTACATGAGCTATGAGGATTGTTGCGTTTCATTATTTCTGATATTTTTCTCTCCAGTTTTGGGTAGTTTTCTCACGTGCATGTATTGATTGGTACTTACCTGAAGACTTGAGGGGAACTCTTCCTACTTTTCTGGGCTCTCTCTTTGTAAAGCTCTCTCTGCTCCATACAGCTTTCTCTTCTCTGGTATTCTGCACTGCAAATTCTATTTTCTTGGCCTCTCCGAATTGGCAACTCTGTCTTTCCACTAAGCAAGTCTGCCAGCCTGTGGTTTGGGTCCCCCTTCCCTGGACACTTTTTTTGGGAGTAAGCTAGAACAATCCTAAGCTTACTTCATTTGCTCTATTCTCTCAGGGGATCCCTTTCCTGAGCTGCCTTTTGTCCAATGTATGAAATCTGCTTTGTATATTTTGTCCATTTTAAAATTGCTTAAAGTGAAAGATCAAATGTGTTTGCTATTAATTATCAAATCTAGAAGCAGAAGTCCCTGAAAATGATATGTGAATAGAATCATTACTTATGTCTACAAATAGCATCAAATGATAAATCAGTAAATAAGTATCTCAAATAGTATACAATTTTCATTATTTTTGTGTCTACTTTTATTCACAAAAGTGTCCTAGTTTGGGTGATAAATTATCTGGTAGCTCTAATTCTAGTATTTTAATGATATATGTTAACATTTAGTACTAAAATAATTCATAAAATTCTGGGTTAAGTTTTTTGTTTTAATTCAAATACAATTAAAACATGGCAACACCTTAATTCTCTTTGTATGTGTTGATTAGTGAGCCCAATGATTAAATTTTGAAACAGTACCGTATAATTGTTTCCTATTAAATAAAGCTTTCAAATGCATATGAGGAGTCTGTCAAAAGCCTGGCACTCTGCCAGAATTCAGAGCCACATGGAGTTTTTGAACCTCATGTGCAAGGAATTCAGTTAAATGTATACTACTCAGTTTATCTCATACTTCCAATATATGTCCTTACTTGGCTCTTTTTGTTTTACTTTTCCCCATCTCTTCATCCCCTGTCCCACTTCCCTTCTCCACATGTCTGATATATCATATACTTGTATGTTCTTGAAGTGCATGTTTGCTTTTTTATTTGCATCGATGGCTTTGTACCATAGACTGAATTCTATTTTTTGCATATTTTAACTCCATGTGTTTTAAGATCTATTTATGTTGGTATATGTATATCTCATTCATTGTTTCTAGTTGCTACATAGTATTCCATTGTGTGTATCTACCACATTTTATTATAAGATGCCCTGTAGATAGACGCCACTGTTGCCTCAAACTCTTGACTATGCAAGCAAAATGATGATTATCCTTGCTCACTACCCTTATGGACATACATGTGAGTTTCTCTGCAATATAAATGCAGGAATGATCTTTTTGGATCATAAATTCTCTGAGTACTATCAGGTTACTATTCATGAAATTGTTACCATTCCTGAAATTGTTGCCAGAGTATGTGACCCTTAGCAATGCAGTGGCTCCTCATTTATCCACATAGTTCTCAACATTTGGTGTTTTTGTAGTCTATGTTTTGCCAATCTGAGAAATACAAAATGGTATGTCATCATTTCAGTTTTCATTAATCTGATTACCAGTGGGTTTCAGTCTCTCTGGTTTTCCTTCTTTTTCTAAATGATCTACCTGAGTTTCTATTCATATAGAAATAAAATCTTTTGACTTGTTTAGGCTCTATATTTTCTACTAATCTTGTTCAACCTTAATTTTGATGTAATTGAGTATGCCACCTTTTCACGTTATTGTTTTGATTTTGGGCCTCCTGTTTCAGAAGCCCTTCTGTACTCGTAGGCTTATAAAGATAATCTCTTACATTTTCCTTAATTTCATTTCAGTCTTTACTTTCCCAGTTAGGTCTTTAACTCTTCTGATGTTGACTTTTGAATATCATGCCTTACTCTATTTGATATGGTGGGCTACTTTTTCCATGGAATCCTTATAATGACTTTCACACATTACTAAATTCAAAATATGTGTCATGAATAAGATGATGTTTTAAGCACAATAGCATTTTAAAATAACCAGTGATGATCTATTTCTACACATTGATAACATCTATAAATTTTCAGGTATCGTTCGTGTGTGTTTGCTAGATATTTATGTATTTTATTAGCTGGGATGATCTTGTGAAGCCCAATGACACAAATAGTAGCAGAGAGAAGGTATTTGGCTAATATAGGTCCAAAATATGTCCAAAAACGTCAAAGCTTGTGGATTTATGGTTTATTGCTGGGAAGAGATACAATAGAGCAATGGCATTAAAGTAATCTATATATCCCAGCCAAAGGCTGCTTTCCAAAAAGTGGAGAAGCTGGTTCCAATTGTCCTCCCTCTGCAGGCCTGTGCTAGAATGCACTTTTTCTCTCCAGTCAGGAATGACTGATATGTACATCTAACATCCAGGAACCAGGAGTCTGGGCTGACCTTTTTATATCATACTGGTCACATAGGCATCTTTTTGCAATCTAATCAGTAACAGAGCCTTTAGGGATCTCAATAACAACAGGTGCAAACCATCAATCTCACCATTTACCAAAAACAATGCTGATAAGCTGGTACACCTTAGACCCATGTTTCCTCAGATCCATATTTTCATGCGTGTCCATGTGAAGAGACCACCAAACAGGCTTTGTGTGAGCAATAAAAGCTTTTAATCACCTGGGTACAGGCAGGCTGAGAACGAAAAGAGAGTCAGTGAAGGGAGATGGGGTGGGGCTGTTTTATAGGATTTGGGTAGGTAAAGGAAAAAGGGGGTTTTTCTCTGGCGGGCAGGAATGGGGGTCACAAGGTACTCAGTGGGGGAGCTTTTGAGCCAGGATGAGCCAGGAGAAGGAATTTCACAAGACAATGTCATCAGTTAAGGCAGGAACAGGCCATTTTCATTTCTTTTGTGGTGGAATGTCATCAGTTAAGGCAGGAACTGGCCGTCTGGATGTGTACATGCAGGTCACAGGGGATATGATGGCTTAGCTTGGGCTCAGAGGCCTGACATTCCTGTCTTCTTATATTAATAAGAAAAATAAAATGAAATAGTGGTAAAGTGTTGGGACAGTGAAAATTTTTGGGGGTGGTATGGAGAGATAATGGGCGATGTTTCTCAGGGCTGCTTCGGGCGGGATTAGGGGTGGCGTGGGAACCTAGAGTGGGAGCAATTAAGCTGAAGGAAGATTTTGTGGTAAGGGGTGATATTGTGGGGTTGTTAGAAGAAATATTTGTCTTGTAGAATTATTGGTGATGGCCTGGATATGGTTTTATATGAATTGAAAAACTAAATGGAATAAGAGAAGGAGAAAAACAGGTATAAAAGGTCTAAGAATTGGGAGGACCTAGGACATCTGATTAGAGGGTGCCTAAGGAGATTCAGCATAGTCCTGCCAGCAAAGATTATTTATTTACTTCAAGAGTTAAGAGTGGCAGTTTGGGGATAGCACCAGGAGATATCAGCTGTGGTGGCTTGGAGAAACAGTGTAAACTGGCAGTGTAAACAAGAGCAGGGCATGTATGAGTAGTTGAGAACGGCGAATAGGAGTATGACTAGACAGAAGATAGTAGGGATGACAAGTTTTTTGGGGCACAGTCTAAGTTGGTCTGGTGTCTGGAATGAGACTGGGGCCTAATAAAAAGGAGCGTCAATACAGGAGCTCAAATGGGCTGTACCTTGTAGCATTCCGAGGACAGGCCTGAATTCTGAGAAGGGAAAGTGGTAAAAGTATTGTTCAGTCCTTTTTAAGTTGGTGGCTGAGCTTGGTGATGTGTGTTTTTAAAAGACTTTTAGTCCGTTCTACATTTCCTGAAGATGGAGGACCATAAGGGATATAAAGGTTTCACTGAATCCTAAGAGCTTGAAAAACTGCTTGGCTGATTTGACTGATAAAAGCTGGTCTGTTATCAAACTACATAGAGGTGGGAAGGCTAAACTGAGGAATTATGTCTGACAGAAGGGAAGAAATGACTGCGGTGGCCTTCTCAGACCCTGTAGGAAAGGCCTCTACCTATCCAGTGAAAGTGTCTACCTAGACTAAGAGGTATTTTAGTTTTCTGACTCGGGGCATGTTGAGTAAATCTAATTTGCCAGTCCTGGGTGGGGGCAAATCCTCGAGCTTGATGTGTAGGGAAGGGAGGGGGCCTGAATAATCCCTGAGGAGTAGTAGAATAGCAGATGGAACACTGAGAAATTATTTCCTTGAGGATAGATTTCTACGATGGAAAGGAAATGAGAGGTTCTAAGAGGCGGGCTAGTGGCTTGTACTATAGCATAGCCTGCCTTTGCTGGTGTGTGGCTATTAGGCCTGGTGGAACTGCTATCAATAAATCAAGCGTGATCAGGGTGAGCAACAGGAAAGAAGGAAATTTGGGGAAATGGGGTGAATGTCAGGTGGATCAGAGAGATACAGTCATGGGGGTCAGGTGTGGTATCAGGAATAATGTGGGAGGCCGGATTGAAGTCAGGGCCAGGAACAATGGTAATTGTGGGACTTAACAAAGAGTGAGTACAGCTGAAGGAGCCGGGGAGCAGAAAGTATATGCATCAGGTGTGAGGAAGAAAATAGATTTTGGAAATTATGAGAGCTGTAGAGAGTGAGTTGAGCATAGTTTGTGATTTTGAGGGCCTCTAAAAGTATTAGGGCAGCAGCAGCCACTGCACAGAGATATGATGGCCAGCCTAAAACAGTAAGGTCAAGTTGTTTGGACAAAAAGGCTACAGGACGCGATCCTGGTCCTTGTGTAAGAATTCTGCCTGCACAGCCCTGCACTTCAGCTGTGTGTAATGAAAAGGGTTGGGATGAGTCAGGGAGAGCTAGAGTGGGGGCAGTCTCTAAAGCTGTCTTCAAGGAACGGAAAGAGGAGTGGGGAAAGGATTTAGGATCTATGGGGTCAGCTAAGTTTCCTTTTGTGAGTTTATATAATGGTTTTGTTAGGATGGCAAAACCAGGTATCTAAAGGCGAAAGTATACAACCATGCCTAGGAAGGAAAGGAGTTGTTGTTTTGTAGAAGGGGTTGGGGTTTGAGAGATCAGTTAGACACGATCGGCAGGGAGAGCACGTGTGTTTTTGTGAAGAATTATGCCGAGGTAGGTAACGGATGGAGAAGAAATTTGAGCTTTGGAGGGGGATACCTGATATCCTTTGGAGAATAAATGCTGAAGGAGCAGAAGTGTGTCTTGTTGAGAAGATTCAAAGGTGGGGCTACAAAGAAGAAGGTCATCAATATATTGAATAAGGTGAGAAGCGGAGGGGTGGAAAGAAAGTAAATCATGAGAAAGAGCTTGTCTGAAGTAATGAGGGCTGTCCTTGAAACCTTGCGGCAGCACAGCCCAGGTAAGCTGCTGGGACTGATGGGTGTCAGGGTCAGTCTGGGTGAAAGCAAAGAGAGGCTGGGATGAGGGGTGCAGGGGAATAGTGAAAAAGCGTCTTTAAGATTGAGAATGGAATAGTGAGTTGTGGAGGAAGGTATTGAGGACAAAACAGTGTATGGATTGATGGATAGGCAAAACAATTTGGTTGATAAGGCGCAGATCCTGAACTAATCTGTAAGACTTGTCCGGTTTTTGGACAGGTAAAATGGGGGAATTGTAAGGAGAGTTTATAGGTTTTAGAAGTCTATGCTGTAGCAGGCAAGTGATAACAGGTTTTAATCCTTTTAAAGCGTGCTGTGGGATGGGATACTGGCGTTGAGCAGGGTAAGTGTGGTTAGGTTTTAATGGGATGGTAACGGGCATGTGATCGGTTGCCAGGGAAGGAGTAGAGATGTCCTATACTTGTGGGTTAAGGTGAGGGGATACGAGAGGAAGACGCAAAGGTGGCTTTGGGTTGGGGAGAAGGGTGGCAATGAGATGTGGCTGTAGTCCAGGAATAGTCAGTGAAGCACATAATTTGGTTAAAATATCTCGGCCTAATAAGGGAACTGGGCAGGTGGGGATAACTAAAAAAGAGTGCATAAAAGAGTATTGTCTAAGTTGGCACTAGAGTTGGGGAGTTTTAAGAGGTTTAGAAGCCTGGCTCTCAATACTTACAACAGTTATGGAGGCAAGGGAAACAGGCCTTTGAAAAGAAGGTAATATGGAGTGGGTAGCCTCCATATTGATTAAGAAGGGGACGGACTTATCCTCCACTGTGACAGTTACTTAAAGCTCGGTGTTCTTGATGGTCTACGGGGCTTCCAAGGTGATCGGGCAGCATCAGTCTTCAGCTGCTAAGCCGAGAAGATCTGGGAAGGAGTCAGTCAGAGAGCCTTGGGCCAGAGTTCTAGGGGCTCTGGGAGTGGCTGCCAGGTGAGTTGAACAGTCCGATTTCTAGTGGGGTCCTGCACAGATGGGACACCGCTTAGGAGGAATCCTGGGCTGCGGGCATTCCTTGGCCTGGTGGCCAGATTTCTGGCACTTGTAGCAAGCTCCTGGGGGAGGTGGTTCTGGAGGAACATCTGGCCGCTGCGGTTCAGGCGTTTGGAAGTTCTTGTGTGCTGGAGATGTGGATGGGGTTTGTCTCACAGTGGAGGCAAGTAATTGCAACTCAGAAACACATTGCTACTTGGCTGCCTCTACTCTATTATTGTACACCTTGAAGGCAAGGTTAATTAAGTCCTCTTGTGGGGTTTGAGGGCTGGAATTTAATTTTTGGAGTTTTATTTAATGTCAGGAGTGGATTGGGTAATAAAATATATATTGAGAATAAGACGGCCTTTTGACCTTTTAGGGTCTAGGGCTGTAAAGCGTCTCAGGGTTGCTGCTGAACGAGCCATAAACTGGACTGGGTTTTTCATATTTGATGAAAGAGCCTAAATGCTTACTGATTTGGGAGAGGTCTGATAAAGAAAAAGGAGCATTAACCTTGACTATGCCTTTAGCTTCAGCCACCTTTTTAAGAGGAAATTGCTGGGCAGGTGGGGGAGGGCTACTCACGGAATGGAACTGTAAACCGGACCGGGTGTGAGGAGGGGAGATGATAAAAAGATTATAGGGTGGAGGAGCGGAGGCTGAGGAAGAATTGGGACCTAGCTCGGCCTGGCGAGGAGCAGCCTGGGGAGGAGGGGAGAGGTCAGATGGGTCTGTAGAAAAGTAAGATTAGAAAGACTCAGCAACGCTTGGGGTTGGGACTGAGGGGACAGGCGGGAAGGAAAGAAGGAAGATTTGGGACGAGTTGCACTGGGCACAGAGACTAGGGAGGGACCGATGTGTAAAAGAATGCCTGGATGTCAGGCACCTCAGACCATTTGCCTATTTTTCGACAAAAATTATTTAGGTCTTGTAGGATGGAGAAATCGAAAGTGCCGTTTTCTGGCCATTTAAAACCACTGTCAAGTTTGTATTGGGGTCAAGCAGCATTGTAGAAGAAAATAAGGCATTTAGGTTTTAGGTCAGGTGACAGTTGAAGAGGTTTTATGTTCTTAAGAACACAGGCTAAGGGAGAAGGAGGAGGAATGGAGGGTGGAAGGTTGCCTATAGTGAAGGAGGCAAGTTTCAAGAAAAGGGAGGGTAGAGACACGGAAGGAAGTGGTTCAGGGGTTCTTACCTTCCAGAAAAGCGGGAAAGGGGTCGGGGTGCAAAGTTATAAGAGGTTGGGGTGTAGAAATAAGGGATCGGGGCACAGAGATATGAGGTTGGGGTACTTGCCCTTCCTCCAGAAAAGCGGGACTTGCTGCTAAGGGTGAAGAAGGGGTTGAGGGCTTCTTGCCTCTCCTCCAGAAAAGCAGAGAAGGGGTAAGAGACATGGAGAGAAGGGGTTGGGGTACTTGCCCCTCCTCCAGAAAAGCAGGACTTGCTGCTAAGGGTGAAGGACCAAGGCAGGCATCCCTGCGTGGTCTGACACCTCTGAAACGTGGGTGAATAATCAGAGAGGCATCCCTGCTATGATTAAACACCAAGGGAAGTCTGCCCTCCCAGTCCGTGACCAGCACTGGAGTTTTGGGTCCACGGATAAAATGTGTCTCCTTTGTCTCTACCAGAAAATGAAAGGAATTGAAATTAAGGGAAGGGAGAGATTGAAGTGTGGCACCAAGACTGAAAGGAGAAAGAGGTTGAGGGATAGTGAGGGAGGTTGGAGAAGAGAGTAAAAAGAGGCCACTTACCGGATTTGAAGTTGGTGAGATGTTTCTTGGGCTGGTCGGTCTGAGGACCTGAGGTTGTAGGTGGATCTTTCTCATGGAGCAAAGAACAGGAGGACAGGGGATTGATCTCCCAAGGGAGGTCCCCCGATCTGAGTCACAGCACCAAATTTCATGCGTATCCATGTGAAGAGACCACCAAACAGGCTTTGTGTGAGCAATAAAAGCTTTTAACACCTGGGTGCAGGTGGGCTGAGTCCAAAAAGAGAGTCAGCGAAGGGAGATGGGGTGGGGCCATTTTGTAGGATTTGGGTAGGTAAAGGAAAAAGGGGGGTTGTTCTCTGGCGGGCAGGAGTTGGGGTCACAAGGTACTCAGTGGGGGAGCTTTTGAGCCAGGATGAGCCAGCAGAAGGAATTTTACAAGACAATGTCATCAGTTAAGGCAGGAACAGGCCATTTTCACTTCTTTTGTGGTGGAATGTCATCAGTTAAGGCAGGAACTGGTCATCTGGATGTGTATGTGCAGGTCACAGGTGATATGATGGCTTAGCTTAGGCTCAGAGGCCTGACACATATTTACAAAGCAACATTTTAAATCAAATGTTGCCCGCTTTGAATGGGGGTAAGTGCTGTGTAGCTACTTTAGTAAAATAGCTCAGTTGAATCTTGAGGGAAACTTTTTAAGACTGTGGATGGCTTTCTGGGGCCTCCAAGTGACCTCAGAATTGACCCCCTCCAACCTCTTTCCCCACTCCATAAAATCAAGTAAAGCAGATACTGCCAAGATGCTTAAACAGAGATGACAGTGGGTGTTGGTGGGTGCTATGGGGATGTCTTGAGTGGTCAGTGTACTAAGATAGTGAATTTAACAAGAGCAGTCATCTTGCAGTTGGCACATGTTTGAGGTTCAAGGCTGCCCTTGTGTCCTTGTGTCATCATGTTTGTTGCCCACAACCCCCTCTGCTTTTCCTCTTGCTTCCTCCTTTAAATAAGAAAGCACTTAAGTATGTTTCCTGAAGGCTAAGCAGGATGTGATTTTTAACTGATTACTGGATGCTTTTGTATTTAATGGAGGGAATGTTCACATAAAAACCATGCTCAGTCCAACCTTGGAGAAACACTGGGAAACCATGACTTGTTTAATCTTGGAAAAACTTATCTAAACATTTTAGTTCATTGAGCTTTTTTTGTTGTTCATTGAATATTTGGTAGGTATATACATTGTAATATGCAAATTTAAATATATTATTTTATCTTCATAAAATCTCAGTGAAGTAGGTATTTTTATTACCCTATAGTACAAAAAAATAAAATGAAGATTGGAGAAATTAAATAATGCATAACTATCAAGAAGAAATCTAGCATTTGAAGTTTGGCAGTTGTGTGATATCTGAGCATGAAATCTTGTTTTTCGCATGATGCCTGGTGGAGGACGTACTTAGCAAAGAGAGCAGCACATGAAAACATGGAACAGCAGAAGGAATTCCAGGATCTCCAGCTATTTCCTCATAACTGTTGCTTGGGGTGTGAATATAAGCATGGGGTGGCAAACCTAAAAAAAAGATGATAAAGGAAAGGTGGATACCGAGTACCTCATAATTGATTCTTAGGAAAAGGGCAATCATTGAAAAGTCTTCAGCAAGAAATACATAATTAGATTTGAATTTTCATAAAAACACGTTTAAAATCTTCATAGATTTATGGAGGATAATTTCAAAGAAGCTGAGTAGAATAATTCTATGATGATGTAAGAGATGATGAACATAAACTAAGCCATTAGCAGTGAGTTAGGAAGAACTCAGGGGCATTTGAGGACATCTGAGAGATGTGAAGGGAGTGAAAATGCACAAGGCTTGTATCTTGATTTTGGTGGTGGGGGGTGGTGGTAAGGAAAAGGGAAAGATTGAAGATGTCCCTAAGATTTCCTGCTTAGAGAGCTTGGGGACTGGGTAGTTGGGTGATTATAGTTTTCTGCATTAGGAATATAGGAGTGAGTATGAGAGGGAAAAAGTGAGTTCACTTTGAAATGTCTTATATACATTGGAGGTGTCTGTGAGACAGAAGGTACAAATATCCAGGAGACATTTGATATATGGCTTTGAATCTCCACAGAGTCTATCCTAGAGATATAGATTGTGGTCCTGGACCCTACCCTAGACCAACTAAATTAGTCTCTGGGGATTGGCCCATATGTTTTCCATTGAATCAATTTTATACTGGACAACTTAAAAGAAATATATTGGAGAATATCTAAGTAAGCAGGAAGAGGTAGCTTATGACAATATTTTTTATTGTGGAGAGTGAAAGATTAATGATTTAAAAGGTGAAAAAGGACTAATTCAGTTTTAACATTTTGAGGTCATAAGCGTTTTATCATAATTTAGTATTGTGTGCATGTTTATTTCTTTTTGTATCTCATTAGAGAGGCATGCTTAAATGACCAATACATATTTTTGGGGATTATTTTGCTATAGACAATGTGATCCCCTCAAAATAAAATAACGTATTTAACTCTACAGAAAGTATTCAAATCTCCAATATAAGCAGTCTATTTTTGGTGGGTTTGAAAAAAGATGTGCTTAGTATCAAGAGATTTGACTTTGCTACATGCTTTGGTCAAATTAGCTGACAGTTTTGGAGTTCAATTCAGTCTGATAAATTTAAGCAGCTACCATGTACATGGCAGTCTGTCAGCAGGGTAGGGAATCCTGAGACATGTGCAATGCTACCTCTTCCCTTAACGAAGTTTTACTCTAGAGGTAATTGACTTGGGCCCAGTCATATGACAAAACAGAGTAAGATCAGTGTAATAATGGAGTTGCAGAGTGTTTTACAATTTCAAAGAAAAGAGAAAAACTGTTTCATGCGGAGATCAGGAGAGAAAGCTGGCAAGGGAAGGGAACGTTTACTGAGTATATACCAGGTGCTAAGTTTCTTTCCAAATAATATTTAAAATTTTGGAACACTCTGAATAAAAAGTACTGTCTGATATATGAGTTTAATTCTAATTAACTATTAGTTTTTTAGTTAAATTGAGCCATGAGACATAATGTCTAAAATTAAGGTCTACTATTGTGCACTGCCCCTTAACATCTGGTGAAAGCAGGAGGGCCCTGAATAGCTGAATTGGAAGTTTCCTTCCTACACTGCTTGTGTGCATAAGGTCCCCTCACCAAATAACCCTACTTGTCAAGAGAATCATGCGCAATTCCTGCTTATCTCTTAACAGTGGGTTTCTTTTCTTCTTTTTTCTTTTTCTTTTTTTTTGAGACGGAGTTTCACTCTTGTTGCCCAGGCTGGAGTGCAATGGCACGATCTCGGCCCACTGCAACCTCTGCCTCCCGGGTTCAAGAGATTCTCCTGCCTTAGCCTCCCAAGTAGCTGGGATTACAGGCATGCACCACCATGCCCAGCTAATTTTATATTTTTAGTAGAGACGGTGTTCCTCCATGTTGGTCAGGCTGGTCTTGGACTCCTGAACTCAGGTGATGCACCCACTTTGGCCTCCCAATGTGTTGGGATTACAGGCGTGAGCCACCGCGCCCCGCCTGAACAGTGGGTTTCTGTTCCCTGCCAGCCCAGATAATTATTCAAACAAGCCAATTACAGCCTTTCATTGGAACCAGGGGGCATGCCATTGTCTAAATACTGCAAACCTGCCTCGTACAGTCCCTGTTGGTTCACTCTGCTCGTCAGTGCAGCCCCTGTGTGACCCTGGATGGTGAGTGGTATCTTCCTGCTCTGAGCTGTGAGTGTTTGTGACTAATAAACTGCTGTCCTCTGTCCAGTGTTGTGTGTTAGAGTGGAGTCCCTCTTTCACTAATGGGGTGAGTAGGAGGTGATTAAAACAAGTCATGCGTAACTCTCTAACCCAAATTTGATAATTTAACAATCACTTAAAAACCATTCAGTATTTTCTTGATGGAAAAATACAACACACAAAAAGTAAACTCCTCAGCCTAGCATGTAAGACATTCCACAATTTTAGTATGTGCCTACCGCTCCAACTTATTTTCCACAACTGGGAGCTACTCCCCATTCATTCTAGACCACTTACATTGTTTTGTAACTCTCTATGTTGTCACAAATATGTAAGCCTTTGCTCTTTTTTGCTTCCTCCATCTGGAAAAATACTTAATCTTTTGTCTAAAATCCTAAAAATCCCACTCAACATCTGTACTATGAGACTTTCTTACACATCCCTCCAAGAAGCTATGTTTGTGTTTTCCTTCATGTTCTCACTGCACTGTTGACATATACCCATTAAAGCACATATTGCTCTATATTGCAACTATTTGTTCACATGCTTTTCTGCTGTGTTAGTCCATAACCAGCTTGAGAACAGGGTCCTTTTCTTGCCAATCTTTATAAATATATATATATATTATTCATTTTATATATATAAAATATATATTATTCAATACATAAAAATATATATTATTCAATATATAATATATATTATTCAATATATAATATATATTATTTAATATATATAATATTTTTAAATATATAGTATATATATTTTTATTTTATATATAGATATAGATATAAATATAGATATAGATTTGTTTTTGAGATGGAGTCTCGCTCTGTCACCCAGGCTGGAGTGCAGTGGTGTGATCTCAGCTCACTGCAAGCTCCGCCTCCTGGGTTCACGCCATTCTCCTGCCTCAGCCTCCTGAGTAGCTGGGACTACAAGTGCCTGCCACCGTGACCAGCTAATTTTCTTGTATTTTTAGTAGAGACAGGGTTTCACCGTGTTAGCCAGGATGATCTCCATCTCCTGACCTCGTGATCCACCCATCTTGGCCTCCCGAAATGTTGGGATTACAGGTGTGAGCCACCGTGCCCGGCCACTAATCTTCATATTTATGGAAACTACCATAGCGACTATCATCTGAAAGGTGATATCAGTCTTTCAAAATTCCACCTCAACAAATGCTGTTGAATGAATGAATGGATCATTGTGTAATTGTGTCTAGCTAACATGAATTTTATAGCTACAAAACTCCCTTGACAAATATAACTTGATTTCTGCTTTTCTTTCTTCCTTACCACTCTTCTGATCTAAGTAGTATGAGGCTTAAGAATTATTCAGGTATGGGAACCTCAGATCCTGAGCCATCTCATAGCATCTGTTGGCCACCACTGAGCTGTAATTGATTTGGCTCTTTTGAGTGTGTGATCTGCTTTCTGCTTCTTTTGTGCCTTCTCAGCAGCCAAGAAATCTCTGACTGATTTATCTGCACAACTCCAGGTTATGCAGCCTCCATGAGCATTTCCTTGGGAACCACACTCATCCTTCCTATACTGCCATTCTGAAACCATGCTTTCAGTCTTTTTGGGCTATGCCCTGGGAGAAAAAACACATGTTCTGTCTGCACTGGGACCACCTAAACTTATATTGAGTTTGTGTCACTTATATTCCATAGTCTGAAGATTCTCTCTACTATTTTGGATACTCATTTTAAAGTCACAATAAATTCCACCTCTTCTGATATTTCCTAAAGGGAAGATGTCATCTTTTCACTTATATGGGAAGAGATCTCTTTTAAACTTCTAGCATCTGTGTATATCTGTATATCTATATAGATAGATATATAGACGACAGATATAGGTGTGTGTGTACACATTTATACATGTATATATGTGTATATATACATATATGTATGTGTGTGTGTATGTACATAGGTACTCTTCATTTTTTTCAACTATATGATATATTTGTTTTGGCTTTTCAATGAGAACTTAAGCTTCCCCTCCATGTTTTTGAAACATTCTTTTAAAATAAGTAAATAATATCCGCAAATGTTATTATTCCTTTAAAGAATTATGTATAATCTAATTATTGTATATTACTTTTGTGTCCTTCCATTAACATACCACTGTAAATTAGTTTTGTAGCTGTTTGGTGAATGGTTTCCTGGTGAATGAAAAACAGCAAACTTTACACTAAATCATATTTTTATAGGAAGTCAATTCCACTACAGCAAAGACCATTTCTAAATGTCAAAAACTGTTCTTCAGCTTTAGCTATGGCCTACTTACTTCGCATAATACTTAATATTAGAGCATTCTAGTATGACAATAGAATTGGGACAATCTCTGAGAGTTCATGATAATTAGATTTGCAGCTGGCTTTCAGTCTTTTCAATTTTTTTCTTTTAAAAAATTTAAACACAATGGGGAAATGAATTAAATATTGCATGTCAGTTAGCTCAGTTATGTTGTAAAACAATCATAATATCAAATTACACATGCCATCCATCCATGGACTTACTCAACTGTAAGAAAATAGTCTCATGTTCTGTAAAATGAAATCAAACTAAAAGATTTAATCTAACAAATTCAATATTTGATAAGCAATAAAAAGTGACATTTCTTGGTCTGAGGAAAGACTTAAATATCTGGACAAAGACATATGCTTCTGGAAAAAGATTGTTTCTTTTGTTCAGATCGTGCCAAGTAGAAATACTGTCTCTATTACTGTGGACATTTTTATTATCATGTCTCAACAGGAGTGCTCTGGTTGAGAAAGCACTTTCATTCTAACTTTCTTAATCCCCATTGGCTCTAAGTTTCTAAGTAATTTTTAATTTCAATCCAGAACTGTTTTTTTTCTTTTTTTTTTTTTTTGAATGTTTGATAAAATTCACTGTGGCTCATTTTGGGTTATTGGAGCATAAAAATAAAAAACATTTCATCAGATAAGTGATATTTCATGTGCTCTGGGGATATTAAATGATTTTGGAGAGTCAAACATCCCTTGGAATATAATTATTTAATAAAAACAATTTCATCAGAAGTAAGACTAATGAAATAAATGAGTGGTAGATTGAGAGTTGGAAGGGTTATAGAATCTGGCACCTGAATAACTTGTTTTGTTATAAATGGTTTAATGAGTCAGTTCTCTTCTTTGTTGAGTGGGGAATCATGAACAACAGGTTGCTCTGTGGCTGCCCAGTTGCCCCACTTCTAAGATGTGATTTCTACATCTTTAATATCTTGGACACTTAGCCCCAAGTCCTTCCTTTGTGCAGATTCTCATGTCAGAAAGAAAAGTGAAATAGGGGAGAGAGGAGATAAGAATGGTACTCAAGACTCGGTCCTCCCTCCTCTACTCCCTGTCTGTATCTCTCAGAAAGGCTCTAGCCTTTCACTTTAGCGAGAGAAATCTCCATGAAGGAGATTTGTCACTGCCCCCTATCACAGCTGTATCTCAGTTACTTGCCCTGCCGTTTTCTTTGTTGCTCTTTCTTGCCCTGAAATTCCAACAACTGAGATTATCAGAAGGAGCAGCTGTTATTTAAGGCTACAGTTATCAAGACTGTAGCAGTGCTTTTGGTAGAAAAAGTCAAGTCAGTTCACCAGTGTCAGGGAACAGAGCTAAGGAAAGAAGTGCTGCCTCAGTGAGCCAATATTTATTTCATGGCTACTGCCTATCTGATTGAATGTAAATCAAATGGTAATAATTTGCATAATTGTGTACACTTGGTGCTCTATCAAGACCCTCTCTGATCCCTTTTACCTGTTCTGTGCGTTCGTGCTTCAGCTTCTGTGTGCTGTGCTTCTCACTGTTCAGCCCTATGACCTTCTTAGAGGACTGTCCTCATGCTAATGGAGCTGCTTGCTGGCGTGCACAGACAGCAAACCACCTGCTCCAAATCACATGCAGACAAAAGAGAGAAGAGAACTGTGGCTGCAGCACCCAAGACTGTATGCTCATGAAAATATTGGCAAGCCTTTCTGGAATAATTAGAATAATTTTAGGTGGGACATGGTAAGATTAGACATTTAATAACATAGCAATATTAAAATGTCTCATTTTATAGAACCATGGAGATGTCAGGGACTTTGAAGTCAATTTTGTCCCCCTTCTTCTCCTCACTTGTACCTTACTTAGAGAAAGTCATAGCTTTACCATGTGTAAACCACTCATTTATAAAGTCTTATAGGATTACTGATTCTACTGCCTTTGAAATTCTATGATCTTTTTTTCCCTATAAGTTAAGCCAAACTTTGAAATCTCTCATGTAACAACTATTGAATGTATTTAGCCAAACTTTTCATGTTTCATTATTTTTTTTTTTTTTGTCTAATTTTGTTTGGAAATGGAAAACGGTCTGTCATCATTGTCAGGATAACAATCTTTCATACACTGGAAAACTATTATTATGTTGCTTCCTCTTGAGTTGACAAAATAATTCCCTTCTTTGCTTTCCAACCATTTAATCATCTTGCTGTCTTCAGAGTCCTTTTTAAGTTCCCTTTTCTCTTGAGTTTACAGCCCAGAACAACATATTAAGTAAGTGTATTTAATAAATTAAGTAACCAAAAGCTGCGAAATTCGTTTGCTCTACTGAACATTCTGTATGTTTACTTTAGGCTTCTTTCTGAAATATTGCATTAATGTCCGTGTTTTCAATGCCTGATGAGTGAATGAATGAATGAATGAATGAAGTCAAGAGTAGTATACTACGGATATTATGTTTTGTTGCAGACCCTAAGGTTTTTTTTCTATGTTTCAAAAAGCAGCATAGGTAAATTATTTTGTCCTTGGAGTTAAGACTTGGCATCATGGAAGCAACCTGTATCAAAAGGCATTTAAGACTTAGGTTTAAATCCTGACTCTACTATTTTCAGCTGTAGGATCTTAGGCAAATTGCTTAAGCCTGTTAACGGTACAGTCTCCTTATCAGTGAATTGGGGATTTCAGTAGATACTCTGAAGACTTCTTTGAAGATGGAGATGATGCATATTATAACTTGGCAGTCAGTAGCCCTTTAATGAATGGCTACTATTAATGTCATAGAGACCTTCAGTTTCAAGGAGAACCCAGGAAAGTCTTGATAAATGGGCCTTGGCTTTCCTGAAAGGTAAGTTTTCTCTGACATGGTCACAAAAATGGCTTCATTTGAGAAGGCTTTGCCTTGCAAATAACTTTCTGATTCCTTGGAGATAGTATAAGGTATGATGAAAGG
Organism: Homo sapiens; assembly: GCF_000001405.40. NCBI lineage: Eukaryota > Metazoa > Chordata > Mammalia > Primates > Hominidae > Homo > Homo sapiens. Next base: position 121,578,079 of record NC_000007.14, read on the forward strand.
AGCACCCATATGGAATCGGGAGACCTGGATCTCTTCTTCTGCTGCTAATCATGTCTGTAACCATAAGCAAATCACTTAGCCACTGTGGGCTCCAGTTTCCTCATCAGTAATAAAATGAAGCAGTTGGAACAGAGGATCTTAATGTTCCTTTTAAGATTTTGTGACTCTGAGAGTCTTTTTGAAGAGCTCCTGGAAGACTAGCGGAAGGTAGTGAAGACAGTTGAGATGCTAATATAAACGAGGATCTTCTTTAGGTATAGGAACAGGATAATCTTCAAGAAAGGTATAGGAACAAGATAATCTTCAAGAAAGGTATAGGAACAGGACAATCTTTATAGTTAAAACTATATTTAAAAATACAAGGAAAAGCATTGCTCTTTTAATGTAAGTTGGAAATTTCGGTTCTTATTAGATATTTGGTAAAGCTCTTTGGCATTAAAATCCTTTATCCATGTAAATTACATGTTGCTAAGACTGCTTCTAATGGTGCTAGGAGCTCAAAACTTTGAACCAGATAGCATTAGGTTGAAATAAGAAAGAAAAAGATAATATGAAGGTAAGTGAGGTTACAATTGGTTGGGGTCAAGATGGTTAATGACATCATATTTTTTCCTTTTGTGCTTATGACCGCTATATCAGATGCATTTATTTCCAGGAGAGAGATTATTTTCATTATGATTCTGAGAGATGTACAGAGAACTACTTCCAGCTGAGACACTTACCAGAGTCCTTGGTTGAGAGACAGAGCTTTAAGATACCTAGCGTGCTTTATTTCACCTCTGTAAATTTAGAAGCTAGAGATGAATGATGAGGTTTCAGCTCAGTCCAATATTACTCAAGTTTCCTGCCAGAGGAGGTACGGCTATCTAAACAAAAAGAGATTCAGTTTAAATTTTTCACCTCAAATGGCAATATCCATGATATATGTGCTGTATCCACCCCTGACAATATCACTATGGCTCCAACTACCTCCTTTCTCTTTTAGAGCAAATGACAGAGAACTTGGTAAACATGCCAGTGGGGAAAAAAAAGCTACACTGGTGGAACAGCTATTATAAAAATGTTGTACATTTTATTGTTAAAATATATTTTTTATTCATGATATTGAAAAAATAGAGAATGTATAAACAAGAAAATAAAAATCACTTAAAATAAAACCTTCCTGAAATAGCTATTGGTAATATTTTGGTGTGTATTCTTTTGCTCTGGTCATATATGTGGTTCTTCAAACTGGGATAATAATGTGCATAGTATTTGACGTTTTTAAAGAAATACCTGAGACTATCTAATGATAAATTTTCTATGACCTTACATCTTCTTTGGGAATATGGTTTTAGGGTTGAAGTAATGGTAGTGGGACAAAGAGTAAAACAGAAGTGGTGAGGGATGAGCTGGGAAGGCTTGAGCCTGGTTTGAGAAATAGTAAGGGCTTTGAGTGTCATGCTATGCAGAGTAGGGTATGGAAAGTTACTGGGTAGCATAAGTATGGAGTCATTGATCCCACCTCCCTAAAACAGTGTGAGTTACACAGTTCAGCAGGACAAAGCCTAGGACATCTGAGATTCATTTATTGATCCTAAAGGAAGTACAATGATGTGGAACAAACACAGGCTTTGGACTCAGACATTGGGGGTTTGAATTCTGGCTCCTATACTCATGAGATACACCATCAGACCAGTTTTTTGTTACTTGTAGACTTCAGTTTCCTCATCTGTAAAATGAAGACGATAACATGTAGTTTGCACTGAGGGTTAAATGAGATACTACATGTAAAGCATACAGCTTAGTTCTGGCATGTCTTAGTTTACTTTTGTTATTCTTATTTTTAAAGTTAGGTCATAGAGGGAACATTGTTTTCCCAACAAATAAATTCTATAACATTAATGAGTCTATGAAGGATTTCATTTCTTAGGAGTGATGACAACTTATTGGTGTATTTTAAAATTTCCCTTACAAAGAATTGTTCAAGAAATTTGGGGTTGATAATTTTCTATCAGTTTTAGTCACCAATGAAATCTAAATTAACAAGAATAAATAGTTTAGATGGAAAAAAATTATGAAGCTTTTAAAGCCAATGTGTCTTATGTTTCTGTCGTTGTTTATCTTTCTTAAGGTGAGAGTCCCTGTGCAGATTCACCATCTTCCAGTGCCATTTGCCCATTCTGCTTTGTTCTCCTCCCTCTTCACTGAGGCTTCCACTGGTCACTCTCTCCTGACCCTGGAGCTTTATTGCCAACAAACTCTTCTGCAGTCTCAGTCCCACCGCTTACAATAGGTCCCCTAACTCCTGTAGTACAGATTGTCTGGGTTTGCCTCTGGCTCTGCCTCTGACAAGCTGTGTGACACACATATGTACACAAACACACACAGAGAGGGAGAGAGAAAAAAAGAGAAAGAGAAAGAAAGAGAGAGAGAATATATACCATATAAGGTTGCTATGAAGATTCAATAAATGAAAGTATTCATAGAAATCAAGCACTTATAACAATAACTGGTAGATAGTAACCCCTATATATTAGCTACTATTTTTGTTATCTTCAGTAAAAGTCAGGATAATGGTAGCTACCACATGGCACTGTTTGGAATGAATTACACACTGTGTCTTAAAGCACTTAATCTAGAGCCTGGCACCAACTAGCCTTCGATGATGATAGTTATTAATGCCTATGTCTCAGCTCTCATAAAATCACTTCAGTTCCTCCAGTGAGGGATGCTGTTTCTCACTTCCCGACCTCCATATATGCTCTTCTTTTTTTCTACAATCTTTTTCTCTGGGTAACTCCTACTATCTCTCTCTCTTTTAAATTTTATTATTTACTTTTTTGAGACAGGGTCTCACTCTGTCACCCAGGCTGGAGTGCAGTGGCATGATCACAGCTCACTGAAGCCTCAACCTCCCAGTCTCAAGGTGATCCTCCCATCAAAGCCTTCTGAGTAGTTGGGACCACAGGTGTGCGTCACCACACCCAGCTAGTTTTTGTATTTTTTGTAGAGATAGGGCTTTGCCACATTGCTCCGGCTGGTCTTGAACTCCTGGGCTTGTGATCCACCCACCTTGGCCTCCGAAAGTTCTGGGATTACAGGCGTGAGCCACTGTACCTGGCCCCTACTCACTCTTTAGATTACACTTACATGTCACTTCCCTGGGAAGTCATCTTTGTCAACAGCTCAAAAGGGTGAGTTGCCCCCATTCTGTCTCTTCACTTCCTCTGGCAAACTGTGTTTCCCTAGTCAGGGCATTTATTATCATTTATGGTGATTGCTGATTTTATTGTTTTTTCTTCCCTTCTTGTTGGTAAGCTTTACCAGAGGAGAAATAGTTTCTTTTGCATACCTTGGAGTTCCTGATATATAATATATATTAAACTAATAATAATAATAATAATAAAATTGTCAAATCAGGAGTGGTAAGAGGAAAATCAGGAGAGTAATTTCTGAAATTCAACTGACAAATGTGTTTCAACAAGAGATTATTTAACAGTGTCAGTGTTAGGAGAGAAGTCAGGTAAGCTAAAGACTGAAATGTGTACCTGGATTTGGCCACTAAGAAATTGCCGGTGACTTAAGAAAGAGCGATTTAATAATGTGCTGGAATGGGGAGCAGATTGCAGAGGGAAGAGGAGTGAAAGAGAGATGAGAAATTGGAGTAGTAAGTGTAGACCTCTTTTTCAGAAAGCTTAGTAGTAAAGCAAAAGAAAGTAAGAGGGCAGCAGCTAGGGAGCCCCTAGAGATGGCCAGTGTGGGTGTGAGACTGTCACTCTGGGTCATGTGCTTGTGTGTGTATCTCTGCATGTGAGTTTGTGTCTCTGTGAGTGTTTCTGTATATGCCTGTGTCTGTGTGTGTGTGTATGTCTATGTCTACTTATTTGTGTGTGTGTATGTGCGTGAGTGTCCATGTGTGGGTGTGTGACAATGTGTGTGTGCCTGTGTCTGCATATCTGTGTCTGTGGCAGTGTCCGTATGTCTCTCTCGGAATGGTGTGTGTGTGTGTGTGTGTGTGTGTGTGTGTGTGTGTGTGTAGAGAGAGAGAGAGTGTGTTTAAGGCAGAAGAGACTTGAACATATTTCTATGTTGAGGAGAGTTAGTGAGAAGGAAGGCTCAAAAGGAAAATCTGTGAATACTAAAACCATGGTTGGAGGAGAGTTTCTCAGAGGGTGTAGGTTTCTGTGATTTTTGCCTGTGATATCTGGAAGAAGATTATTTTGTTACTGTATTTTATTTTCATCCATGCACTTTGGTTATGTATATTATTTCCTGAATTATTGACCTTATCTTTCTCCAGCAAACTTCCTACCCCAGACCAGTCCAATTGCTAAGGATCTGGAGAAACTATGTTACATTTCATTGCCAGTAAAAATATTTGAGTATCATAAAGACAACAGATTGCTCTTTCTGTGTTTACTTTACAACATACCTTGTAAACAGAGCCTGAGAGAAAAGTGAACATTTACTCATTGACATTATAAGCACACTCCAGAAATACTATACATAAATTTAAAATGGCTAAATTAAAAATGTATGGGATAATAATGTTGAAATCCATGCTTCTGGTTTTGAAACTTTAATTGTTTGTTCATTTAAAGGACATTGGTAGTATTCAGCAGGGGATGTTAAATCCCTATAAAAAGAATAAGTAGTCAGCCAGTGTTTGCAGTTTGTCACTGTCTAAACCCCTCAGCGACACAGAGACTTGCTGAAAGAGTTTATATTTGATAGAACACTGTAAAGAGGGAAAAGTTCGGAGTAATATTTTTTTTAGAAAAGATTATTTCTGTTTTTAACAACGTGATCACAAACAATAAAGGGAAGGGTTTTTTTCATTACAAATCCTTTCTCAATGGAGTTATCAAAAATACACAGGCAATAATTTTAAAAATCATGAAATTGAAAGTATTTTTACTGGGACTTCTTTTAAAATTTATCTTGAAAAGCAATTACATGGTCATGTAAAATATTCAAAAGGTGCAAAATGAAATAGAACGAAAAGTAAGTCTCTCGATCTCTGCTCCCCAGTCACCAAATTATCACTGTGGAAGCAATCATGTTATTAATTAATTTCCTGTAGGTCTTTCTGGACACATTTTTTGAATTTATAAACTTGTATATTTGTATAGCTTCACATCCATCAGTAGAAGACTATATACATTGTCATTCACTTTTTTTTTCTGTATGACTCTTGAATATAGGAAGTAAAAGAAAGATAATATTGGACATCCTTAGCAGTGGAGCATTGGCCCAGAAGTCACTAGTGAGACTTCTGTATCCCTTTCCTTTCCACCTATTAATGTGCACAGAGGTTTTTAGTTTGTACTTGGGGATGAGGGAAGAGAAAGGAGCAATTTTGGTGGTAGAGTCTGTGGTTTTGGGGAGCTAAGGATGGGAGTGTTTCTGGCTTTTAGTGTGGGTTGGACTGCCCAAGCTCCAAAAAGTGGCAGTCAGAAAAATAGTGGCACTGTTTTTTAGGAGGGATTTGGCAGATTCATGGGAAGTAAGAGATGGCCAAAAGTTAATTTTTGGAAAAGAAGAGCCATTTCAGAGTCCTGGTGACCAAATGCAACACACAATTGGAGAGAAGGTTATTTCCTCCACCTCTCTTTGGAACCCAGCAATGATCTGGCACTCCTCAAATCTGTAGGCAGAAAATGTGGAAAATTATAAGCCAGAGTAGGAAAGGAAGGAAAAAGCAGATACCATGAAGTTACAGACTGGGCTGTGGGTTGTGTGCGGCACCCTTTTGGAGAACTCCTTAAAATATCTTGGGGACACTTGGAGATGCGCTAATTGCTAGTCATCAAAAGAGTTGAAGCTCTTGCCATCATAATTTGGGCATAAAAGTAGACTGCAACTTTATTTTATATTTCCAATCTGGTGAAGCCTAGAAAAATTGGGTTGTATGCAGAAATGGAAAATACTAAAGATAGAAGATTCGCAATACCTTGTAACAGGATGATGAAATGGAATGGAAGTTTAGGTTGCAAAACAATAGATATTTATTCCAAGTTAAAGTCCTGGACCAGGATTTACAAAGTAAGAGGAACTACTAGATCATTCTTAAACTCCTTATTCTTATCAAGAATATAAAAGGGTAAAGAAGGAGATTGACATATTACTTCTTAGGAAGATTTCTTTAGAGAGCTGTACTAAGAATCCATGCCCCCTACAAGGGCAAGTTCTGCAGGATATCTGCCCCACACCTTAAGCCAAACCTTTAACTGGACTGCCTAGAAAGTCTGATATGTATTTAGCAAGGTTGAAGGACACAATGGACTCTTATCTGAGTCTCCCCTAAGAAATCTCAAGGGTAAAAGATTGGCTGGGTAGCTGCAACAGACAAGCTGAAGGACAGTGGTTGTTAGATCCCCCAGCACTCCTAGGGTTCACTGGGGGTTAAGAACAGGTGAATGTTTCCTATGGATGAGATGTGGGACACGGAGGAGAAAGTATGATCCTGGAGTCATACTACGTTCTTTCCAAAAGGGCTGCAGAGAGAAGTAGGAGACATTACTACCTTGCTAGGGGCTAAGGAAGGCATGAGCAACCAGATAGCATAGAGATACCCAGGTCCAGAGAATTTCAGGTGGATGTTTTCAAGCAATTGGGTAGATTTGTAAAATAACTCACTGAAGTGTCACTCAGTAGAATCAGCTTTAAGTAACAGCCGAGCCCAGGTAGTGCTGCTGCTCTATGACCAAAGAATCCTTGCTCTCCTTCGCTCTCCCATTCTCTCCAGCTCTTGCCTGGAAGTGTCAGAAAATGGATGAAGGCTTGGAGAAAAGAATGAATGGAGAGGAGGACAAAAAGCATTGGATCAGAAGAGAGAAGCTGACCATACTCCAAGGGTGGGGACATGACTGCATGGAAGAAGCAAAACTATTTAGCAATACAACTGTAGTGACCAAACATTTTCATTTTCTTCCAGGGGCAGGGAATGAAATACCTCTACTAAGTACATAAGGGCAGTGTTGTAAGATCTCATCCCATGATTTATGTTTGTGCCAGGTAGCAATTACCTGTAGGCATGAGGGAAAGACAAAATAGGAGAAATTCTTTATTCCTCCAGCATTTTCCCTTCTGAACTCCCAGAGGTTCTTCAATTTTTACTTCATTTTAGTGGATTTCTTTCTTGAAAGGCACTAACACTTCCCTGTCAGGCTTTCTGTATCATTTCTTTTTCTTTTATTGTCCCAGGTTTTCTTTATTACCCTGGGCCACTGCTCTAACCAGTAGTTCTGCTTTTCTCAGTCTGATTTTCTCACTGTCCCTGCAGTGGCAGTAGTAGTAGTGATATAGGACTTGAAAAGAAATTATTTAGGCAGATAGTGAGGGTAAGAGAGCCCTCAGTAAGGTTTTCCTTTAAATAAAAAGCAGCCCCCAAATCATTTCTTTTCTAACAAAAAGAAGCCTGTAAAATCAAACTGCAGACATAGATAAGCAAGATGGAAGCTTGCACGAGTGAATGCCAGCAGCTATGCCAATAGAAAAGGGCTAACAGGACCAGGCATGTTCAACATGGAAGCTCCATCTTCCTTTTTCTTTGTCAACCACACGAAAAGTAAAGGAACAGGCAACATGGTGCTTGCCAGGTAGAGAACCTATCTGCATAATAAAAGATTGGGACATGAGGCCAGCCTCTTTGTGCGCTGTTTAAATGGCACACCTGGTCATGGGTGTGCTATGTGAATCAGACACCGCCTCCTCAAGCTCATCTATAAAACCCTGTGCTTTTTTTTTTTTTAATTATACTTTAAGTTTTAGGGCATATGTGCACAACGTGCAGGTTTGTTACATATGTATACACGTGCCATGTTGGTGTGCTGCACGCATTAACTCGTCATTTAACATTAGGTATATCTCCTAATGCTATCCCTCCCCACTCCCCCAACCCCACAACAGGCCCCAGTGTGTGATGTTCCCCTTCCTGTGTCCATGTGTTCTCATTGTTCAATTCCCACCTATGAGTGAGAACACGCAGTGTTTGTTTTTTTGTCCTTGTGATAGTTTGCTGAGAATGATGGTTTCCAGCTTCATCCATGTCCATACAAAGGACATGAACTCATCATTTTTTATGGCTGCATAGTATTCCGTGGTGTACATGTGCCACATTTTCTTAATCCAGTCTATCATTGTTGGACATTTGGGTTGGTTCCGAGTCTTTGCTATTGTGAATAGTGCCGCAATAAACATACGTGTGCATCTGTCTTTATAGCAGCATGATTTATAATCCTTTGGGTATATACCCTGTAATGGGATGGCTGGGTCAAATTGTATTTCTAGTTCTAGATCCCTGAGGAATTGCCACACTACTTCCACAATGATTGAACTAGTTTACAGTCCCACCAACAGTGTAAAAGTGTTCCTATATCTCCACGTCCTCTCCAGCACCTGTTGTTTCCTGACTTTTTAATGATCGCCATTCTAACTGGTGTGAGATGGTATCTCATTGTGGTTTTGATTTGCATTTCTCTGATGGCCAGTGATGATGAGCATTTTTTCATGTGTCTGTTGGCTGCATAAATGTCTTCTTTTGAGAAGTGTCTGTTCATATCCTTCGCCCACTTTTTGATGGGGTTGTTTGTTTCTTCATGGAATTGGAAAAAACTACTTTAAAGTTCATATGGAACCAAAAAAGAGCCTGCATTGCCAAGTCAATCCTAAGCCAAAAGAACAAAGCTGGAGGCATCACGCTACCTGACTTCAAACAATACTTCAAGGCTACAGTTACCAAAATAGCATGGTACTGGTGCCAAAACAGAGATATAGACCAATGGAACAGAACAGAGCCCTCAGAAATAATGCCACATATCTACAACTATCTGATCTTTGACAAACCTGAGAAAAACAAGAAATGGGGAAAGCATTCCCTATTTAATAAATGGTGCTGGGAAAACTAGCTAGCCATATATAGAAAGCTGAAACTGGATCCCTTCCTTACCCCTTATACAAAAATTAATTCAAGATGGATTAAAGACTTACATGTTAGACCTAAAACCATAAACACCCTAGAAGAAAACCTAGGCAATACCATTCAGGACATTGGCATGGGCAAGGACTTCATGTCTAAAACACCAAAAGCAATGGCAACAAAAGCCAAAATTGACAAATGGGATCTAATTAAACTAAAGAGCTTCTGCACAGCAAAGGAAACTACCATCAGAGTGAATAGGCAACCTACAGAATGGGAGAAAAGTTTTGCAATCCACTCATCTGATAAAGGGCTAATATCCAGAATCTACAATGAACTCAAACAAATTTACAAGAAAACCCTGTGCTTTTCACCATGGAACTGGAAGACCCACTCGGGGGCGCCTCTTTGTCTCTGTGGGAGAGAGCTATTCTCTTTCTTTCGCCTATTAAACCTCTGCTCTTAATCTCACTTCTTGTGCGTCTGTGTCTCAATTCCCTTGGCATGAGATGACAAACCTCGGGTATTTACCCTAGACAACGACGCCACTTCATTTGTTGTCATATTGGTATTTTCTTTCCCTTAAAAAAGTACAGATTTTTATGTGGGAACAGCCTAAGGACATTTCCCTCTAGCCCTTGTGGCCACATGAGAGCCAGAGTCCCTGCTCTCTGACTGCCAGTGACAGGCCAAAACCTCACAATTCATTGGAGTTCACTGGCTGCTCATTGAATAGAGAATACCCGTGGTGGATTGCTCCCAACAGCAATCATGGTGGGTTGCTAATTTAAATCAAGCCATCAGTGTGGCAGATTTTAAAGCTCCAGATTATAAACACTTGCAGAGTTATAAACTCCAAACCACTGGCCCTGGAGTCAGAGATCAAGCTTCAACTTCTGTCTCCACTGTAAGGTGCATTTGTGCAGACTGGAGACAATTTCTTTACAAAGGAGCCAATAGATGCCTCCCATATATTAAGTAAGGTACTAGGCCCAACATGTTTTGCAATATGGTAGTGTTACAGAAGCCTTGGCTAAATATTAAGAATTATTATTGTAATTCTGGCTTCTTTTAATCCCACATTTACCTGTTTCTCATGTTTCTAGGCTCTTAGTTACTTCTTCCTCTTCTTCCTTTTCCTTTCTCTTTCTTACTTCTATTTGGGGAGGAGGAGTCAATGGCCTTTTCATTTACATAGGTTTTTCTTTCTAGGCCAGAGACTTCATTTTAATCATCTGTATAGACAGTTTAAATGACCTGCAAATAATAACCTAGAAAACTTTTCCCCTGCCATACCCAGGATTAATTTTCCTTCCTATCTAACTTAATGCTAAAGCTATAAAATGGGAAAGAACATGGTTGAGTGACAGAATATTGGATTAATAGAATTCCTTAAAGCTTCAAATCCCTCATTTCACACACAGCAATGTTTCTCATTTTGTCTTACTTTTTGTTGGTTCATTTCTGAGTGCATGGGGATGTTTAAAAACTACTTCTTTATGTGATAGTTGCTTTGGACAGTCACTTCTAAGCCTCGATTGACACTGGAATAGTCTGTATATTACCATCTTGAAGACATGCAGCACTAGAATTTCTTTGGATCCTGGGAAGATTCAACTTCTCTCTTGACTTTTCTCTCCTCTCATAGATAGTTTATCATTTCATATAGATTCGACATTTCTCTTGATTCCCAAATGTGCATATTATTTTGGGTTTCACTACCTAGTAACAGGTGGAGGATGAAAAAATAGCATCTGGATGGATTTTTGCTGTTGTAGATTTGGTGGATAGAAGGAAGAAGTTGAACCATACAAATGTAAACCAAAAATAAAATTTTAAGGTCCTTCAACCATCTGAATAGATCCCTCCTCTTGGCCAAAGGCATTCTAAAGTTAACCTGAAAAAACTAGCTCAAGCCATGATGGGAAAGAGGACTTGGACATGCCTCATTATATCCTCCTCCCCTTTGGAAGTACTAATAGACCAGCCTCTTTAAGTCTGATAAGAAACATTTATAATCTATTATCTTTGAAGCCTGCTACCTGTAGGCTTCATCTGCTGTATAAGACATTGGTCTTCACAATCCCTTATTGTAAGCCAGACATTCCTTTCTATTGATAATAACTCTTTCAGCCAATTGCCAATCAGAAAATTTAAAAATCTACCTGTGACCCAGAAGCCACCCCCTGGTCCCCCACCCCACTTCGAGTTGTCCTACCTTTATGGAGTGAACCAATGTACATGATACATGTATTGATTGGTGTCTCATGTCTCCCTAAAATGTATAAAACCCCAACCACCTTGGGCACAGATCAGGACTTTGTGAGTCTGTGTTACAGGCATATCCTTAACCTTGGCAAAATAAACTTTCCAAATTGTTTAAGGCCTATCTCAGATACTTTTGGTTTACATACCTTAAGAGGATTCAGCAACAGATATTATCTCAGAGGTGCAAGCAAGTACATAGCTCATCGACCTTCCTGAATGCAAATTGGTTTCTACAATCATTTTGTCAGGTATTTTACTCCATGGTGTTAAAGTAGAATTTCCCATAAAACAAAAATAGAACTGCTAGTATTTATAAGCACTTTGAAATAATAATAACTTACATATTTTGTAAGGGAATAGGAATATATACAAGGAGGTAAGGGAATCATGTTGTTTGAATTGATGGATGAATGTAAATATTTTATCACTTTGATGGGTAGATATCAGACAGAGAAATTGTAGATAGATGGAGCAATCTCTATAATGTTTTCTGCATTAACTCAAGGGTGCTGTGCCTCCTTTAGCCTATGGTTTCAGTTTAAATTCTATGTTTGGAAGAAAATAGTGAATATAGCAAATGCAAATTAAATTGATAATGATAAGCATTAAAAAACCCCTCTCATCCTCAGTATGTTATTCAATAATCAGATAGTCTTGCATTAACCGACTTGAAGTTTTTGCAACTATTTCTCATCTGCCAAACTAGTCACAGCAAGAAAACTCATCAACATTCAAGGATTGGATTCCTGTCCCTTGTATTGCATCTTCCCACTATCTAATTCAAAAATTCAAGTTGAATCTTCTTACTGTTTAGTTAAAGTCTGTTTAGTCAAGCTGGCATGTGAAAAAGTGAAGATTTCTATGGTGTTTTGAAAACTGGATTTATGGTAAAATCATTTGTTTTATTTACTCAATCCCCAGAAAAGAAAGTCTAGAAAAAATTCCCTCTGTAGCAGTAGAATTTACTCAAGTTATAAAGCAGTGAGATTAATTATAAGGACATCAGTCCATAGGTTCATTATCACAAGGTTAGTTAATTAATTAATCAATTAGTTAATTGAATTAATTAACTATTTCCTCTCATAGTGAATTTTTTCCTCTCATAGATAATTTATCATTTCATATAGGCATTTTTTCCTCTCATAGATAGTTTATCATTTCATATAGGCAAATACAATGTTCTATAACAAATATTCTACCAAAATAAAATTTTTAATAAAGAAGCTTTGAGGTAGCACAACCTTAAGTTTAAGAGGTAAATCATATGAACAAAACTAAAATGCTTTTGTAGTTAGAAAAATTTTGATGGCTTCTTTGTTACAAACACAAAGCAAGGCAAGGTCAAGTTCAAGGCTCGACTCATTGGCTGGGTAAAGATACAAGGAGCCACTCTTAGATTTAGACAGTTTGTAACTTACATAAACAGTGAAGAGGAGAGTATGCCAAAATTGCCAGCTCCCTGTGATCCTTGTTTTACACACCAGAAAACCAAAAACAAACAATAAAACCCCAACACCACCCAAATCAAAGGGGCTGGATGGCTGCACTGTGAGTCGTGAGGCACCCATAGTTGAGGAGCCAATTCTAGACCACAGAGAAGTGGCCTTATATTCTGCAGCTTCATTCTGAGACGGTGGAACAGAAGGCCCCATACTTCCTCCAAGTCTAGGAGTTGATGAGAAACTCTTGTCATTAGAGTCTCCCAGAGGAGATAGGGAGGTGAGTAGGAGGTGGCTTCAGACCCTCCATCCTCTCTTATTACATGAGGATCACAAGGTGTTCTGCCCAGACACAGGTAAGCTGCAGTTCAAGTGTTCATCTAGATGGATGTGTACAAGACTGCCAGGGTGTCATGGCAAAGTTATCTCCTTGCATCCTTCTTCATAAACAAGCTACATAGAAACTCTGTTCAGGATGACATGATATTCCAGTTTAATAAATTTTAATAAAACTGGAATTTAGACCTGCCTCCGGGTGCTTTTTATGTTGTTTATAACTTTATGGTAACTAATATATAAATATTGCCTCTTTTTTATCCTTACTACAGCTTCGTGACCAGCTTAGTACTTTGAATTCTCATATTTCAAGTTTTCTCATTAACTATCATTATGTTTGTGATCTATGCTTTTTAAAATTTTTAACCAAGTTTGAATTACAGTAAAAATAAGCTTGTAGTATTTATTTCCACACATGCTACCCCAGGTCAGACTTCTCACTAGGGATATTCAAATGAGAAACAGAGTTAAAAACATAAATAAATAAATAAATAAATAAATAAATAAATAAATAAATGTAAAACCAAGTTTCAAGTTTCAATATCATCAGTGGTTTACAGAATCAAGCCAATCTTTTCTTTCCCTCTGGAAATTATTTGATCCAAATCTTGATACAATGAGATAATTAACTGGTAGACTAATTTACATTTGAAGGTGTTGACCCTATCTTTTGGGCACAGGACAACTTAACAAAAGAAGAATGTGTATTCCTTAGCTGGTCAGAGATGTAGTAACCAGTATTAAGGGGGCATTTTTCAACAACTACCATAATTTAGCCAAGGACATGCTAGAATACCATATTCCTTGTGTTATATTTTTTAAAACGTTGACAGTCGTTTTAATGCTTTTTTAGAGGCAATATTTCTGATAGATATTGAGATCGCAATGCTTTTCTAATGTTAATTTGTTACTTTCCTTTGCTAAAATGTATACAATTCTGAAAGAAAACACATTTTGGATAGCTATTATTATGACACATTTGATCAAACATATAATGGCACCTGCCTGTGGGCTCCTGTCTTAGTTGGCTTGGGCTGCCAAAGTAAATACCGAAGACTGGGTGGCACGAACAACAGAAGTTTATTTTCTCACAATTCTAAAGTCCTAGATCAGGGTGCCAACACCATCTGTTTCTGGCGAGGGCTCTCTTCATTGCTGGTAGATGGCAGCCATCTCACTGTGTGTTCATGTGACTTCTTTATGGAGGGAGAAAGGGAGAGAGAGTGAGCAAGCTTTCTAGTGTCTCTCCTCACAAGGGCTGAGCAAGCTTTCTAGTGTCTCTCCTCATAAGGGCACAAATCTCATCATAGGGCCCCACCCTCATGACCTCATGGAAACCTAAGCACCTCCCAAAGGCCCCATATCTAAATACCATCACATTGGGGTTAGGGCTTTAATGTATAAATGTGGGGGACACAAGCATTCAGTTCATAACAGCCCCATATCTCACTTTGATATAACTGCCAGAACTCCGTTTTTAATGAGGTAGAGTGAGGAGAGCCAAACTAATTATACTTCACATTTAGAAAGCTTGGAGCAGAAAAATTTCCCCTAAATAATTTCCCCAAAATATGTATCTGTGTTTTTTGCTCGTTATTTCTCATTTTCAATTAAAACTTTTAATTTTGTGAAAATGTAGGAACGTGTACACGGTTTATAAACTCAAATATTGCATTTTTTAAAAACAGTGCCTTGCTTGACCCTTTCACCCTGACTCTGCTGTCTAATGAAGCACACAGACTCATCAGCAATTTTTTGAGGTATTTACTTGTTTTTCTAAATTATATTATTATACTGCCATGTTTTAGTTTTATAGTGCTAGATATTTTATATATTATTTCATATTAATGCTTCTCAAGATGAAAGTCTAGTTTCTTCACTTTCTTTGTCTACTCGTTATTCATACTGATTACTCATTATTATAAATTGTAAGCATTAATTCCTGCTAATCCTAGAGTGTATCATGATTATATATCCTTTCTTAAAAACACTTTTGTTTTTTTCCTCATGTTAGCGATTGCCTCATTTTTCATTTATTTATTTTTCTATGTCCCTTTCTCTGTATTCCTTTCATAAAGTGTCTATGAATCAATAAAATCTAATCCTATTTTCACATAATCAAACCAACAGATGACATATCTATTCCATGTTTTTCCTGGAAACTTCTGACCATATTCTCATTCTACCCTGGACACAGCTTTTCTTTGGGTCAGCTGCATGACTATTGCTCTAGAATTTCTCTTCAGTTCTTTCCCTTCAACTCTTTCTTGAATTGGATATGCTAAATTCTGAATTCTGTCTTCTTTTACTTTCTTTTTCTTTTATTTTTTTCATTTTAGTGACACACATCCTCCAATTGCTTGTGTTTTTTTTTTTTCTTCTTTTTTGAGACAGAGTTTTGTTCTTGTCACCCAGGCTGGAATGCCCTGGCACAATCTTGGCCCACTGCAACATCCACCTCCTGGGTTCAAGCGATTCTCCTTCCTCAGCCTCCCAAGTAGCTGCAAATTCAGGTGCCCACCACCACATCTGGCTAATTTTTGTATTTTTAGTAGAGATGGGGTTTCACCACATTGGCCAGGCTGGTCTCGAACTCCTGACCTCAAATGATCTGCCCACCTTGGCCTCCCAAAGTACTGGGATTACAGGTCTGAGTCACTGTGTCCAGCTTCCAATTGCTTTCTAAAAAAAGAGAAATTTTGAGAATTTGGATGACAAATAATGTCTTTATTCTTATCCCTGACTCTTGGTCATATATGGTGTTGCTCCATTATTTTCAAGCTTCCAGAATTGTCATTGAGAAATCCAAACACATTTTTATATGTGACTCCTGATTTTTACTTTTTTAATCCCCTTTGCAGGATATTAAGTTATTTTCTTTATTCCTGATATTGCAGTTACATGACAATGTGCTTGTAAGGATATCCTTCTTTTTTTTTTTACTTTATCGGAACTTCAGAGAGCCTCTTCAGTCTAGAAACTGATAGCATTCAGGGTTCATTCAGGTTCTCTGAGAGGTAGATGTCAGATAAGATTAGATATTCAAGAAACTTATTAGGGGATGAAAAGGAAGAAGCAGGAATGAGCGGGACAAGACTTTAGACTGTTCACCTATAAACAGAAAAGAAGAGTGGCAAAAGAAAAGAATTGATTAGGAAAAGTCAGACTGTGGTACAGTTCTGAGAACATTTTGTCCAGATTGCTAGGGAGTCCTCAAGCCAAAGTTGCCCATTTGAGGTGTCCTGCATCCCGTGGCTAGCAGGAAAACATACGTCATGCTCAGTCATTGGCAGTGAGAGCCCAGGGGAAGCATGGTGGGAGATGCAGAGGTGCAGCATCTGGGCTGTCAGTCAACTATGCTTGCTGCAACAGATTTTCTTTAAGGAGATCTGAGTCGATATTTCCTTGGCTGCTGCAGTCCACATCTTGTTCTACTGGGAAATACCTCTCCACACAGCTTTGGAAAACAGGTCCCCCATGTTTCCCATGGGCCTGTTTCTGACAGGAAATTCAGAAGAGGGAAGTTAGTGAGATGTACTAAACGATCTATTGATGCAGTTTGTTTCAGAGCAGTAACTGGTTTCATCTCTCTCATCCCCTAACCATTCTAAATCTCCTCCCTGCTACCCTGAGCTATCACCTCAGCAGATCTGAGAAACTTACCTGGTGGTGTGACCAAAAGCTTTATTTGAGTCTTTCATAATTATACTCTTCTCAGATTAGGGTTACTGCACATGTCCATTCAAAATTGCAATAGAGAAGGCAAGTATCAGGAGGTAACCCAAGGGTTCCAGGAGTATCTCCCCTGCTCCTATTATTTAAAAAAAATCCCATACCTCCTGTAAATGAGTCAATACTCCTCCCAGAAAGGCAAACCTTGAGTTAGGGAGAATTACCACTCTATGAATAGTTAGTTTAAAAATATGTATAACTTTAGGATATTTGAAAACTATTGACTGATTAACAAAGAAAGAAGGAAACTATTTCTCTTTAATGTGAATTGGGGTAGAGATAGGGATAAAATCTATTATTTGAAGTATTCTACCTGGTGACAAACCCAAGACCCAGAAGAAGGAGAGCCTTCATATTTAAAGATAGAGTTAGAGCCACTGAAGGGATGAAAAGAGTCCTTTGGTCTAAGCTCTTTTCCTAGGTAGGTCAGCAGTGAAATTATCCCAGGCTAATGCGTTTTCTTGTTATTTTTGAACTCTTTTTAGAAATTCAGTAATCCCTTCCTACATTTTTACACTATATAATTACCTGTAGAAGGAAAAAAGAAACTTTACACTGTAGTAGTTACTAACATTTTGTATTTGTAAAATCCATGGTAAATATAGTCAGCAGGTGATGGCTAGGCATATTTGCTGAAGACCATGGAAACTGAAAAATTGTTAATTGTTAAATATTGTAAGTTCCCTGGCCCACATAGTTAATTCTGCATTCAACCATCAGTGTCCATATCACCCAATGAGAAGTACTGCTCTAGGACAGATATCCCTAAAGTCTCTTGTAAATAACAGTAGCCTTCAGAGAATGAGTGGAATATATGATCCAAAGGGCCGATTCTGTGAATTTGAACTTCAGGAAACCACAGTAAACTATCTGGCAATTAAGCATACCCCATTGATAAAACCTGAATCCCAGACCAGCCTTGGACCTTTGCTTTAGGATTGGCAAAATGGCTCATGAAGCCAGAGTGGTTTTGTTCTAGGGCCTTGGTTCCCACCTACTGCCTCCTTCTATAATCCCCCTTGAATGGAGGTAATATCAGAAATGCCACTTCCTCTCCATGCATTAGAAAGCAATTGAGTTCATGGTGTTTATCCTGTGTCTTCTGAAACCAAGCTTTTCCCATTCTAAGACTTTCAAACAAAATTCAAAACAGTACTCTTGGAGCAGAATTTCAAGGGAGGCCCCTAAAAAGCCCGCCAACTCCATGGTTTTCAGTAAAAGGAACTCCTGCTCTAGTCTTTTGAAACCTGGTTCAAGTAAAATACCATTCTCGTACCAGAGTTTGAATCACATTTCCTCTATCCGCACAGCTTCTATAGTCTTGCCAGAAAGAGCATTTACCCCTCTACTTCCTGATTTAAAAAAAAAAAAAAAAGAAGGTCTGGCTGGCCTATTTTTAATATGCTAATTATCTCCATCTGTAAGTGCTTCCTAGCCTCTTTAGCTTTTCTTGGCCCAACCTCAAATCCCAACATCTTTTCCAAGACAAAAAAAAAAAAATGGTATCCGCCTTACTTACGGCCAGAAGCCAAGGTGCATAAAGAGAGAACTGAACCCTTCCATAACTAAATATAAGTATGAATGCAAATTAGCAATCAGAATTTAGCACCAAATATTTTTAAAGCTAGTAAATGTTACATGAACTTGTTTCTTTTCACTTTGTTCCTATGAAGAATAGTGCCCCAAGATACTTCAGTCATGGAGATTCTTTCATACACTTCCCCAGAGAGATGAGAAAATCAGTATTAGCCCATTTAAGTGAAGCAGCAGATGCCATCATATTAAATTTCCAAGCTTTCTATGGACCATGACTATTTTGTCCTCAGACCACATGTTTAGCTGTAAAAATTACATGAGCTACCACATGAAACCTCATACTGTGTGATGAAGGAAATAATAACATTTTTGAAAAATAAACTACATTTTCAAAATGATATGTTTTCTTTGGCTCGTAGGAATTTGTTTTTAAAATTGAGAGGAGACAGATTAAAGCAAAGCTCCACCATTTTTAGTAGAAACACTATTTCATGCTTTCTGTTTGTGCAGGAAGTGGATAAACTAAGATCAAAATCGGTACAATTTTCTGACAGATGTGAGGACAATCATTTCATTTTTGACATTTCATAGGGAACAAACTTTTTTTCTTAAAAATATTTTAGAAATCAGAGAAGTACATTATTTTATTGTGTTTAAACTGTTAGAAAATCTTCCAAAGTCCGCAAAACTTGTAAATTTTACCATACCTTATCATTATTACTCTTTCCACCATATACTGGTTTTGTCAGTTAGCCAGAAAAAGAATTTTTAGGGGTAGATGCTATTGGTTAAAAGAAAAGAGCAGAGCAAAATAAAAAACAGTGTCTATGGTGACAAAGGTGACCTCGTTGACCAGTCGTTAGCCATCTTCTCAACTAGGTCTTGACCTTGACTTAGTCTTAGCAAGAATCCTGATAAGTCAGTTAAGAAACAGTCCCCTACCCTTGATATATATCAGATTGCTCATCCCTGACCATTGACATCTAAGTCGTTACCCTACCTTTAATAAGAATCCTGCTAAGAGTAAGCCGGTTGAATATCAATGCCTCTGTCCTTCACTTCTCCTCTTAGTAATTTTACATCTACTTACCCCCTCACTCTGGCTATAAATTTTCAGCTCTTTGCTGCACTTAGATTTGAGCTCAGTATCTCTCTCCTATTGCAATAGTCTTAAATAAAGTGTTTCTTATCATTTTAACAAGTATCAGAATAACATATCTTTTTTTTTTTTTCTTCGAGGCAGAGTTTTGCTCTTGTAGCTTGGGCTGGAGTATAGTGGCATGGCCTTGGCTCACTGCAACCTCCATCTCCTGGATTCAAATGATTCTCCTGCCTCAGCCTCTGGAGTAGCTGGGATTACAGGTGCCTACCACTATGCCTGGCTAGTTTTTTGTATT